>NC_000016.10:66683712-66986742 GCF_000001405.40 Homo sapiens
CCAGCTGGATGGTCAATGCTCTGGAGGAGAATCAAGCAGGGTGACAGGGGTCAATAGTAAGGCAGAGTGGGGTGGGGGAGTGTTCTATTCCAGATGTGGGGGGATAGGGAAGGTCTCTTTTGAGCGGGAACCAGAAGAACAGAGCCAAGTGGGAATCTCTCTGAGCCTATTCCGGTGCAGGAGGCTGCCTAATTTAAAAAATAAAAATAGCTAAGCGGGCATTTTCAGGAAGAGAGTGAGGGATGAGAGAATAAACCCTGAGTGCAAAGACGAAGGCAGGTGCATATTAATCAAAAGCTTACTGAAAGCTCCTGATCAACCTGAAGTAATCGGTATTATAAAATTCCAGCCAGAGGTAAGAAATTTTACCTCATTCTGCTTAATGTAAGCAGAAATCTGCCTTATTCTGCTTACTGTGGTTTAGAGTATAGACTGTTTGAAATATAATTAGTACCCAGGCCCTCTTTTTTTCGTTTTTGAGACAGAATCTCCCTCTGTCGCCCAGGCTGGAGAGCAGTGGCATGATCTCGGCTTACTGAAACCTCCACCTCCCGGGGTTCAAGCAATTCTCCTGCCTCATCCTCCCGAGTAGCTGGGATTACAAGTACCCACCACCAAGCCTAGCTAATTTTTTTTGCATTTTTAGTAGAGACTGGGTTTTACTATGTTGGCCAGGCTGGTCTCAAACTCCTGACCTCAAGTGATCTGCCTGCCTCAGCCTCCCAAAGTGCTGGGATTACAGGCATGAGCCACTGCACCCCTCAGCCCTCTTTCTCTCAATCCCCCATTACTACCTTAATAAACTCTAGTGATCCCAGGACCCCACTCTGAAAACCAGTGATAGCCCCCATCTCGAGAAAAGGCCACACACGAGAGGCACTGCAATGAAGCCTGAACACCCCCCAACCCACTGCTTTAAGTTGAGAATTTTTCACAAAAATCCTCCCCCATCAAGAAGTTAAACTGTTTAAAAATAGGATAGTTTCCAAATACTTAAACAAGCAGTATCTTCTCCCCCAGGAGGTGTCACTTTCTGAGCTTGAGCCCTTCTACTTATTGGCCTCTTCTCCAGCCTGCTGCAGCCCTGCTCTAGAGCCCTGGACCACTTCAAACTGAGGTCAAAGTTTAAGTCAGCTGACAGGCCGAAGCCATCCCCCTGAGCAGGGGTTCCCTGCTCTCTTCCTCTCCACCTCTCCCAGTCTATATCCTTCCTCCTTCCTGGAGCCCTGAGGCTAATGAACCCAAATCCCATCTCATCTCACCCTGCATGTTACTTCTCTTGTACACACAGCCTGTTCTCCAGGAATCACCTTATTTTCCAAATAAAAATATCAGGGTATATTGTGAGCACACGGGTACTGTCACATGAATTGCTGTAATTTCAATGCTTAGAATACTTCACAATTTATAGTAAAATAATTATTTAAAATTTAGGATTATACTTATATATGGTCTGATGAGGCAGCACAGGAAATTGAGACTGTCTGGGAAAATTTATTATCTGTGATCCCTTCTGCTCTATTCTCTAATAAGTAACTTTATTTTCCAAAGGAATCCCATGTCATCCTGCAAAAGCATTTGGGGTTACTTCCAGAAACAAGGATGCGAGAGTCAGTGATAACAGCTATAGGCTGAAAACTCCATGCTGGTATTTCCAGGCTATTTCAATGGCTCAGGGAAGACTGCTGTGGGGGAAGAAAAAAAAAAATCAACCCCAGCTTCCAGACATACCTCAGTCCTTAATGGGGTAGGCCACACGTGTGGTGCAGCTCAAGTCTGTACAGCACGACTTTAGGCTGGAAAGAGCTCTCTCCCAGGCACCCAGGTATGCATTCATTCTACCGAGAGAGAAGCATCCTGACACACAGCCCTGTCCTTACCTCTAAGCATCCTTTGGAGTGCCATAACCTGGGAAAGATTCTTACTGATTTCTTTTTTGTTTGTTTTTTGAGGTAGGGTCTCACTCTATTGCCCAGGCTGGAGTGCAGTGGTGCAATTTTGGCTCACTGCAACCTCCGCCTCCCAGGTTCAAGCGATTCTCGTGCCTCAGCCTCCTGAGTTGCTGGGACTACAGGCATAGGCCACCACACCCGGATAATTTTTTGTATTTTTAGTAGAGATCTTGTTTCACCACGTTACCCAGGCTGGTCTCGAACTCCTGAGCTCAGGCAATCTGTCCACCTCGGCCTCTCAAAGTGCTAGGATTACAGGCATGAGCCACTGCGCCTGGCCTGATTTCTAATTAAGAACAAAGTTCTGGAGCCGGGCATGGTGGCTCATGCCTGTAATCCCAGCAGTTTGGGAGGCCAAGGCGGGTGGATCACGAGGTCAAGAGATCAAGACCATCCCGGCCAACATGGTGAAACCCTGTCTCTACTAAAAATACAAAAGTTAGCTGGGCGTGGTGGCACGCGCCTGTAGTCCCAGCTACTCGGGGAGTCTGAGGCAGGAGAGTCCCTTGAATCCAGGAGGTGGAGGTTGCAGTGAGCCGAGATCGCACCACTGCACTCCAGCCTGGTGACAGAGCAAGATTCCGTCTCCAAAAAAAAAAAAAACAACAAAGTTCCAGCCAGGCACAGTGGCTCACACCAGTAATCCCAGCACTTTGGGAGGCCAAGATGAGCACATCACTTGAGCTCAGGAGTTCGAGACCAGCCTGGCCAACATGGGAAACCCTATCTCTACAAAAAATACAAAAATTAGCCAGGCGCCTGTAATCCCAGCTACTCAGGAGGCGGAGGCAGGAGAATTGCTTGAACCCAGGAGGTGGAGGTTGCAGTGAGCCAAGATTGCGCCACTGCACTCCAGCCTGGGTGACAGTCAGACTCTGTCTCAAAAAAAAAAAAAAAAAAAAAGTTCCTCCAAAGTTGTGGAGAAAGAATTAATTTAGCCCTGTGGTCCAGGAGGAGCCATTAGGACTTACAGAGGTCACCATTTCCCAGTTGTCTGTACTTGTGGGTAAGCATACTAGAAACCTGGAATAAACTGAGACCTTCAGATATGCTTTGGGAGGAAATGTCAACCAAGTCTGTATTTTTTTTTTAAATGTTCAGAAATGTGGTGGTCTTGTCCTTTGATGTAGTAAAAGCACTCCTTGAAATTTAACCAAAAATAATAATTCAAAAGAAGAATCCAGGCTACACTCATGAGGACATTTATTGACGCATCTTCCTAATAGCAAAAAAACTAGAAAACATAATCACCAGACTTTGCCACAGGGGATCATATGTAGCCTTTGGAAAGGAAAAAATTTCCAAGTCCTTTTCATTTGAGTCTGTCATAATACGATGATTATTTTTCTAATTTCTAATTTTCTTTAATGTTACAACATTTTCACTAACAAATGAGGGTAAATTCCTTTCAAATGGAAGAAGTTTTCCATTAGCATCAACAAATTTATTAAGCACCCACTATTGTGCAGAATGCTTTTTTTTTTTTTTTTTTTACAGAAAAGTGCATTTTAAAACAATTTAAGCTTCAAGTTTGTCCAAGTGGTCTGTATTATCTAAATCATTCTTCCCAAGGGCCTCCAAATTACAAAGAAAGTCATGAAAAGTTAAAGATTACAGTCAGTATATGAGCTTTAAGGCTATACTAAGGTAAAGCTAGTAACATCTACTATTTTAGTAATTTTTGAATAGAAGGTACTTGCATGTGGTACAAAATTCAAGGGCTGGGAGCAGTGGCTCATGCCTGTAAACCTTGGACTTTGGGAGCTGAAGGCAAGAGGATCGCTTGAGCCCAGGAGTTTGTGGCCAGCCTAGGCAACATAGCGAGACCGTCTCAAAAATAAAATAAAATAAAATAAAATACAAAAGGTACAAACAGTTATACAGCAGAAAATGTCTCCCTGACACCCTGGCCCTCGGCCACCCAGCTCCCCAACTTGTATCATTCCAGAGATATTCTGTATCACTATCAGTCTGTTGTCTGTTCTGGTTGCTATAACCAAATACCGTAAAAAGGGTAATTTTTTTTTTTTTTTTTTTTTTTGAGACGGAGTCTCGCTCTGTCGCCCAGGCTGGAGTGCAGTGGCGCAATCTTGGCTCACTGCAAGCTCCGCCTCCTGGGTTCACGCTATTCTCCTGCCTCAGCCTCCTGAGTAGCTGGGACTACAGGCGCCTGCCACCACACCCGGCTAATTTTTTATATTTTTCATTGAGACCGGGTTTCACCGTGTTAGCCAGGATGGTCTTGATCTCCTGACCTTGTGATCTGCCCGCCTCGGCCTCCCAGAGTGCTGGGATTACAGGTGTAAGCCACCGCGCCTGGCCAAAATGGGTAATTTATAAATAGAAATTTATTGCTCATAGTTCTGGAGGCTGGAAACTCCAAGATCCAGGTGCCAGCAGATTCAGTATCTGAGTGAGGGCCCATTCTTCACAGACGGCACTTTCTATGTGTCCTCACATGGCAGAATGAGCAAGGACACTCCCTTCAAACTCTTTTAAAAGGGCACTAATCCCATTCATGAGGGCTGAGCCCTCATGACTTAATTACTTCCCAAAAGGCTCCACCTCTTAATACTATCACACTGGGTGTTAGGTTCCAACATCTGAATTTTGGGGGAATGCCAACATTCAGACCATAGCAACCTCCAACAGGCTTTGATGACGTGGTGTCTTGAGACGCTGAGCTAGGGAGCATGGTGGGCTCACCAGCACTGTAATACTACCATTATCCCCAACTTACAATCCCCAAGTGAGAGACCTGCAGGAGATCTGCTTGTGGCCTGAGTGAACAAGTAGCTTGCCAAAAGTCTCATGGCCGATAAGAGATACGAAGTCCATCATACTCTCAGAAACACTCCCCTCAACACACACACACACACACACACACATTCTACCCTAAACAAGGGTGACTTCATGTCATTGTTCTCTCTCCCTGGAACATACCTCCATAAACCATCACTAGCCCTTTGCCTGGCTAATATAAAGTTTAGAATCAGCATTCTTCTATCTACAAAAAAACCTTGCTAGGATTTTGGGATCGTATTAAACCTATAGATCATTTGTGGAGAACTAATATTTTAACTATATTGAGTTTTCCAATCCTAATGAACACAGAATGCCTGTCTACTTATTTTGGTCATCTTTGATTTCTTACTTCAGTGTTTTGTAGTTTTCAGTGAGCAGATTCTATACATGTTTTGTGAGATTTATATCTAAGAATTTCATTCTTTTGAGTGCTGTTATAACTGATATTGGTTTTTTTGTTTTAATTTCCAATGATTTATTGCTAGGATATAAAAATACTATTGGTTATCGTGTGTTGACCTTATATCCTGTAACCTTGCTAACTCACTTATTAGTTCTAGGAGGTTTTTTATAGATTCCCATGTGATTATCTACCTAATCATGCCATATGCGAATAGGGACAGTTTTATTTATTTCTGATCTGTACGTCTCCTATTAATTTTTTTGCAACGGCTAGGACTTCCAGTATGATCTTGAATATGAGTGGTAACAGTAAACATCATTGCCTGTTTCCCATCATGGGGGAAAGCATTCATTCTTTCCCCACTGTAACATTATATATTACAGTATAATGTTAGCTGTAGATTTTTTGTAGATGCCCTTTTTCAGGTTGAAGAAGTTCCTTTCTCTTCCAAGTTTGCTGACAGCATTTATTATGGAAAAGTACTGAATTTTGTCAAAAGTTTTTTTTTTCTGCATCAAATGATAGAATCATGTGGCTTTGGGTTTTGTTTTGTTTTTGAGAAACGGTCTCACTCTGTTGCCCAGGCTGGAGTGTAGTGGCACGATCGCGGCTCACCGCAGCCTTGACCTCCTGGGCTCAAGCAATTCTCCCACCTTAGCCTACAGCTGGGACTACAGGCATGCACAACCATGTCATGCTAATTTTTGTATTTTTTGTAGAGAAGGGGATTCACCATGTTGCCCAGGCTGGTCTTGAACTCCTGGGCTCAAGCAATCCACCTGCCTCGGCCTCCCAAAGTGCTGGGACTACAGACATAAGCCACTGTGCCTGGCCTGTTATTTTAAGTTATTAATATGGTGTACACCTATAACATTTACTTTCAAAAACTGCACCAACCTTTTTGTTCCTGGGATAAATCAAATTGGTTTGGTGTATTATTCTTTCTCCATTATGCTGGGTTTTATTTTCTATATGGTATTTTGTTGAGGATTTCTGTGTCTGTGTTCATATAAGGAATATTGGTCTGTAGTATCATTTTCTTGAACTGTCTTTGTGTGGTTTTGTAAAACACATGTACGCTCTACATTTAACAACTTCTTTTGAGATCGTGGATTATAATTTCACTATTTTTAATCATCAAAAAAACTTAAGAGTAATTATAACTTTGCTTTTCTGCCAGAATTTATTTGACTCCAAGTCCTTGATCAGGAAGACAACTCCTAAAGATAACAATCTTCCTAAAGGAAAATGGGACTGTTTTACAAGGAGCCACAGAATGGTGGATCTGAGAATCCAACATAGAGAAACCCACTGCTTCATCTACCATTATGCGCTTGTATATGCATGACTTCAGGGATAAATGGGAGCCAGAAGTACAAAGGAATCTTCAGTAGTAAACAAAACGCAGAACCCTTCACGGTTTGACCAGGGTCATTGTGTGTCTGCCTGGTCATTTGACCAGCTCTTACGAATCAGGAACCCAGCTGAACCTCAGTTGAACCAGCCCCTCCAACAGAACTGAGGGGATTTGGGGCTGATAAGCTCAGTGCTATGTCTACAGCCAGTCATTTCTCAAAGTTGCAGCTTTGTAAATGTAGCTATATTTGTGTTGCATATGATTTCTATAATGTATTACTGCCCCACCCCTGCACATCCTCCAGAGAACAGTAACCAGCCAGGGATTGTGCTGACTGGCTTGAGATTTAAAAAACTAACAAGGTTTCCACCAAATAAAAGAGATGCCATTACCCACCCCTGAAGTGCAAATACTCACATTTGTTTTTGAGTTACGTAAGAAAGCAACTATCAAACATTAACCTCTTAATTCTTACAATTCCTAAAATGGTCAATTAGTCATTACTACCCATACTGTACAACTGAGGAACCCAGATTCGATGAGATTAAGAGACATCAAAATCAGCTGAGCTAAAATTTGCATTTAAACATTTCCAGGCCAGGCGCAGTGGCTCACACCTGTAATCCCAGCACTTTGGGAGACCAAAACAGCAGGATTGCTTGAGCTCAGGAGTTCGAGATTAGCCTCTAGTTTGAGGCAACATAGCAAGACCTCGTCTCTACAAAAATAAAAAAAAAAATAGCAGGGCATAGTGGCACATGCCTGTAGTCCTGGCTATTCAGGAGGCTGAGGCAGGAGGCTCCCTTGAGCCCAGAAGTTCGAGGTTACAGTGAGCTATGATCATGCCACTGCATTCCAGCCTGCAGTGACAGAACAAAAATCTGTCTTAAAAAAAAAATTCCTATTACCCATCTTTTGTTATTAAAAAGTCCTATACAAATACATTGTCAGAAAGTCATCTAGGCATGGGAAGGGCTCAAGAAAGGGATGTGGATCAGGTGCGGTGGCTCACGCCTGTAATCCCAGTTTGCGACCAACCTGGGCAACACAGTCTCATTAGACTGTCTTTATTCATTTAAAAAAAAAATTCACACAAGGAGGAAGAAGATAATTTAAATCAGTTGTTTAACCACACTAGACATTCTCCCCAACTAAGAGATACGTACAGGTTTCATTTTGAAAAGATATAGGCGGAGGTAAGTGACTCATGCCTGTAATCTCAGCACTTTGGGAAGCCGAAGAGGAAGGATTGCTTGAGCTCACGAGTTTGAAACCAACCTGGGCAACACAGGGAGACCCTATCTCTACAAAAAATTTAAAAATTAGCTAGGCATAGTGGCATACACCTGTAGTCCCAGCTAGTTGGAGGGCTGAGGTGGAAGGATCACCTGAGCCCAGGAGGTCGAGGCTGCAGTAACCTATGATTGTACCACTGCACTCCAGCCTGGGCACAGAGCAGGACCTTGTCTCAAAAAGAAAAAGAAAAGATAAAATCTATGCAACTGCACCGTTTAATTTTTTCATAATGTTTCAGATTAGCTTTAGTATCCAATCACATTCCATTAAAAATACCAATTTAACTTAAATCATAAGGAATTAAACTATCTTTAATTCAAACACATAATTATGTTTTTGGTGATATTTTCACACAGTTTCTTTAGAGACAGGCATTGTTAGCACTATGACAGCTAACATTTATTGCACATCAGTTAGATACCTAATACGGTAGGTACTAACTTACACATATTATTTCATTTTCTTAATCCTTTGAGGGAGGTATTGGCAGTCTCATTTTACCGAAAAATCTCAGCTTTAAGGTTGACTATTTATCGAAAGCTGGTTGCTAGCACCTGTGTGAGGTTTTGTTGTTTTTTTTTTTGAGATGGAGTCTTGCTCTGTCACTCAGGCTGGAATGCAAGGGCACAATCTCAGCTCACTGCAACCTCTGCCTCCCAGGTTCAAGCGCTTCTCCTGCCTCAGCCTCTGGAGTATCTGGGATTACAGGCACTCGCTATATGCCTGGCTAATTTTTTGTATTTTTGTAGAGATGTGGTTTCACCATGGTGGCCAGGCTAGTCTTGAACTCCTGACCTCAAGTGATCCAGCCACCTCGGACTCCCAAAGTGCTGGCATTACAGGCGTGAGCCCGGCCTGTTGCAAGGTTAACACTGAAAGGATATAGAAAGGTAAGTCTCAAACTTTAATGTACACGTGGATCACCTGGGGAATCTTGTTTAAATGCAGATGACTCAGAAGTTCTGGGGTAAGGCCACTGATTCTGCATTTCTAACAAGCCCTTAGGTGATGGCAATGCTGCTGGCCTAAGGCCAAACTTGGAATAGCAAGGATCTACAGGTTGCAATAGGCCACAAAAAACACCACCAAAAAGTCTACAGCCCAACGCAGGGGCTCACGCCTGTAACCCCAACACTTTGGGAGACCAAGATGGGCAGATCACTTGAGGTCAGGAGTTCAAGACCAGCCTGGCCAACATGGGGAAACCCCATCTCTACTAAAAAATAGAAAACTTAGCCGGGCGTGCTAGTGGGCGCCTGTAATCCCAGCTACCTGGGAGGCTGAGGCAGGAGAATCACTTGAACCTGGGAGGTGGAGGCTGCAGTGAGCCAAGATCTTGCCACTGCACTGCAGCCTGGGTGACAGAGCAAGACTCCATCTCAAAAAAAAAAAAAAATCTAAAAAAACTAAATTTATGGCCAGTCGCAGTAGCTCACGCCTATAATCCCAGCACTTTGGGAGACTGAGGCGGGTGGATCACCTAACGTCAGAAGTTTGAGACCAGCCTAGCCAACATGACGAAACCCCGTCTCCACTAAAAATACAAAAATTAGCCAGGCATGGTGGCAGGCGCCAGTAATCCCAGCTACTCGGGAGGCTGAGGCTGGAGAATTGCTTGAACCCAGGAGGCGGAGATTGCAGTTAGCTGAGATGGTGCCATTGCACTCCATCCTGGGCATCAAGAACAAAAGTCTAACACAAAGAAAAAAAAAACATACACACCACTAAATTTATTTTTAGACATGGGATCTTGCTACGTTGCCCAAGCTGGAGCACAGTGGCTACTCCGAGGCACCATAATAGCTCCCTGTGACCTTGAACTCCTAGGCTCAAGCAGTCCCCCCACCTCAGCTTCCTGATTTTTAAAAGTCAAATTTTTCTCCAAACCGCAGAGTTAGAACTTACTCATATTTCTTGATGGATTCTGAGTTTTGTAACATCTCAGAAGTATCTTCATAATGACTTCTTATTTTCTTTTCAGTTTAAATTTAGAGTCCAATTTCTTGGAGTTTTGTGGGATTTTCATCAAGGCTGGGAAGCCAACTACACCAAAACCATTTGAAGTTGCCATACCCTTCAAGCAGGTCCCTTTCCTTTACTCACCCACATATAACCTCTCAGAGTTTAAGTTCTAGAGATTAACAAACAACAGAGTTAGGCGAGATTCTGGGGGCTAGGCCCAAAAGTTCTTCCGGATGAAAAGTACAAATCTAGGCCAGGCGTGGTGGCTCACGTCTGTAATCCAGGCACATTGGGAGGCCGAGGCGGGCAGATGACCTGAGCTCAGGAGTTCGAGACCAGCCTGGGCAACATAGTGAAACCCCGTCTCTACCAAAAATACAAAAAATTAGCTGGGCATGGTGGTGTGCGTCTGTGGTCCCAGCTACTTGGGAGGCTGAGGTGGGTGGGTCTCTTGAGCCCAGGTGGCGGAGGTTGCAGTGAGCCAAGATTGTGCCACTGCACTCCAGCCTGGGTAACAGAGTTAGACCCAGTGTTTAAAAAAGAAAGAAAAAGAAAGAGTGAGAAGAAAGAGAGAGGGAGAGAGCGCGAGGGAGAGAAAGAGAAAAGAGAAAAGAAAAGAAAAAAAGAAAAGAACAACGCTACAACAAAACAGTACCTTACCAAAAAGTAATGATAAATGCCACAGGCTTCCATCCCTGGACTTAGGTGATAAACTCCTAGCAATGCAGTAATAACTAACAGTCTACAAACTAGATTTCAATTCTTTTACTAGATCCTTTTAGGGACAAGTTCTATTTACTTTCAAACTCCCACAGTGCAAACAAAGCAAGGTATTTGACCAAGCCCTGCTCTTTTCTTATTCATTTCTAATTATCTGTACGGGCTGCTGGCACCCCATACTCAAACATTGGCTAGCTGCCTCTTTTAAAAGGCAATTGCAGGCAGGGTGTGGTGGCTCACGCTTGTAATCCCAGCACTTTGGGAGGCCGAGGTGGGCGGATCATAAGGTAAGGAGTTCGAGACCAGCCTGGCCAGGCCAACACAGCAAAACCCCGTCTCTACTAAAATTACAAAAATTAGCTGGGCGTGGTGGTGGGCGCCTGTAATCCCAGCTACTCGGGAGGCTGAGGCAGGAGAATCGCTTGAACCCGGGAGGCAGAGGTGGCAGTGAGCCAAGATTGTGTCACTGCACTCCAGCCTGGGCGACAGAGCTAGACTCCATCTCAAAAAAAAAAAAAAAAAAAAAAGGCAATTGCACACCTCCCTTCACCTCCTACATTCTCTTTGCTAACAGCAACGCCAAACTAAAAACCAATGCATCTTTGAAAACATTCCAGTTTACCAGATAAGGTAAATTTAAAATTCTGAAGACAGATTATCTGATCCATTTTTCTTTCCATAAAGCCCTTCAAAAATACCCTCTGGCAGTCAGCAGAACAAGCCTTTCACCCAAGAGAGACATAAAATAGCCTATGATTCTGTCATTTACAAACGCCAGGACATTTATTTAAAGGGTATCCACACATTATATTATTCCCAAGGAATGCTTATGCACTCAAGTAGGAAAAGGAGGACCAGGCCTGGCACGGTGGCTCATGCCTGTAATCCCAGCACTTTGGGAAACCAAGGAGGGGTGATCGCTTGAGCCCAGTAGTTGGAGACCAGTCTGGGCAACATGGTGAAACCCCATCTCTACTAAAAATACAAAAATTAACCCGGCATGGTGGAACGTGCTTGTAGTCCCAGCTACTCGGGAAGCTGAGGTGAGAAGATCGCTTGAGCCTGGGAGGTCGAACCTGCAGTGAGCCACGATCGCACCAGTGCACTCCACCCTGGGCGACAGAGACCCGGTCTCAAAAAAGAGAGAGAGAGAGAACAAGAACAAGTGGCTTCTCTGGCTATGAGAAGTCTATAAAGTTTTGAGGCCGGTGGCCTCAGAAGGCCTACCTGTGACAGAGAATGTTGGGGGGACACACGGGTTTTTCTGAATTAGAGCATGCCCACAACAGAGCTAAGCAATTGCCCGCAGAGGCATGTTACAAAACCACAAAGCAGGAACAGAGCTGAGAGGCCCCTGCCCAGAACACCCTGGAAGCTAAAACACAGGACCCTGAGAAATGAGCTCTACTACAGACAAGTCCAACAGAAAGTTCTCTGTTTCTGCTACCTCCAAAACTGGCTGCCCTCCCAGATTTAACTCTGGGTACCAATTGGGCAGTGCCAGCCACCGTGCTGGGCGGTGGATTCCGGGATGCCAAGTCTGTCTTCTTGGTTAGAAGGACACAAACCTCTGCAGTGTAGAGAATTGTGGGCATATCTGGGCTCCTCCACTGCATCAGGGCTACCTGCCTCCATCCAGCAAATACTTACTAAGCGCCTACCATATACGCCTGGCACCCAGCTAGACATCAAGTGGGAACCAAACCACAGTCCCTCGTCTCCGCAGGCAGAAACAGGCACCGTCCGGAGGTTGCGCGGGCCGGGAAAACCTGCCACAGGTTGCTAAGACCAGCTGTACCCAGGAGACAGCAGGATTCCCAGCAGCACCCAGCCCAGTAACGCCACAGACTCCCGGGAGCGAGGGCGGAGCGGACAGGTAGGCCCGAAGGCAGGTGCTCAGGTAGGAGGCGCACACCTGAGGCTGCCGGCCTGGGAAGGGCAGGCTCTGGCCGAAGGCGGGGTCCCCAGAGAAGGCTGCAGAGTGGTCCCGGGACCCCACGAGGGAGAGGGGGCGCGAGGAGCGGGCTCCGGCCTGGGCAAGCGGGTACGCGGCGGAGGCCCCGCAGCGGGGCGGGGAGGGAGGCGTGCGGCTAGGCCGCCCTCGGGCACCTGGGGCCCCGCCCGGCACCTACCACTTGGGCGACCTTGAGGCGGCCGAGCGCGCCGCGCAGGTAGTCGGGGTCGCAGCGCAGGCCGGCCAGCCCGCGGCGCTGGCTCACCGGCTCGGTGGTGGGCTGGTACGGGCTGCTGGCGCCCGAGATCATGGAGGTGCTCGAGGCCTCGCCCTCGAAGCCGTCCAGCTCCTCGCCGCTCCGCATGCTGCCGCCCGGCCCGGGCCGCCTCGCGCGGCTGGCTCCCGGCGCCAGGAGCGGGCGGACTCAGCGGGGCCGCCGCATCGCCGCCGCCGCCGCCGCCGCCGCCGCCCGACTGACTGCCCGCGGCCCGCCCGCCGCCGCCGCCTCTCGCCCGCCGCCCGGCTGCGGCTGCGGCTCGGTCCGCTCGGGCTCGGCTCCCGCCGCCTCGGCAGCGGAAAGGGAGGGAGGTGGGAGCCAGGAGAGGGAAGGAGGCGGGAGCGGGCGCGCCGGGCCGGGAGAGGCGGAGCCAGGCCGCAGCCGGCCGCTCGGAGGCGCTCCGCGGCTCGAGCGAGGTGGAGGCGGCGGCGCCGCGGGCCTCGGGGAGGGGCGGGGCGAGGCGGGGCGCCGGCTCCTCAGGCCCCGCCCTGGCCCCGCCCCCACCTGCGCCTAGAGCCGGGGCGGGAGCCGCTGGTGGGCGCTGGCGATCCCGGCACGCGGGGCGATGGGGTTCAGGCAGCGGGGTCTTGGGGCTGAGGAAAGGGTCGAGGTGGACCTGGAGGCCATGGAGTTGCTTTCCCAGACGCTGCCTCAGGTTCTCCTTTGAAGAAAGTGGGGTCCTCGACGCATAGGGTGGGGAGCTTCTCGGTAAAGACAGAGACGGGCTGCGCCACCCGGGTGCCGGGAACGGTGCGTGGCCAGGGTGGGCTTGACTCAGACTATTGGGCCGACGAGAGGTGGGTAAGTGCCTGTGTTCTCACGCTGGGCGCCTGGAACAAACCGGTTCCGAGGCCAGGGGCGGGCGGGGCAGGGTGAGGAGCCGCCCCACTGCAGGTTGTCCCCGCCGGCCTGACCCAGGCGACTGACATGTTCCTCTCCTCTCAGCTGAAAAGCTTTGCTAGCTCTGTCTACGCATAAAGTAAGGTTAAACACAGATTTTGCCCCGAAGGGCATTAATTAGGGACCAATTTACAATTCAAGTGTGAAGGCTAATTTTAAGCTAAGTAAAACACTGACTAAGAAGTGTCGCTTTGATATTGAACCCTTCCACAACCACAAATACCGAGAGCTTGCCATGTTCTAGGCACTGAGCAAGGCGCTTGAAGAACGTATCGTTGTTATTTCTATTTTACAGAAGAAGAGACTAAGGCTGCAGACTGGAAGTAGCTTGTCCAAGGTCACACAGTTCATTGGTGGGCAGAGCCCAGGTTCCTACTTTTTCTTTTTTTAAAAAAAAGTTATTTATTATTTTCATCATCATTATTTTTGTAGAGATAGGGCCTCACTGTGTTGCCCAGGCTGATCTCGAACTCCCGGGCTCAGGGGATCCTCCTGCCTCAGCCTCCCAAATTGCTGGGATTACAGGTGTGACTGACCATGCCCAGCCCTCAACTTTTTCAAAGATAGGAAGGACAGTGACTCTAATACTGTTGTCCTTCTGTATGGGGGCAAGAGAGGGAGCTTGTTTTCAGGACCCCCTCAAATACCAAAATCTGAAGATGCTCTCAAATCCTTTATATAAAATGGTGTAGTATTTACATATAACCTACACACATCTTCTCGTATACTTTAAATAATTGTTCTACTGTATTACTTTTTATCTATATTTTTGTGTGTGCGTGTGTGTGTTGTTTGGGGGTTTTTTGTGTGTGTGTTTTCTGAGACAGAGTCTTGCTCATCACCCAGGCTGGAGCGCTGTGGTGAGATCTCTGCTTACAGCAACCTCCACCTCAAGCGATTCTCCCACCTCAGCCTCCCGAGCAGCTGGGACCACCACGCCCAGCTAATTTTGGCATTTTTAGTAGAGACAGGGTTTCACCATGTTGGCCAGGCAGATCTCAAACTACTGGCCTCAAGTGATCTACCCACCTCAGCCTCCCAAAGGGCTGGGATTACAGATGTGAGCCACCGTGCCCCACCTGTTTTTCTGTTTTGTTTTGTTTTGTTTGTTTTTAAAATAGACTTTTCACTCTGTCATCCAGGCTGGAGTACAGTGGTACAATCATAGCTCACTGTAACCTCGACCCCCTAGACTTAAGCAATCCTCCTGTCTCAGCCTTCTAAGTAACTGGGACTACAGGCATGCCACCACCATGCCTGGCTAAATTGTTTTTTCTTTCTTTTTTTTTGGAGATGGGGTCTCATTATGTTGCCCAGGCTGGTCTCAAACTTCTGGTCTCAGCAGTCCTCCCACTTCAGCCTCCCAAAGTGCTGGGATTACAGGCATGAGCCACCACATCCAGCTTATTTTTTATTGTTTTTTCCAAATAATTTTTTTTTTTGAGACGGAGTCTCATTCTGTCACCCAGTGGCATGATTGCTGCGCACTACAACCTCCACCTCCCAGGTTCAAGCAATTATTCATGCTTCAGCCTCCTGTGTAGCTGGGATTACAGGTACCGACTAACACGCCTGGCTAATTTTTGTGATTTTAGTAGAGACGGGGTTTTGCCATGTTGGCCAGGCTGGTCTTGAATTCCTGACCTCGAGTGATCTGCCCACCTTGGCCTCCCAAAGTGCTGTGATTACAGGCATAAGCCACTGTGCCCAGCCTATTTTATTCCAAATTTTTTTTTATCAGCAGTTGGTTGAATCCATAGCTGCAGAAACCACAGATATAGAGGACTGACCCTAAATCAACAAATATTTATTGGGCACTTACTATGGATTAAGCAATATACTAAGAACTTGAGATAGACAATGGTGCTAGACGGTGGTGACATTGAGTGGTTGGATGTAGACTCTTGCCTCTGCTTTCTCCCAAAATCCCAGTGAAATGACAGTTACAGGGATTTTTTTGAGGGGGTGGGGTTGGGCATTAAACTGTTGGGATAAAGAATGGCAAAGGAGGCAGGGCACCATGGTGCATGCCTGTAATCCTAGCACTTTGGGAGGCTGAGGTGGCAGTTCACTTGAGGTCAAGAGTTCAAAACCAGCCTGGCCAACATGTTGAAACCTTGTCTCTACTAAAAATAAAAAAAAAAAAAAAAAAAAAAAAATTAGCCATACATGGTGGCGAGCGCCTGTAATCCCAGCTACTCGGGAGGCTGAGGCAGGAGAATCACTTGAACCTGGGAGGTGGAGGTTGCAGTGAGCTGAGATCACCCCACTGTACTCCAGCCTGGGCTACCAAAAAAAAAAAAAATGGAATGGGAAAGGAGACAATGGCAACAAAATGTTGGAAGCTGGGAAGCAAATGGGCAACTGTAACTTAGCAGATCCAAGAAAGCCAAACCCTAAACTGGCAGGGGAAAGGCTGAAATATTATGCAGCACAGGTTATATCACAGAACAAAAGGCTCAGGAATGGGCAGCACCAAGTAAGTGTAGAGTTAGGGGGTGAAGGCAGGAGTAATAAACAAGAAGAGCAAGTGAAAGTCTTTTAAAGAAGCAAGTGGATCCCTAGATCCCTTTTCACACCCATCCCCCAAGACTGGAGCTTTGTTCTCTGGAGAGGGTGAAACAGAAGGCCTCTTAGTTAGAGATCACTAGGCACAGTTCAGGGAAGGAATACTGTACTAAAAACAGGTGGAGTAAGTGAAAGTTTGCTTAATGAATGAGACCCCCAGACATCCTTCCCGAGATCATGGTAGCCAAGACCTCACATTCTCTCTGGAAAACATGATTAGCACAAGAAGAAAGACCCAAAGATCCTGACAATGGAAGTACCCCAAAGTGGAGCCCAGCCAGATCACCCAACACAGAATCCCACAGTTGAGACTTCTCACCTACAGGCACAGAGCTTCCAATGAGCTTTTGAGGACTCTACTTTGAAATATAAATGACAACTAAGAGTCACCAAACATTTGAGGAAAGCCTATAACATAACAGAGGTCAAAACGAAGAAAAAGATATGTCATTAAATGTTTACAATGGTATATATATGTGTGTTCATATATATACCATTTTATACACATGTATATATCAGTATTCTCAGGTAAACTGAGAAGATACTGTAACCATAAAAAGTTTAGAATAAGGCTGGGCATGGTGGCACATGCCTGTAATCCCAGCACTTTGGGAAGCCGAGGTGGGTGGATCATTTACAGTCAGGAGTTCGAGACCAGCCTGGCCAACATGGTGAAACTCCATCTGTACTAAAAAAACAAAAATTAGCCCAGAGTGGTGGTGCATGTCTGTAGTCCCAGCTACTCAGGAGGCTGAGGCAGGAGAATCGCTTAAGCCCGGGAGGCAGAGGTGGCAGTGAGCCAAGATTGTGCCACTGCACTCCAGCCTGAGTGACAGAGCAAGACTCTGTCTCAAAAAAAAAAAAAAAAAAGTTTAGAATAAGGCTGAGTGAGGTGGCTCACGCCTGTAATCCCAGCGTTTTGGGAGGCTGAGGTGGGCAGATGGCTTGAGCCCAGGAGTTCGAGACCAGCCTGAGCAACATAGCAAGACCCCATCTCTATTAAAAAAAAAAAAAAAAAAAAAGTTTAGAATAAGATGTTACCAAAAAGGAATATTCAGAGAAAAAAAAAAACCTCTTAGACAAGCACATGAAAATATGCTCAATGTTATTAGTTGAAGGAAATTAGGGAAATGCAAATCAAAACCACTTCATAACTGCCAGGATAGCTATAATAAGAACAACAGGAAATTACAAGTGTTGGTGAGGATGTGGAGAAACTGGAACCCTCATACATTGATGGTAAGAATGTAAATGGTGTAACTGCTGGGTTGAAAGTTTGGCAGTTCTTCAAACAGTTACATAGAATTACTATATGACCCAGTAATTCCACTCCTGCGTATATACCCAAAAGAACTGATAATGGGTGGCCAGGCACAGTGGCTCATGCCTGTTATCCCAGCACTTTGGGCGGCCAAGGCAGGTAGATTGCTTAAGTCCAGGAATTCAAGACCAGCCTGGGCAATATGGCAAGACCCCATCTCTACAAAAAATACAAAAAACTAGCTGGGTGTGGTGACACATGCCTGTAGTTCCAGCTGCTTGGGAGGCTCAGGTGGGAGGATTGCTTGAACCTGGGAGAGGAAGGTTGCAGTGAGCTGAGATTGTACCACCGCACTCCAACCTGGGTGACAGAGTGATACCCTTTCTCAAAAACAGAAAAAAGAAAAAAAGAAAATAAAAGAAAGAAAAAAATTGATAATAGGTGCTGAAACAAAAACTTGTATGAGACATGCCAGACTCCATGATACAGGCCTGTAGTCCTAGCTACTCAGAAGCCTGAGGCAGGAAGAACACTTGAGCCCAGGAATTCAAGGCTGTAGTTTGCTATGATTGCACCTATGAGTAACTACAAACTCCAGCCTGGTAACACAGCAAGACACCATCTAAACAAACAAACAAACGAAACCTTATTTTTATGCCCTTATATAAAAAGAAACACAAAAAAACCTTCTTCATGAAGGTTTGTAGCAGCACTGTCCACAGTAGCCAAAAAGTAAGCACAAGCCAAGTGTCCTCCATTACCCCATGAAACAGGAGTTCGAGACCAGCCTGGCCAACATGGTGAAAACCCATCTCTACTAAAAATACAAAAATTAGCCAAGCATGGTGATGGGCGCCTGTAATCCCAGCTACTCGGGAGGCTGGGCAGGAGAAAAGCTTGAACCAGGGAGGCTGAGGTTGCAGTGAGCCGAGATCATGCCACGGCACTCCAGCCTAGGCAACAGAGTGAGACTCTGTCTCCAAAAAAAAGAAAAAAAGAATGTGTTTGAGGGCCAGGCATGTTGCTCATGCCTGTAATCTTAGCGCTTTAGGAGGCCAAGGCGGGTGGATCACCTGAGGTCAGGAGTTTGAGACCAGCCTGGCCAACGTGGCCAAACTCCATCTCTACTAAAAATACAAAAATTAGCTGGGCGTGGTGGTGTGCCCCTGTAATCCCAGCTACTCAGGAGGCTGAGACAGAAGAATTGCTTGAACCTGGGAGGTGGAGGTTGCAGTGAGCTGAGATCGTGCTACCCTGGGTGACAGAGCGAGACTCCATCTCAAAACAAAAAAAATGTGTTTGAGGCCCAGTATGGTGCCTCACGCTTATGATCCCAACATTTTGGGAGAAGCCGAGGAGATGATCGAATCACTTGAACTCAGGGTTTCAAGAACAGCCTGGGCAACATGGTGAGACCCTGTCTCTACAAAAAAATGAGCCGTGTGTAGTGGCGCACCTCTGTAGTCCCAGCTACTTGGGAGGCTGAGGTGGGAGAATCACCTGACCTCCAGAAGTCAAGACTGCAGTGAGCCATGATCATACCACTGCACTTCAACCTGGCCAACAGAGTGAGACCCTGTCTCAAAAAAAAGAAAGATTTTTTAAAAAACAAACTTTGCGGCTGGGCACAGTGGCTCACGCCTGTAATCCCAGCACTTTGGGAGGCCGAGGTGGGTGGATCACGAGGTCAGGAAATCAAGACCATCCTGGCTAGCACAGTGAAACCCCGTCTCTACTAAAAATACAAAAATTAGCGGGGCATGGTGGCGGGCACCTGTAGTCCCAGCTACTTGGGAAGCTGAGGCAGGAGAATGGCGGGTGAACCCAGGAGGAGGAGCTTGCAGTAAGCCAAGGTTGCGCCACTGCACTCCAGCCTGGGCGACAGAGCGAGACTCCGTCTGAAAAAAAACAAAAACAAACAAAAAAAAAAACTTGGCATTTGTTGGGACGGATAGTCCCTGCCAGCGGGGACATGGAGAGCCAGTATTGAAACCAGTAAGTGCAATGGAATATGTGCTGAGTGTTGTTGGGGGAAGGAGGGTGTTCATGACAGTAGGGACATTTCCAGCAAAAAGATTTAATTGAGTCTGTGGGTCAGAATTTCAGCTGAGATCTGAAATACAAACAGCAGTTATCTAAGCAAAAGGGTTGGGGGAAAATACTGCGGGCAGAGGGAACAGCATGTGCCAAGGCCCAGAGACAAGCACCAGCAAGGCGCACTGAAGAGAAAGGAGTGCAGAATTCAAGTGTGGGAAACTGGCAGAGGAGACCTGAAGCTGAAAGGCAGCTGAAGCTGAAAGGACCTCATGGTCCACAGAAGAGGGTAGGTTCCACACAGGAGAGGGCTAAGCCTGAGAGTGGCCCAACAAGGCCTGCCTTGAAGGGTGCTCTCTCTGGCTTCAGTGCAGTGATGGATTGAGCAGAGGCAACAGTGGAGGCTGTCCTCCAGTACTTATTAAACTGTTTCCCGTTCCTGGACACTAGCCTAAGTTTATTTTTAGTTCTAGGGACAGACTCAAAATTTTCACTTCTGGTTTTTAAAAGAAGTTTGCAGACTTCCAAAGGGTGTTGTTGGGAATCCCACACGGATCCTTAAATAGTAGACAAAACCTGGTATCGTGGTGCCTTCCTTGCCGTTGGATTGTAATACATCATGAGTCCCTGGGTGTAGCTGTGCCTCCGGGTGTCTACGGGTGCTGAAGACAAAATGAAGACGACACAGAAACAGACAGCCCTTGGCCAGGTCCCTGGGTTCCAGGGTCTAGTCCCCATATCCAAGCTGACTCAGGACAACCAGACTCAGAAGAGACTGATGAATAAGCCAGATGCTACTTTGTTAATTACTGCCGGAGGATAGACTCTGCCAGAGTGCTGATTCTTATCTCAGACCCTATGCTGGAAGAGCTTCTCAGGGCAGCCAGCTGATGTGGAAGGACATGCCTGGGCCTCAGGAGGCTTAGGCTGCTGCCCAGGGTCTTTTACAACAGCGTCTTTCTCACCCCAGGCAGTGCTTAGGCACTAGCAAGTTCCTTATCATTGACCCTTTTCTCTACACAGTCAGCACCTGTGTGTTCAGAACATGCTCATGTTTAGCATCTTTAGGTAGGGGCTAGTCCCCGGGATACCTTGGTTCACCTGGATCAGGTTTGTCCCTCAGTGTCTCATTTAGTCCTGGGCTTGAGGGCAACTACCTCCAAGTCTGGAGACCACTAACTGTACCCTCCTACACACACACACACACACACACACACACACACACACACACACTCACACTCTGACTTCCCTGAGCATCAGGACTCATGGAGAGTCCTAACCTCAAAAGCATTGGTCTAGACTGGGTGCAGTGGCTCATGCCTATAATCCCAATTCTTTGCAGGGCTGAGATGGGAGGATCACTTGAGGCCAGGAGTTCAAGACCAGCCTGGGCAACATAGCAAGACCCTATTTTTAGGAAAAGTAAGAAAAGGAGAAAAAAAAAAAAAGCATTGGTCCTACAAAGACCTTAGATTCTAAATTTCACGAAGGGCTAGGAGCAAAACACCTTCCCAAACTGTGGTCTCTGCGTGTTCTGTGTCTGGAGCCAGTGCCTAATCATGGGGAGGAGAGACGGGTTTGTACTTCATTTCATCTCTCACTGAGGCCCCTCCTCAGTGCATCCTTACAAACGTGGGGGAATGGGGATAGCTTGTCCTGTAACTTCTGTTAAGCAATAGATTTGATCTACTACATTTCATATACTCAGTAATTAGCAGAAGCCCAGCCGGGCACAGTGGCTCACACCTGTAATCCCAGCACTTTGGGAGGCCAAGGCGGGCAGAGCATGAGGTCAGGAGTTCGAGACCAGCCTGGCCAACATGGTGAAACCCCATCTCTACTAAAAATACAAAAATTAGCCGGGCACGGTGGCATGCGCCTATAGTCCCGACTACTCGGGAGGCTGAGGCAGGAGAATTGCTTGAACCCAGGAGGTGGAGGTTGCAGCGAGCCGAGAATGGACCACTGCACTCCAGCCTGGGTGACAGAGCAAAACTCTGTCTCAAAAAAAAAAAACTAGCAGGAGCCCTTAAAGACTTCTACCTCAAACAAAATTATATAGACAGGGACAGTAAGCAGAAGATTTCAAGCATAAGGTATATAGTAGGAAGACTGATTAAGTTTATCATTAACAATTATCAATGTTAAAAGCATGAACCAAAAACACAAGAACATTTTTAATTTAGTGCTTCAAGACTAACAACTTGGTATGAAATGATTCTATTTCTTTTTTTTTTTTTTTTTTTTGAGACAGAGTTTCACTCTTGTTGCCCAGGCTGGAGTGCAATGGCGCGATCTCAGCTCACCACAACCTCCGCCTCCCGGGTTCAAGCAATTCTCCTCACTCAGCCTCTCGAGTAGCTGGGATTACAGGCATGTGCCACCACGCCCAGCTAAGTTTGTATTTTTAGAAGAGACGGGGTTTCTCCATGTTGGTCAGGCTGGTATCGAACTCCCAACCTCAGGTGATCCACCTGCCTCAGCCTCCCAAAGTGCTGGGATTACAGGCATGAGCCACCGCGCTCGGCAAATGATTCTATTTCTAAAAGGCCTTTTAAAGAAAGGTACCAGGCTGGGCGCAGTGCTTTATGCCTGTAAATCCCACTACTTTGGGAGGCTGAGACAGGCAGATCACTTGAATTCAGGAGCTCGAGACCACCCTGGGCAACATGGTGAAACCCCGTCTTTACAAAAAATACAAAAATTAGCCAATCATGTTAAGTGTGCACCTGTAATCCCAGCTCCTCGGGGGACTGAGTGGGGAGGATCGGATCCGTTGAGTATACAAGGTAGAGGCTGCAGTGAGCCATGATCCACCCACTGTACTCCAGCCTGGGCAACAGAGCAAGATCCTGTCTCAAAAAATAAATTAAAAAATTTAAAAATAAAGGTGCCAGTATGTCTTGATGTCTGAAGGATTAGACTCAAAGATGTAAAAATCAAAACCCACTGTTTCGTGTTTGAAAGAAGCGGATGTCCCTGTCCCTCTCCTTGGTGGCAGGGCCCTGACCAGACTCCTCCAGCAATGTTCCCACATGCCTGGAGGGAGGGACCAGAGCCTGGGCCAGTTCCAGGGAGGAGTGGTTCAGGGGTGAGAGTTAACTGCTGCTTCTGAAGGAACTTGTCCCTTCAGCCGGAAAAATGCTCTCCGAGTCTCTAAAAATAGTGCTCGCTGGGATTTTCCAGTTTGACATTCCTTTTATTACAATGACCAAAGACAATCCAAGCCAGTCCACCCTGGGCCTCTAACCAGAGCCTCCAGGGAATCCCAGCTTCTGCGGGACCCCAGTTTGTGGTTCCTGCTGCTTCCAAAACATAATGATTTGGGGAGAATTCACCTGCTCAGCAGCCGCCTCGCTTCTCCCTGGCTGCCCTCCACCTTCTCTCTCCATGGCAGAGGAAGTGGCATGGGTTTCTGGGGAAGAAGGCCGAGAGTGTGGCCATAAGGAAATGTGGGACCTGCCTTCACCCTCCAGGACTGGTGTCCATGCTGGGCCTGGCTAAACTAGCCATGTGAACCCTAGGGAGCTGCTGAGGTAACCAGGAGGCAACAGACACCTCGCCAGGCATTTGCGGCTGCCCCACCCCCCGGGGCCAGGCACTGGGCCATATCCTGGGGCTTCACGGCTCTCACAGAAGAACTGCGGTGGGAGGGAGTTATAAACCAAAAGTATCTGAGACAAGTCTCAATCAATTCAGAAGTTTATTTTGTCAAGGTTGAGGATCTGCCCAGGAGACCGTAAAGTCCGTGCCTTTTTCTGAAGATGATTTTGAGGACTTCATTATTTAATAATTTTTTGAGATGGACTCTCACTGTCGCCGAGGCTGGAGGGCAATGGCACGACCTCGGCTCACCGTAACCTCCGCCTCCTGGGTTCAAGTGATTCTCCTGCCTCAGCGTCTCGAGTAGCTGGGATTACAGGCGCCTGTCACTGGCCAAAATGGCGAAACCATCTCTACTAAAAATACAAAAATTAGCCAGCTGTGGTGGCATGTACCTTTAATCTCAGCCACTCAGAAGGCCGAGGCAGGAGAATCGCTTGAACCCGGGAGGAGGAGATTGCAGTGAGCCGAGATCCAGTTCGTGCCACTGCACTCCAGCCTGGGCGACAGAGCGAGACTGTCTCAAAAAAAAAAAAAAAAAAAAAAAAAGGGCCCCAGGACTTCAGAAAGGGGTGAGTGGTCTGGCTTCTTTCGCAGATATGGGCAGGGTCGAGAAGGTATGTGAAGGGCAGGGGCAGGGACAGAGGGACAGGAAGGTTGGGAACTGATTCTGAAGACGCCTGCAGTCCGTGGAGCCATGAGAGCTGCATTTTGCTCCTTAAGCAGGGGACTGACGTGATCAGATTTGGACAAAAACAAAAAGTACTAATGAATAATTCAAAGTCTTATCTCCCGGTGTCAAATGGGTAGTAGAAACACTGTTGCCGTGAATAATGTATAGAGCCCTTTTAAAGGGAAAAAGGTCTCAGGGACCCCAAGAGAACATCTGCAGACATCCAGGGCTCCCCAGACCCATTTGGGCAAACCCTGGAGCAGCCAGAATTGCCCCAAGAGTTCAAGCAGCCAGATTCATGAGCCCTTGAGCAAAGCCTCGAAGGTCAGACTGGCCTCAGGTGAGCTATCAGAGTGGGCAGGAAAGCATAATGGGAGGACACAGCAAGGGCAGAGGCCAGGAGGCTGGGAGGCTGGGGGAGGAGGAGTGAAAGGGTGGCTGGAAAAACACTCTGATTTTATTTTTAATTTTTGAGATGGAGTCTCACTCTGTTTCCCAGGCTGGAGTGCAGTGGCATGATCTTGGCTCACTGCAACCTCAGCCTCCCTGGTTCAAGCTTTTCTCCTGCCCAGCCTCCCGAGTAGCTGGGATTACAGGCGCCCATCACCATGCTTGGCTAATTTTTGTATTTTTAGTAGAGATGGGGTTTCGCCATGTTGGCCAGGCTGGTCTTGAACTCCTGACCTCAACTGATCCGTCTGCCTCGGCCTCCCAAAGTGCTGGGATTACAGGCGTGAGCCACTGCACTCAGCCAGGAACACACTTAGTAAAGTAGTGAGGTTGGAGAGGTGTTAGGGGCCACTGTGAAAGGCGTGAATATCATACCACTTTGGCTGTTAGTATGCACACATGGGAAGACATGAAGGTTAATTAACTAATGTATTTATTTGAAAACAATCTCAAAATTACAAAAAAAAAAGATAAGTATAGTATAATGTTTTTCCCTGAATCATTTGAGAGTATGTTACCAACCTAACAGCCCATCATCCTCAAATACTTTAGTATTTTCTACAAAGAAGGACATTCTCTGCTTTTACCAGAATGTGCATCAAAATCAGGAAATTATTTTTTTTATTTTATTCATTTTATTATTTTTTGAGACTGAGTCTTGCTCTGTCACCCAGGCTGGAGTGCAGTGGTGTGATCTTGGCTCACTGCAATCTCTGCCTCCTGAATTCAAGCAATTCTCATGCCTCAGCCTCCTGGGTAGCTGGGACTACAGGTGCACACCACCACACCCAACTAATTTTTGTATTTTTAGTAGACACAAGGTTTCACCATGTTGGCGAGGCTCATCTCAAACTCCTGATCTCAACTGATCTGCCTGTCTTGGCCTCCCAAAGTGGGATTACAGGCATGAGCCACCACACCTGGCCAGGAAATTATTCTTGATACCTTATTACCATCTAACCCTCACATTCCAATCAAGTTCTGCCAAATGTCCCTATAATGTCTCTGTAGCAAAATGAAGCCATTAAGGATCATGTGTTGCTCTTCTTGTTGTCATGTCACCAGTTTCCTTCAGACTGGAACAGTTCCTCAGACCCTCCTTGTCTTTTATGACCTTAACACCTTCAAAGATGTAATGCAGCCAAGTTATTTTGTACCATGTCCCTCAGTCTGGGTTTCTCTGATGTTTCTTTGTGATTAGATCCTGGTTATACATTTTTGGCAGAAATCCCCCAGCAGCAACACTGTGTTCTCTGTTCAGTCTATCAGGAGGCACATAACTGCTATGTGTCCCATTATTAATGATGTTCACTTCCATCAGGTGATTGAGCTTCTGGCCGCCAGACTTCTCCACTGTAATACGCTTTTTCCCCCTTGTAATGAACAAATCTGACACTTTGTGCATCAAAATAAATACTGATAGTAATGGATTATAACCCATTGAATAAATCATGTAAATTTGAAGTTTTGATGAGGAATGGAATGCTGTTTCACACTGAACTTTCAATTTACTAATTTATTTATATAGCTTCATGACTTCCTATTTTATTCAATGGGTTATAATCCATTATGATCTTTTTTTTCTTTTTTTGATGTTCAAATTGTCCCTGGCCAGTGGGCTTCTCTCAGTCTCTCTCGAAGAGACAGGGTCTTGGCTGGGCGCAGTGGCTCAACGTCTGTAATGCTAACACTTTGGGAGGCTGAGGTGGGCGAATCACTTGAGGTCAGGAGTTCAAAACCAGCCTAGCCAACATGGTGAAACCCCATCTCTACTAAAAATAAATATAAAAAAAAATTAGCCAGACATGGTGGCGGACACCTATAATCCCAGCTACTTGGGAGGCTGAGGCAGGAGAATCACTTGAACCTGGGAGGTGGAGGTTGCAGTGAGCTGAGATTGCACCACTGCACTCCAGCCTGGGCGACAGAGTGAGACTCCGTCTCAAAAATAAATAAATAATAAAAATTGGCCAGGCACAGTGGCTCATGCCTGTAACCCCAGCACTTTGGGAGGCCAAGGTGGGCAGATCACCTGAGGTCAGGAGTTTGAGACCAGCCTGGCCAACATGGCGAAACTCCAACTACTAAAAATACAAAAATACAAAGATTAGTTGGGTGTGGTGGCAGGCATCTGTAATCCCAGCTACTCAGGAAGCTGAGGCAGGAAAATCACTTGAACCCGGGAGGCAGAAGTTGCAGTGAGCCAAGATCATGTCATTGCACTCCAGCCTGGATGACAAGAGCAAAACTCCATCTCAAAAATAAAATAAATAAGATCTATATAGTGAAACCCTGTCTCTACTAAAAATACGAAAAATTAGCCAGGTGTGGTGGCGGGCACCTGTAATCCTAGCTACTTGGGAGGGTGAGGCAAGAGAATCGCTTGAACCTGGGAGGCGGAGGTTGTAGCGAGCCAAGATCGTGCCACTGCACACCAGCCAGGGTGACAGTGGGAGACTCCGTCTCAAAAAAATAAATTAAATTAAATTAAAATTGAAAAAAGAGACAGGTCTTGCTGTTGCCCGGGTTGGAGTGCAGTGGCTACTCACAGGCGCCATCATAGCTCACTGCAGCCTCAAACTCCTGGTCTCAAGAAATCCCCCCCGTCAGCCTCCTGAGTAGCAGAGACTACAGGCATGCACTACCATGCCTGGCTCCTTTTAAGAAATTTTTTTCATGCCTTTATGCATACAGCTCCTGTCTTTCGACACGTGTCTATGGTTCTTTGAGCCCTTTCTTACTTTCTGGCACGGATGTTCCAGGCTCATCTTACACTTTCCCTGTCTCAGCCCCAGAATCTACCATTTCCCCAAGAAACCCCAGGTTTTTTATTTTTTTTTTTCCTTGCTTCCTCATCCTCTGCCTCTCAGCCCCTTTTCTTTCTTTCTTTCTCTCTCTCTCTTTCTTTCTTTAGAGATGGAGTCTCGCTCTGTCACCCAGGCTGGAGTGCAGTGGCGTGATCTTGGTTTACAACCTCTGCCTCCCGGGTTCAAGCAATTCTGCCTCAGCCTCCCAAGTAGCTGGGATTACAGGCACACGCCACTATGCCTGGCTAATTTTTGTATTTTTAGTAGAGACGGGGTTTCACCATGCTGGCCAGGCTGGTTTTGAACTCCTGACCTTGTGATCTGCCCGCCTCGGCCTCCCAAAATGCTGGGATTACAGGCGTTAGCCACCAAACCTGGCCCTATTTGAGATGGAGTCTTGCTTTGTGGCCCAGGCTGGAGTGCAGTGGCGCAATCTCAGCTCACTGCAACCTCCACCTCCCAGGTTCGAGTGATTCTCCTGCCTCAATTTCCTGAGTAGCTGGGATTACAGGTGCACACCACCATGCCCAGCTAATCTTTGTATTTTTGGTAGAGACGGGGTTTCACATGTTGGCCAGGCTGGTCTCGAACTCCCAACCTCAGGTGATCGACCCGCCTCAGCCTCCCAAAGTGTTGGGATTACAGGCGTGAGCCACCATGCCTGGCCTATTTATTTATTTACTTACTTATTGAGATGGAGTCTCGCTCTGTTGCCCAGGCTCGAGTGCAGTGGCACAATCTCAGCTCACTGCAACCTCTGCCTTCTGGGGTTTAAGCAATTCTTCTGCCTCAGCCTCCCAAGAAGCTGAGACTACAGGTGTGTGCCATCCTGCTGGCCAATTTTTGTTATTTTTTGCAGAGACAGGGTTTCTCCATGTTGGCCAGGCTGGTCTCAAACTCCTGGCCTCAAGCAATCTGCCCACCTCAGCCTCCCAAAGTGCTTGGATCACAGGCATGAGCCACCACACTCAGCCCCCAATTTATTTTATGAGAGAGTGGTATTTAGAAACCAAGATCATGGCATAAGGTGTGCTCATTGCTATTGGGCTGTTGCTGCTCCCAGGCCCTCTCAGGGCAAAAAGCTAAGGGATATATGTGTGCAAACACATATACATATGGCACACCTCTACATCTACAGGGTCTTACTCTGTCACCCAGGCTGGAGTGCAGTGGCCCAGTCATGACTCACCACAGCCTTGGCTTCCCAGGCTCCAGCAATACCCCAGCCTCAGCCTCAAGACAAGCTGGGATTACAGGTGCATGCCACCATGCCTGGCTTATTTTTATATTTTTTGTAGGGATGGGGTTTCACCATGTTGTCCAGGCTGGTCTTGAACTCCCAGGCTCAAGCAATGCACCCACCTGGGCCTCCCAAAATGCCGGGCTTTACAGGTGTGAGCCTCTGTGCCTAGCCTTTTGAAAATTTGTATGCATGAGTGTATTGAAGACCATGGGCTAGGAATGGTGGCTCACGCCTGTAATCCTAACACTTTGGGAGGTGAAGGAGGCAGGATTGCTTGAGCCTGGGAGTTCAAGACCAGTCTGAACAACAGGGCGAAACCCCATCTCTACAAAAAAATACAAAAATTAGCTGGGTGTGGTGGTGCATACCTCTAGTCCCGGCTACTCAGGAGGCTGAGGCAGAAGGACTGCTTGAGCCTGGGAGGCAGAGGTTGTGGTGAGCTGTGATCGTGCCACTGCACTCCAGCCTGGGCAACAGAGTGACACCCTGCCTCAAAAAACAAAAACAAAACAAAAAAGGCAAAAAACAAAAAACCCAAAACCATGAGTTCACACTGATACCTCCAATTCCAATCCAATGCCATATACATTTAACTTATTTGACCAATGCCTGTATGCAGCCCCTCTTCCATCACCTCCATCCCTGCACAGATGCCCTCCTTACCACATGACCCTGCCCTGGGCCACCCCACTCAGACACCCCATGCCTGCTCTACTCCTTGTAGATGCCCTCCTCATCTACCCTAGCTGATACCCTCTCCTCTCCACTGGGGGAGTCTACTCATGGGTTTGCTCTCACTCACTCTCTGACACTCTGCACTCCTGCCCCATCTCCAAATAAGTATACCCTCTCCACCCTGCTTGGGCTAATACTGTATGCCAGGCCATTCATCCATTCCTACTCATGGGGACACTCTCCACCCTGCTCAGGTTCCAAACCCTCCTTTGGGTCTCCACAATTCCCCACTCCACCCCCAGGCAGATACCTGCCATGCTCTGCCCACCTAAAGGCTTCGGGGCTTAATTGTTGGGGGAGAAGAGCTTGACAAAGATTTTGGTTTTTATTTTGAGCAGAGAGAAGCTGACTGTGGCATTAAAGACATCAGTTAGCTTGTCTGTTGTTCCCAGAATACCAGCCCAGTAGGGGGAGGGCCTACCTTGTTCACCTCCTTGTCACTCACATTTTGAGCGTCACCAACCCATGCCCACAGTTCCCTGGAAGATGGCTATGGTTATTGAGCAGAGGCAGGGAGAAGGCCCCAAGAGGCCACATACCTCAAACACGTGTTTGGATGCCCACACATGCAGATGGCAGAAAGCTGCCTTGCCCAAGAAATCAGGCAGTTGCCAGGTGATGGAATTTATGGTGTGCTGAAAGCTTGTCTGCCCTAAAATAGCTCTCTTGCTCAGTCTCAACTAGCAATTTATTTCTTCAGATTTAAGACCTGCTGTTTAGCACTGCCTGGGCTACCAGCTAACTAGCTAGGGAAAGGTAGGCAGATTGGGTAGAGGAAGGCTGCAAGACAGCAGCAATACTTTGTTTCTTATTCCCAACTCTGTTCCTGACTTTGTGTAACCTTGGCAAATAATTTCTAAGGCCTTTTCCTTTTTTACTTTATTTTTTTTTTGAAATGTAGTTTCGCTCTTGTTGCCCAGGCTGGAGTGCAATGGTGCGATCGCGGCTCACTGCAACCTCCGTCTCCTGGGTTCAAGTGATTCTCCTGCCTCAGCCTCCCGAGTAGCTGGAATTATAGGCAGGCACCACCATGCCCAGCTAATTTTTGTATTTTTTTTTAGTAGAGACAGGGTTTCACTATGTTGGTCAGGCTGGTCTCGAACTCCTCACCTCAGGTGATGCACCCACCTCGGCCTCCCACAGTGCTGGGATTACAGGCGTGAGCCACTGCGCCCGGCTTTTTTTTTTTTTTTTTTTTTTTTTTTTTTTTTTTGAGATGGAGTTTTTGCTCTTATCGCCCAGGCTGGAGTGCAATGGTGCAATCTCGGCTCACTGCAACCTCTGCTTCCCGGGTTCAAGCGATTCTCCTGCCTCAGCCTCCCGAGAAGCTGGGATTATAGGCGTGTGCCACCACGCCCAGCTAATTTTTGTATTTTTAGTAGACACAGAATTTCACTACATTGTCCAGGCTAGTCTTGAATTCCTGACCTCAGGTGATCCACCTGCATCGGCCTCGCAAAGTGCTGGGAATACAGGCATGAGCCACTGCGCCCAGGCTCGTTTTTTTTTGTTTTTGTTTTTGTTTTTGTTTTTTTTTGAGTCAAGATCTCACTGTGTCACCCAGGCTGGAATTCTCAGCACCTCAGCCTCCAGGGTAGCTGGGACCACAGGCATGTGCCACCATGCCTCGCTAATTTTTTTGATTTTTTTTTTTAGAGACAAAGTCTCAATGTGCTGCCCAGGCTAGTCTCAAACTCCTGAGCTCAAGTGATCCTCCAGCCTCAGCCTCTCAAAGTGCTGGGATTATAGGCATAAGCCACATGCCTGGTCTCTCAAGCCTTTTCAAGAACTGAGGCCTGTGTGTCACACAATTTATTCAGGGCTGGTTCTGTTTGGGGACACTGTCTGCAAGCCAGGCACTGTGCTAGGCACACATCCAGCATCCCTATAAAGGAGATGAGGATTTTCTCACTGGATGCTGAGATTCACTGAGGTTAACTGACTTCTCCATGACTACACAACTGTGAAGTTCTGGGGCCACGACTCAAACCCAAGTCGACCTGAAACAAGTTCCCAGCTGAGACAGCCCAGGTGTTGGGCCTGGGGCTATGGATTACAGTTTTTCTTTTATGTCAGAGCAGTTCTGATTCGGCTCAATGCCAGAAATTATTTACGGTTCCAAGTGTGGGGAGAGCCATCTGGTACAGTGGCTGGTTTGAGGCTGTTCTTGATGATGATTCCTATGAGGACTCAGCACCAGCAGCAGGCAATGTTTGCTGAACTCCCCTTTGTGGCTAGGACTGTACTATCCATAGGCATCAGGGAGAAACCTGCTCCTAGGGGGAAAAAACTCCCAGCATTGTCCTAGTTATGACAAATTCACCAATTCACAGTGCTTATTTCCTCTGGGGCAGGGATTGTGAGGGGGAAGAGAAGGTGGGGCAGGAGAGATAAAACAGAGGCTGAAAGGTACTATCACCAGAGTCCAAATTCCAAGGCTCATAAAAACATGGACCTTTATCAAGCCTCAGAAACCCGGCATGTGAATGTTCTCAAAGGGTGTTCTGTGGGACCTGGAAGATGCCCACAGTCAAAGACGTGTCAGACCTACCAGTCACCCATAGAACAAATCAAACCCAAAATCTGTCTAATGCAGTGGTTACCAGACTGGGAAAGGGATGGGGGAAGAAAGGATGAGGAAGGCTGGTTGATGGGTATAAAGTGACAATTAGATAGGAGGAGTAAGTTCTGGTATTCTATCACATAGTAGGATGACTATGGTTAACAGTAACGTATTGGGCCGGGCGCAGTGGCTCACGCCTGTAATCCCAACACTTTGGGAGGCCCAGACAGGTGGATCGCTTGAGTTCAGGAATTTGGGACCACCCTGGACAACATAGTGAACCTCATCTCTACAAAAAAATACAAAAATTAGCCAGGCATGGTGACATGCACCTGTAGTCCCAGTTACTTGGGAGGTAAGGTGGAAGGCTCACTTGAGCCCAGGTTAAGGCTGCAGTGAGCCATGATTGCACCACTGCACTCTAGCTTGGGTGGCAGAGCGAGACAGTCTCAACATAAATAAATAAAATAAAATATACCTTCTCGACACCCACATATTTTCTATATACAAAGCTTAAACAGTGACAGTGTTGTGTCCTATATACTCCAAAGTTTAATTCCAGGCTAGCATTTGTTAGATGATTTTGAATAGGTAAAAAACAGATTCACAAACTGTGCCAAATATTTTAAATATCAAGGGCAGATGTTAACAGGCCACAGCTGCACTCCCACTCTTTAAAATAAATTATTGCCCTAAAAAGGCATATAAATTGTTGAACTCTTCCCAGAACAAAAACTTACATGCTTCACATTAGGTTTGCCTTTTCTAGCAGAACTTTAAATAGTTCTTTGAAGATCCTGCTTGGGTGAGATTTGTGGGGAGGCAGGGCAGGGAGGATGGAGGAGCTTGATGATCACTTAGGAATGTCAGTTAATTCAGTTCTACACAAGAAATAAGTTTGTTACAGAACATTACCCATGAAAATATCTTGTCATTAAATGAATTTTTACATAGGAATTTCTTTTTTCTGTTTTTTTTGAGATGAAGTTCACTCTTGTTGCCCAGACTGGAGTGCAGTGGCTCAATCTCGGCTCACTGCAACCTCCGCCTCCTGGGTTCAAGCGATTATCCTGCCTCAGCCTCCTGAGTAGCTGGGATTACAGGCGCACGTCACCATGACCAGCTAATTTTTGTATTTTTAGTAGAGACGGAGTTTCACCATGTTGGTCAGGCTGGTCTTGAACTCCTGACAACTTCGTGATCCACCCACCTTGGCCTCCCAAAGTGCTGGGATTACAGGCGTGAGCCACCACGCCTGGCCAGTTTTTTGTATTTTTAGTAGAGATGGGGTTTCATCATGTTGGCCAGGCTGCTGTCAAACTCTTGACCTCAGGTGATCCACCCCTCATTGGCCTCCCAAAGTGCTGGGATTACAGGCATAAGCCACCGTGCCTGGCCAGGAATTTTTTTTTTTTTTTTTTTTTTTTGACAGTGAGTCCCACTCCATAACCCAGGCTGGAGTGCAGTGGCACGATCTCAGCTCACTACAACCTCCACCTCCCGGGTTCAAGTGATTCTCCTGCCTCAGCCTCCCCAGTAGCTGGGATTACAGGCACCCGCCACCATGCCCAGGTAATTTTTGTACTTTTAGTAGAGACACGGTTTCACCACGTTGGCCAAGCTGGACCTGAATTCTTGATCTCAGGTGATCCACCCACCTCGGCCTCCCAAAGTGCTGGGATTACAGGTGTGACCCACCACGCCAGCCAAATTTTCATAGTAATTTCGTAACAAGGTTAGAAACATTTGAAAGGTTAGGCTTGTCCCATCTGAAATACTGCCCAAGGTTGGGGAAAGGAGTTCTTGACCCACACAGAATCCACCCCCAATTCCTGGCCTCAAACCCCTGCTTTCTCCTCTCCTTTCCGGCTGTGAGTCCCTCAGCGTCAAGCGCAGGGAGACACTTTCGGCCGTCTCACTGTGAGCCAGCAGGGTGTGCTGTTCATCTCCAGTGGGAGTGTCAGCCGCTTCCTTCCTCCAGCTCTCACCATCACTGCTACTGGCCTGTCATCTGTCTCCTGGTCAGAACACACCATCTCTGCCTTATCAATACAGACGGCATCAAGACAGCACTTGGCATCCTTTCGGCTATCTGCAAGCCTTGCAGGGTAAGGAATACAATACTAAATACCTCAGAACTCGGTTGTGGCATCCTGTAGGAGCAGCACCAGGCATCATCACAGTGAACGGTCACAGGATATCCATCCCTCTACGCTCTGTTGTCTTTAGAGATGGTATTTACACCACAAACTGAAATGCCACAACCAAAAAGGGTAGGGGCTAAGAATGAGGTTGCTGGATCAGTGTTACTCAGAGATGACGTCCTAGAGATGTTTTCAAGGTCATTAATCACACTGAAGACCTACCATATGCCAGGCACATGTGTACCTCCTCTAATGTCCACAATGACTAGAAAGAAATTTTATCCCTACTTTACAAAGATGGGAAAAGGAGGCCTGAGAGGGGTGAAGTTCCCCAATTTTGGTTGTTTTCTTGTTTTGCTTCTTGATCAATTTCTCATCCATCTGAACTGCACTTGCTTGATTCAAATGTCACCAGAGAATGAACTAGGACTGGAACCCATTAGTGCCCATGCCCTCCCCAACATTCCAACTGCCTCCCTCCACGGGTTGCTCCCAATCCAGAGGTGGCAGAAGAGGAATTCCAGAGAGGTTAGTGGTGTGTGTAAGGGCCCCTAAGGCAGGTCTAGAGGCAGGCCAGCCTGCTAGCCTCACAGGCACACCTAGGAACATTTGCACTGGTGAAAGTCTGTCTCAGAGCCTGCCAAGGGCTCCTGCCGCAGGCAACACCTAAAGCTCTTCATACCTTAAGAGAAAGGAAATTCCAAGATTAGGAGTGGCAGACACCTCAATTTGCGTTTCCCAGAAAGATACCTGCGACTGCAGCCCCTTCTCCCTTTGTAGAGGATATTGGGTACTTTATCTGCCATTTCTCTCCACCTAGCAAGAGTGACTCTTCCATCCATCATGGCAAGGGGAAAAGGTTGAACAGCAGCACACAGCTGCTTACGACCACAGATGAAAACACTCTCGATTGATACATTTTCCCCATCTGCTTTATTATTTATTTTTTTGAGACGCAGTCTCACTCTGTCGCCCAGGCTGGAGTGCAGTGATGCGATCTCGGCTCACTGAAACCTCCGCCTCCCAGGTTCAAGTGATTCTCCTGTCTCAGCCTCCTGAGTAACTGGGACTACGGGCTTGTGCCACCATGCCTGGCTAATTTTTGTATTTTTAGTAGAGATGGGGTTTTACCATGTTGGCCAGGCTGGTCTCGAACTCCTGACCTCGTGATCTGCCCACTTCAGCTTCCCAAAGTGCTGGGATTACAGATGTAAGCCACCGTGTGCAGGCCCCCAACTGCTTTAAATGAGCACAGAGTATCAGCATACCACCATGATTAGCTGAAACTCAAGCTAGACTGCCTGGGTTCAAATTCTGGGACCTTAGTAGCTACTTACCTTATCCATGTCTTAATTTCCTCAATCTGGAAACTAAGATGGACATCAGCAGAGTTGTTGTGAAGTTTAAATCAGTTTGTATAAACCACCTAGAAGAGTGACTGGTGGCTGGGCGCCATGGTTCACACCTGTAATCCTAGCACTCTGGGAGGCGGAGGCGGGCGGATCACCTGAGGTCAGGAGTTCCAGACCAGTCTGGCCAATATAGTGAAACCTCGTCTCTACTAAAAATACAAAAATTAGCCAGGCGTAGTGGCGTGCATCTTTAGTCCCAGCTACTCGGGAGGCTGAGGCAGGGAGAATCGCTTGAACCCAGGAGGCAGAGGTTGCAGCGAGCCGAGATTGTGCCACTGCACTCCAGCCTGGGCGACAGAGCGAGACTGCATCTCAAAAATAAAATAAAATAAAATAAAAATAAAATAAATAAAAATAGAAGTGACTGGTATACAGCAATCTCTAATGTAAGCGTTTACTATTACAATGTTAATGCCCGTATTATCAAATAAAATAATCCTCAACACATTTATTCACCAAACTTCCTAACTTAATTTTAAGACAAAATGTAACAATGAATTAATAATCTGTACAAGTGCTGACAGGCACGCAGACTGGTGTGACCTCTATGGAAGGGATTTTGATAATATCTAACAACCACAGACGCGCATTTACCTTTTGAGTAGGTAGGCCCACTGCTAAGAATTTACCCTGAAGACACATCTCCAAAATAAAACACAAGATATGCAGAAGGTTACTCACTGCAGCATTAGATGTAATAATACAAGACTGCAAACATCCTAAATGCCCATCTGCAGGAGACTGGATGAATAAACAAGGTACATTATACAATTGAATAGGATGTAGCCATAAACAAGAATAAACATCTCCATGAACTAATATAAACCAACTTACAGGGAATGCTAAGTGAAAAAGTAGACATGGTGCGTCCACTCAAAAGGCCTACAAGTAATAGCACTCAGTAAAATTAAGTATGCCTATCGTCCAGATCTTGGTTTCCAAAAACCAATCTCCCACTAAAAGAAACCAGGGCTCTAGCCGGGCACGATGGCTCACACCTGTAATCCCAGCACTTTGGGAGGCAGAGGAGGGTGGATCACCTGAGGTCGGGAGTTCGAGACCAGCCTGGCCAACATGGCGAAACCCGTCTCTACTAAAAATATAAAACTTAGCCAGGCGTGGTGGCACATGCCTGTAATCCCAGCTACTCAGGAGGCTGAGGCAGGAGAATCACTTGAATTCGGGAGGTGGAGGTTACAGTGAGCTGAGATTGCACCATTGCACTCCAGCCTGGGCAACAGAGCAAGACTGTCTCAAAAAAAAAAAAAAAAAGAAAAGAAAAGAAAAAGAAAAAAAGAAACCAGGAACCAGGACTCCTTGGAAAAACGGCTGATTCCAGGTCAAAGTCAGGGAAAATGCAAGGTGAGCCTGGAACACCTTTTTGTGCCAGAAAGTAAGAAAATGCTCAGAGATTAAGGGGAGCATATCAAAAGGAAAGAGTTATATCTGTTAAGAGTATAGTATCCAGAATACATAAATAACTCTTACAACCCAATGATAAAAAGTCAAATAGGCTGGGTGCAGTGACTCATGTCTATAATCCCAGCACTTTGGGAGGCTGAGACACAAGCAAGACCCTCAAAACAAACACAAAAAACACAAAAGGCAAATAACCTAATTTTAAAATGAGCAAAGAATCTGAATAGACATTTCTCCAAAGATATATAAATGGCCAATACACACATCAAAAGATGCTCCTTAACATCGTTAGTCACTGAGATACCCACCACCTTCATACTCATGAGGATGGTTGTAATTTTTAAAAACCAAAAAAACCAGGCTGGGTGTGGTGGCTCACACCTATAACTCCAGCACTTTGGGAGGCCAAGGCGGGAGAACCACTGGAGGCCAGGAGTTCAAGACCAGACTTGACAACCCCCAGCTCTAAAAAATAAGATAAAATAAATATGGCTTTACAATGTTATTCTTTCCAGAATTTCTGACAATTTCAAGTGAGACAGGTAAACATTTTTAGTTATGTGATCAGATACCCCATATGATTAGCAGAAAATTCAATGTATCTCCAGTGGGATGATTCACCATAAAGAAAGCCACCAAAACTTGTAAGCAGTCTGGATTCGTGTTTATTGAAGCCAGTAATTAGAGACATCTTTTTTTCCCAGGACTAGAAAGCAAGGTTCCACATGACTGCATACTGCACCCGGACAGAGCCACACCCCTGGACTAAGGCTGGTGGGGGATAATCTGCAGTCTTACTTTTAAGTTAGAAACACCAATAAATTTAGTATACAGACGACAGTGAACTTTCACTTACAGCATTAACATTGTTAAGGTCATGATGTACAGAGCAGTCACTTTCAACTTTGTTAAATTAATAAAACATGACAATGTCTTCAGTTTAAATACCGATTTTAAAATGCCAATCAAAAAAAAGTGCAAACAAAATAACAATCTAGCAGCATTATCTGTTGCATTTTTAGGAAAGACCAATTCTTGGCTGTTATCTTCAGCCACGTATTCAAAGGTGGGCTTTTCTCTGATTTTTTTTTTTATTTTAAAGACAAAAAGCAGATGTAACCATTATAATGTGCATAAATAGTCATAAAATTGTCTTTAACAGTCTACCATACAAGTGTACTCTGCAAATAAAATGAATTTTACTTTAAAAACTAAAGGCTGTTTATTATTTGGCCTTTGGTTCCAATGCTTGAAAACCCCAAAATAACAAAACTCATCTCCCTTCCTCCCACCTCCCAAAAAGAACCCTGCAGCTCCCCAAAGTTGGTAGACTTTGGCAACCACTGAGCACATGACACTATGTATCAGCTTCTTCTGATACTAGGAGCTTCCACTTCTCATGAGTAAATAAAAGTGGTCTCCAAGAAACCTTCCTTCACAAGACATGTCTTAGCATTTCATCAGTTTTAGTATATTTTATATTGACACAAAAAGTGCTTATCAGTTCAAATGATAAAAAATAAAGACAAATTAAAATTTTGCATTAAAATTTAAAATTATACCATATTCCTCTTCGGCATGTGCCTTTCCAGGAATTCTTGTTTCTGAGGTCACTCATTTTACTCCCGGGGACTAAGCGACCCCACCTTTAGTGAGGCCACAAGCTGTTTGGCATCTATTGGTCACTATACCACAATTATCATTCTACAGTCAGTTTACTGTCATTACCTAGACAACCTGGTAACTGGAAGCCACAATACATTTGTTTTTTTAAAAAACTGAATTAAAAAAGGAAAAAAATAGTATATCTCAACAATAAAACTGGCACAAGAAACATTTCTATCAGAAAGGCAAGTTGATACTCAGCTTTCTCCTTAACAGTGTTCAGACCTTTACGAAAGCAATTCAAGAAAGTCTTCAAAGAGTCTTGACACAACATAGGATATTAAGTTATCCCCAGTACTACATTAGTGGTCAGTCAAATCTGGTATGTAAAAGTAATGACATTAGGGAAGTTATGCTTAGACACAGTACAACAAACATTCATATAAAAAAAGTAAACTCCACATGGTGAACTGTGGTTTTTTCCCTTGGTTTGACAACATTTTATACATTAAATTCATGGTAGTGTTTGCATTTAAATGCTGTCATATATAAAATTAAAAGTGCAATTTCAAATCCACAGAAATCATTTCCAGAATGGTGGTATAACATGACAATGTGCATGAATTTGCCCTAGGTGGGGAGACACCTGAAACTCTTATTTCCATAAGAAAAAAAATGCTACATTTTATGAAAACACCTAACAAGAGAAATGTATCATTTCCATTTTCTGTATAAAACATTCACACTTATCTGTCCATCTCATAGCACTGATCAGACCAGGAAGCTAGGAAAAGACCCTTTTGCATCAGTGGAACTCCTTGAAGCTTTCCACAAGTCATAAGGCAGGGCTTGGTACGAGCCAATTAACCAGAGTGCAATTACATTAAAAACCTCCCCCAAACTTTCCGTGGCACATTGCATTATGGTAAAACCAGAGGTTCATCACCTATTTTGTATTAGTTAGGCCAGCCTGTGATAGTAAAAACAAAAAATTTAATTTAAAAAATAAAGCAGGAGCTATTTAGACAACAAAATTCAAAGTAAACTAATTCTGTAACTGCTGACTTTGAAGACATCCCACAGTGACTGTCTGCCCCACAACACATATCCGTGGACCCCAGTACCTCTCACGAGGACATAGCCTGGGCCAAGCACATGGGTCCTGGGCAGCTGCCATCGTTCCCACCCCTGGGTCAGCTCCGCCTGACTCAGGCACCCCCACAATTAGTACATCTTTCGTAAGTTAAAGATGCATTCAAAATAAGCCTAATTCCCATTTTGCTTAGTGTTTTGTTTGGAAATGCTTCTAACAATGATTCTTCAACTTCTACTGAATGCACAGTATTTACTGACACTGCTCATCTCCTCCTTCCTCCACCTCCCTCAACATTCAGCTTCCCCACCATCACTTGTCTCATTACTCCTTCTGGTCTTTCTTTCCTGGACTTTCTGCTACTTAATCTGCTTCCCAAGAACAAGTGAATTTACTAACATGAAACTGGTCAGACTAACCATCATCTTACCAATGATTTCTTGGTCTCATTTGCTCCACCCTGTTAGAAAGTGGGCCCTCTTTCTTTCACTCTACCTTCCCCTCCACAAGAAGCCCAGATGTGCTTGCCTCCCACAAAAGAGCCACATGCCCCAGAGTCCAAGGGTTATCCTTAACAAAGGGTCTGACATGTAACCTTCCTAAATGTGCATTTCACACTCGGACAAGCCAATGAAGTTTTTTTTTTTTTTTTAAAGTTCATCTCCCCTGCCCCAAAAAACTGATAGCATGTGCCATATCAGAAAAATCCTGGTCTTAGCAGATCAATATACATAGTTATTTGGTCATTCGACATATGCACTTTTTAAGGAGGTTCAGGCTTCATTTTCTGTTGAAGAGTTTGTTACCATAGAGTCTGGCTTTCGAGTCATTCTATCCAGTTCTTCCTGAACATTTGACAACACAGTCTTTTGTCCTGAAAAAAAAAAAAAGCAAAAAAGCAAAGTAATGATGTGAGAAGAGGAAACAATTTTTTTTAAAGGAGCATTTAAAATTATACGCCTTCTATAATCACTTGATGACAGTAACCTTAATAAGAATGAGGAAAGCCCTTTTCTACTGCAGTGGTGAGGAGACCCCAACTCGGCACATCCTAATCCCAAAAGTCACAGGCCAGTGCTTCCTCCAACTCCAAGGGAGTGACTTGACTGCTCTCTGGCGGGGGGTGCCTTTGTGCCAAATACAAGAACCTTTCTGAAAACCCTCTCACCACCCAACCCTGACCCCTGTGCACTCTCACCACCATCTTCCTAGAGGTAGTACCTGAATTTCAGCAACGAAGGAAACTATTTTCTTTGCCCCAGATAGGTGTTTTTGTTTATAACATTCTAGACTGACTCAAATGGATAGCCTGAAAACATTATGTTTCAATAAGAATAAGATAGTTCAGTCCTGCACAAAATCTATACTTGTATTTTTCTGCTGTCAGACACGAACAGGCCTAGAAATAGACACCTATTTCCCAGAAGGGAATACTACCAGCCCAGAGTCTGGGCCACTAGACCAGACTCTGAGTTTCTTAGAACATAGGAGCCACTGGAGGCCCAGGCTGCCCCAAGTGATTTCCTGAGGGTCTCCTCTGCCCTGAAGACATCAATTAGGGAAAACAATGTATAAACATACCTTATAGCCAATGGAAAATGGAAAGCAAAAACCCCTTAAAATGTCCTCCAGCTTCTTGGGAAAATGTGTAATTCCCAAGGAAAACATGTTTTGTTTTGTTTCAGAGATCTCCAAGACATAGACCCGCCCTACCTGCTTACATGGAAGGACAGGTGGGTGGCTGCCACAGAGGTGTGTATGTGACAAGTAGGGAGCTTCAGGGAGGAGGAGGCCTTGACTCTGCAGTGAGACAGTGAGGGTTCACAGCCAAACTGGGGGCAGTGGAGTAAACAAAAATCCTTACAAAGCATCACAGAAAAAAAAATAGAACAAATAAAACATCACTGGTTCAGAACAACTAAGGCTTTAGTATAATTTTAAAAAATTAAAAGTAGGCCAGGTGCACTAATCCCAGCACTTTGGGAGGCCAAGGCAGGTGGATCACCTGAGGTCAGGAGTTCGAGAACAGCCTGGCCAACATGGCGAAAAACCGTCTCTACTAAAAATACAAAAAAATTAGCCGGATGTGGTGGCGCGTGCCTGTAGTCCCAGCTACTCGGGAGGCTGAGGCAAGAGAATTGCTTGAACCCGGGTGGTGGAGGTTGGCAGTGAGTTGAGATCATGCCACTGTACTCCAGCCTGGGCGACAGAGCAAGACTCCATCTCTATCAAAAAAAAAAAAAAAGTCAGCCGCAGACGGTGGCTCACACCTGTAATCCCAGCACTTTGGGAGGCCAAGATGGAGGGATCACCTGGGGTCAGGAATTCCAAGACCAGCCTGGCCAACATGATGAAACCACATCTCTACTAAAAATACAAAAAATTAGCTGGGCATGATGGCACGCGCCTGTAATCCCAGCTACTCGGGAGGCTGAGACAGGAGAATCGCTTGAACCTGGGAGGCGGAGGTTGCAGTGAGATCACGTCATTGCACTCCAGCCTGGGCAACAAGAGCAAAACTCCACCTTGGAAAAAGAAAAAAAAAGTCACTGGTACACCCTCCATGGACCATGACTTCTACTGGAGAGGTTCTACAACAGGGCCACATATGTAATTTAGGCTATACCTCAACTCACCCAACACCCAGTTCCCGAGAACCCAAATGTACACAAATCCCACTCTCAATGTGCCAAGGAAACCTGCATGGTAGTAAGGCAATCCCACTGAAAGCACGGCACACTGCTCAGTAGGAAATGAAGACCTGCTTCCTTGCTTGGCTATTCAGGACACTGCAGGGTCTGCAGGGCAGGTGTCTGCCTCTCCATCCTTGCAGCACTACTCAACCACAAGAGTCACAAGTCTCCAGGGCCCTTCTGTACCTGACTTCTTGGCTGTGCTCTGCACCCCACCAGCACCAGGACTTCCAGGAGAGCCTGTCTTTTTACTCAACAGACTGTTGAAGAAGCTGGCCAACACCCCTTCACTTGCTGCATTATCTAAGGAAAATTAAAGAGAAAAAAAAGCATCATATAAACTGGAAGACTTAAAATTAAACACCCTAGTTCTCAGCTTGGCATTAGCCACTTGTGGCTATCAGCTTCCTAGGATATTGATAACATTCATTCGCTACGATGCCTTTACACTGCTACTGCTGAGGCTACTTAGCATGATTACTAAGTGGAACCATGTTTACATTTCCCACTTGTTTGGGAGCAGAATAGATAACCTGTGCTCCACACCACCTCCCCGTCCATGAGACAGTGTTTTTCAAAGTTGCATGAGCACTTAACATTCCAAACCTGCTGTGAAAAGCTCACATCCTGAATAGAAGACACCCATCAAACAAGCATTAAATAAAACTGTTTTTTAATGATTTTACTGCAGGCAGTATCTGTGAGTATCACTAAGTTACTGGGATAAAAGCTACTTAATCTGAAAAGTAATTGAGCTTGACAAGAGAAGTGAAGGGGGAAAAATCCCCACAATTCATAGACAGTCATCATATAAACATAATGAGAAACAAAGTTACAGATTCAAAATACACATTTTAAAGTGACTCCCTCAGCCAGGGGTGGTGGCTCACGCCTGTAATCCCATCACTTGGGGAGACCAAGGGCGTAGGACTGCTTGAGGCTAGGAGCTTGAGATCAGCCTCGGCAACGTAAGTGAGACCCCTACCTCTATAAAAAATATTTTTGTTTGTGTTTTTTTGAAATGGAGTCTTGCTCTGTCACCCAGGCTGGAGTGCAATGGCACAATCTCGGCTCACTGCAACCTCCACCTCCCAGGATTAAGCCGTTCTCCTGCCTCTGCCTCCCGAGTAGCTGGGATTACAGGTGCCCACCATCACGCCTGGCTAATTTTTGTACAGAGAAGGTTTCACCATGTTGGCCAGGCTGGTCTCAAACTCCTGCCCTCAAGTGATCTGCCCGCCTCAGCCTCCCAAAGTGCTGGCTTGAGTCACCACGCCAGGCCTTTTTTTTTTTGAAACAGTCTCTCACTCTGTCACCCTGGCTGGAGCATGGTGGCATAATCACAGCTCAACTGCAGCCTCAATGCCCTGGGCCCAAGCAATCCTGCCGCTTCATCCACTTGAGTAGATGGGACTACAGGCAAGCACCATCATGCCCAGCTAATTTTTCAATATTCTGTAGAGGCGAGGTCTCACTATGTTGCCCGGGCTAGTCTCGAACTCTTTAGCTCAAGCTATCCTCCCACCTTGGCCTCCCAGAGTACTAGGATTATAGGCATGAGCCACTGCATCTGGCCTACAATAAAAATTTTAAAAATTAGCTGGGCATGGTGGCACACGCCTATAGTCCCAGCTACTCCAGAGTTGACATGGGAGGATCACTTGAGCCCAGGAGTTTGAGGCTGCAGTGTGCTATGATCGTATCACTGTGCCACAGGCTGGGTGACAGAGTGAGACCCTGTCTCTAAAAAAATAAAGTTACTATTTTGCATTCCTCTCTGAAGGAATGAGCAGGGCCTAAGTGAGGTCTCACACAGAGCCAGGTGCATGGGCTACCAATTCTAACAAAGGAACAGGCCCTGGTCTCTGCCTACCATGGACCTTCTTCCTCTGGAATGGGGGAAATGGAAAGTAGCCCTTATCGGGGAAGAGAATAGCCTGGCTTCCATGAGTCTCCACCTTATAGACTCAGCCACCCAGCCCCTGCAGGGCTCAGGTCTAAAACTAAACTACTCTCCAAAGAGACATACTTTTGAGGAATACATACTTTTGATGTTTGGGTCCGGCTTTTTTACTGACGTGCCTGGGGAGGAGCTAGGCACACTGGCTGGCCCTCCCCGACCCTGGGTCCTTGGAGAGCCAGAGGGTCCTCTTGCAGGAGATTCCTAAGTCCAAAAGCAGCTAAGGTCACACACAGGCATAACAATAACAAAAAATACATATGCCACAAATGGAGACATGCTTCTGAGGGATATTTTTCACAGGCTATGGTACAGGACTGGGAGTATGCTCTCAATTCAAGCCCTTTCTGGCTCTCTTTCTCCTGAGAGAAAGACATCCAGATAACAAAGCCAGCTCACTCTAATTCCCAGAGTTGTATTCTTTCATCAGAAACTTCTTGAGTTTCTTTTATGTTTCTGGTCATGGGTCTTTAGGGAAACCAAATTCCCACTGAAAATACAAAACCCACACAAATATACGCTCTCACAAATAATGGTATAAAGTTTGATGACACCCACAACACTGGGCCTTGACCCTCTGTTTAGTGTAAGGTACTCACAGAAGCTCTCGTGGGAGTGGCTGGTTGCTTGGCAAGGAGTGACTGCAAAGAGAGGGACAAACTGGCTATTAACCAAGGCCTGCAGAGAGCACTGAAGGTCTAGAGAAAAACTTACTCCAAGTACTCCACTAGAGGGCACTATTAACAACAACTAAGTCCTATGTTTTATACCACAGATGCCAAAAAATTTTAATTGAGCCGTTTGGTATATGGTGAAAAAAAATACTCCAAGTAACCAGTTTTGAAGCTAAGGAAGCAAGCAAAGGACAGAAAGGAAAAAGATGGAAAAAGAAGGAAACAGTTGGAAAAAGAACCATCAAAACTTCCTGCTGACCTGCCTGTACCACTGGGCAGATGATAGGTGGACCCAGGACACATCTAACAATAATCTGGGTGACAGAAATGGGAAGTCTGCATTCTAAACTGTCAGCTTGGGGAAGTTACTCTCCTCATCTGCAAAACAGGCATCACCTGCCTTTATGTACAGGGCTGTGTGAGGCTACATGAAATAATGGAAGTGTGGTCAGGTTACTTGGTTAACTGTCAACATAGGAAGTATTATGCCAGAAAACCACATTTCCAAAGAAAGAGCACTTAAAAGATGCGAATCCTACTATTCCTGTAGGAGAGTCTGCAAGGCAGGTAGGTGATCTCCTAAGGAGGTGGTCCATCCCCAACTAATCCTAGAAATAAGGAGGGAATGAGGAGACCTGGTCTCAACCCCTCTACCACTGCAAGCTCTTTGTGACTTCCCACATGCAGACACCCCCAACCCCACCCTAGGGACTGGCATTTCATGCATGAGAAGGCCTCTGTTCTAACCTCACTGGTCTTCTTACCTGTTGCTTCATTAGGAACACCTGCTCATCTTCTGCTGCCAACTCTTTGTCGTGGACCAGCTGTGAAACAACATACATGTTTGTGGCCACAGGCCAAGAATACTCCTAACCACTGTCAAACTTCATGCCGAAAGGAGAGTCCGAGGCTCAGGCTTCAACACAGGTCTGGGAGATCCCTACTGAGACTGCAGAGTAATATTTTTCTAGCCTGGCACAGACCTCTCCCAAAACCAGCCGCAGCATGTAGCCAACTGGCATTTTTAAGTCTGGCAGGTTCTAAACACCTCAGGGTCTGCAGGACATCACATGAGGGGATCCAGTAACAGTAATCCAGAGGCAACGGCAGCACTGGCAGGACTTAATGGGAAACACCACCAACTCCAGGTGAGCATTCCATCACTCCTTCCCACCAGCCCTGAGCCATTTACATAACGCCAGACCTCATTTAAAGATCAACAAAAAGGCCCTGGGACTTACTACTCCCCACTACCCCCCACAAACTATACAATGTGTAAGACCTGTTTCTTTATAGTTTTTTTTTTTTTTTTTTTTTTGAGATGGAGTCTCGCTCTTGTCACCCAGGCTGGAGTACAGTGGCCCGATCTCGGCTCATTACAACCTCCGCCTCCCAGGTTCAAGCAATTCTCCTGCCTCAGCCTCCCAACTGCTGGGATTACAGGAATCAGCCACCACGCCCCATCTTTATAGGCTTCTTTTTGCATTAAAAAACACCTAAACCCTTTTTCTTCTTTTCTTTTTTTGATATGGAGTCTCACTCTGTTGCCAGGTTGGAGTGCAGTGGCGCAATCTGGGTTCACTGCAATCTCTGCCTCCCAGGTTCAAGTGATTCTCATGCCTCAGCCTCCCAAGTAGCTGGGATTACAGGCGCTTGCCACCATACCCAGCTAATTTTTGTATTTTAGTGGAGATGGGGTTTTGCCATGTTCGCCAGGCTGGTCTCAAACTCCTGACCTCATGTGATCTGCCCGCTTTGGCCTCCCAAAGTGCTGGGATTACAGGCATCAGCCACCGCGCCCGGCCCTAAACCCTTAAAGCAATTGTCTTTGACTACCTTTCTCACGGGAGGTTTCACAATAAAGTCTTCATATGCATCTTCCGGCTTCACGGTTGTAAAATTTTCATGTAAAATAGCTATTTTCTTTTCATTGTCCCAGCCTGCAGGTCTAAAGGCAAAGAGAGAGGGACTGAATTGCTTTTCCTGGGGCTGCCTTAGAGCATACTCAGATCACATTCAGGACTCCTGGGTAGGACACTTCTCACAAGATATAGTGTGTAGTTGTTGGGGGTTGTTTGTAGCTTTTGGCAGATGTGCCAAAATACACTGTGGGTATAATCCATCAGAACATCGCAGGTCCTGCTCCATACTGAGTTCATGGGCCCAAGGTCTAAGGAGCCAGTATGAGATCCCATTCCACAGGCTGCCCCACTCAAAAGCATTTAGCACTCTCCCACAACTCTGCCTAGAAGAGCAAGGACACAGTGGGGTCCTGTTCCGACAGAGAATAGGATGCAGAGAGCAGCACAGAAGGCAGAGCTCAGGATGGGATGGTTTTCTTGGGCTCTGACATGGCTCCCCTCCTGTGGGTTGTTTCTCTAAGAATTCTTTCAACAGTTATCTTGTAGACTGGTTCATTAACTTTGCTGGCATGGGAAGATGTGTCCTAGAACCAAGGGGCAAGCAGGGCCTGTGTTTATCCTAGGCCCCAAACCAGAGAAGCACAGAGTCCTTGAGGTTCCTACACCAGTGCTGGCCAGCTCAACATCACAGGGTAGGATGGCACCCAAGTTCCATTATGTGAAGCCACAGCCTAGGGTTCCCACCTGAATCCCTTAAAGGTAGCAATGGTAAAATACCCTGTATGACACACTTTTGAACTCGAGCAGCTCTGAAAGATGGCAACTGACTGATTGTTCTCACAGGCCTCTCATTCTCCATCTGTCTTCTACTCCATAGCTCTATAATCAAGAGGGTGCTTAGCCAGGGTGCTCCACCCCAATATCCTTGCTGACTTTGCCAGTCACCAGAGAGGTAACTACCAACAGGACCAAATGTGCAAACGGGCAGGGCATGATTGAGATACTGCCGTGAGCCATGCAGCCTTCGGAAGCTGAGAGATGCTTCTTCATTCCAGACCAGCCCCAAATCCAACCGGTCTCCTTGCTCCTAGGGATGACATGTGATTTGGATACCAAGTGATTCCAAACACACCTCTCACAGGGCTTGTGCCTCTGGCGCCTGCCTGACTGCTCTGAACAACTATCTAAAATCAGCCCAAGCCTGTAGGTATGCCATCTATGACTAGCCTGAGTGACACTCTCCTTGACTGTGCAGGAGGCAACCCAAATCCCTGAGAGCTCCTGGCTTTCACATTTCCAGCCTCTCACAGACTGCACTCCCCGGCTCCCCCTATTGCAATTCTTTCCAGTCCGCCTGGGATCTACCATTTGTCTTCCAGCATCACCCTCCTGCTTTCCCTGCCATACTTCCTCCATAACCCCATCACTGCCCTTCCCTTCTTCAGCTGTGTATGTCCCCTCTAGACAGTGCCATATGCAAGGAACACGTATCATTCATTTCTGTGTCCTTTGCAGAGAACCTGAGCACCTAGTGGGTGCTGAATAAGGTTTCCTGAATGAATAATGTAATTGTTTGTTAAGTCAGGAGGATACTGAAGCCTGAACATCAATCTGCTAACACAAGTCTTGTCAGAGACCACAGCTTCATATTTATGCATCCAGCAACACTATGATTCTCCAGTGAGAGAAAGACACCAGCTTAGGAAAACAGGTATCCAAGTCTCTATCGAGGACAATCAATCCCGGTGGCTCCCAAAATGTGAAATGCCAGAAGCACAGTAAGCACTTAATATAGCGAAAGCCCATGCTGACAGAGATGCCGAGAGGATGTTTGCAGTCATCCCTGCCAACACACAGATAAAGCAGGCGCTTTAATAGAAGACATTCAGGATCCCCCAAGCACAATTCCCTATATTCCCTCCCCAGCCAGTATTTTACCAGAGTTGACAGTGAGTGCCAAAAATGGCTGGCTTAGGTTTTGGCAACTTGCTCTCGAGGAAGAAAGGCAGCACCCCTGACCACACCACCCACTTCCCTCAGGCAGATGCCTCATAATCCGGAAAGGAACAGAGAGAAGGTGCAGTGAGAGAGCTGGCTGTAGAAGACACAGACAGAAGGCACCTTCCTTGAAGGGGTAAAATGTAAAAAGCAAATGTACTTTAAAAAGAAGAGTTTCAAAGCATCAGCTCAAAATAACTCACATAAAAACGGCATCCTTTTCCACAACTAAGGCAGGTGTGGTGAAGTGGAAACCGTATGTTTTATGAACAATATACTTATACAACAAGTCGAGGTTTTTCTCTTCTTTCACTGATGTGTAAATCAAGGCAGCTCCATCTAATCAATCTGCTCAAGAAAAATCAATTCACTGCAGGAGGAGACAAAATCGAACACATACAACCTCAAAGTACTACTCATAGGTTGATCAGTTTTTGATCAATATATGAGCAACAGAAAGCATTACAATTTTAAAAACTAAAACGCTTATAGTATTACATAGGCATACTGCACACTGGTAAAAATAAATAAATAAATAAAAAAGTAAAAAGGTCATAGTAGCAGATGAATGAAGTCAAAAGCATAAAGCTATGTTGATGCTAGTGGGCTGTAGAGTTTATTTTTTAACGTGTAAATTGTTGTCTTGATCCCACAGATTACTTCCTGAGAAGTAAAGTATTGGCTCTGAGGTTAGCCCAGGAAAACACTCTCAGAGTATCAAGGTACACAGATTCCTTCCCAGACAGATGCCTACATGCGACCAAATTTATCATTAAACCCATCTTTTGAGGGATGGGTGCCAACAGGCTAATGGGCCATCCCAAAAAAGATGGCAGGAACTCATCTCTCACCTCCACCCCAGGGTGTGGAACCACGGCACCAACTGCTATTGGCTTTTTATAGTTAACAGGACTCAAAAGACTACAGACACCACCTCTCTATCATGGACAGCACAAAACATAAACATATGGGAAACACCAGTAGCCTATAAAACAATACCCTGTTTGGTAATTGACCTTTTCTACATAAAAGCAAAGTTTAAAAATATTTCTAAGACAGTATGATAAAAGTAATTTGATGATAAAATGATCACATTAAATTCTTAATAGGAAAGCTTATCAAATGTATAGCATTAATTAAAAGTGGGCAGACACAGTGGCTCACGCCTGTAATCCCACCACTTTGGGAGGCCAAGGAGGGCAGATTACTTGAGGTCAGGAATTCGAGAATAGCCTGGCCAACATGCTGAAACCGTCTCTACTAAAAATACAAAAATTATCCAGATGGCCAGGCATGGTGGCTCGCGCCTGTAATCCCAGAACTTTGAGGGGGCCGAGGTGGGTGGATCACATGAGGTCAGGAGTTCGAGACTAGCCTGGCCAACATGGTGAAACCCTGTTCTCTACTAAAAATACAAAAACTAGCCGGGTGTGGTGGCTCATGCCTGTAATCCCAGCTACTTGGGAGGCTGAGGCAGGAGGGTCGCTTGAACATAGGAGGTGGAGGTTGCAGTGAGCCGAGATCATGCCACTGTACTCCAGCCTGGACGACAAGAGTGAAGCTCTGTCTCAAAACAAACAAACAAAAATCTGGAAGTGGTGGCGCACACCTGTTGTCCCAGGTACTCAGGAGGCTGAGGGAGGAGGATTGCTTGAACCCAGGAGCACAAGAGCTAAGACTGCACCACTGTACTCCAGCCTGGGTGACAGAGCAGACTCTGTCTCAGAAAAAAAATTAAAAAATACGCCGAGCGCAGTAGCTAACAGCTATAATCCCAGCACTTTCGGAGGCTGAGGTAGGTGATCACTTGAGGTCAGGAATTTGAGACTAGCCTGGCCAAAGTGGTGAAACACCATCTTAAAACAAACAAACAAACAAACAAATAAATGAGTGATCAAAGGTAGACACAAGTTAATAAACCTAAAACTCCGATACAGTAAAACATAAACCTAGTAAAAAGATATATACAAATTCTCTTTGGCAGAACACTATTCTGGGTTTGGGAGGTGCTTTATCTCTTTGAAGATGCCCCATTTGGAAGAAAGCCTGTGACCCAGGCCCCACACAGCGCCCAAAGGATACACTGAAGGCAGAACCTCCGCAGGTGTGACTGGATAAAGTCCAAATGCTCATCCCTGTAATCGTGCTCCTTCTCCAGGACACTCACCGCATCACACTGCAGGGAAGACAGACAGAGTCACCTTTTTGCTTCATTGCCTGCTGACGATGGGAACACCTCATTCTTCAGAAATAAAGTATTGTGGCTCCAAAGAAGAAAGCCACAGCTCAGGGTCCAAGCATTAATTAGAGAAGAGTAAAAAAGAACCGGAGATTTTTCTCATTCATCTTGGGCCTCGTTTTTTTTTTTATCTGTAGAGTGAAGATGTAATAGGCCTGATCACCTAACAGTTTGTTCTAAACATCAAACAAGCTCCCATCAGGAGGCAGGCCCGGTGTACACAGTTGTACACTCCACTCCACAGGGCTCCATTCTCAAGAACAGGATGAGAATGGCACACTATAATTGGGTAACATGATGGCTCTGACTGGAAATAAAGTACTTTTAAAACCCAAAATGTGGCCAGGCGTGGTGGCTTACACTTGTAATCCCAACACTCTGGGAGGTCAAGGTGGGCAGATCACCTGAGGTTGGGAGTTTGAGACCAGCCTGACCAACATGGAGAAACCCACATCTCTAATAAAAATACAAAATTAGCCAGGCATGGTGGCGGACACCTGTAGTCCCAGCTACTCAGGAGGCTGAGGTAGGAGAATCGCTTGAACTGGGAAGGCAGAGGTTGCAGTGAGCCGAGATCACACCATTGTACTCCAGCCTGGGCAACAAGAGTGAAACTCCGTCTCAAAAAAAAAAAAAAAAAAAAAAAAAGTTTTAAAACCTATTGTTTTTCCTTATATAAGAGATACAACTTTATTTCTCTATTTCTCTATGACTGAACTTTGTTTGTTTTTTTTTTCTTTTTTTTTTGAGACATAGTCTCACTGTGTCATCCCGGATGGAGTGCAGTGGCGCCATCTCAGCTCACTGCAACCTCAGCCTCCCAGCTCAAGCAATTCTCCTGCCTCAGCCCCCGAGTAGCTGGGATGACAGGCACCTGCCACCACGCCTGGCTAATTTTTCTATTTTAGTAGAGACAGGGTTTCACCATGTCGGCCAGGCTGGTCTTGAACTCCTGACCTCAAATGATCCACCCACCTGAGCCTCCCAAAGTGCTGGGATTACATGAGCCACCATGTCTGGCATGACTGAACTTAATTTCTATTCCTACCTCATCATTCTAATTTTCCACCATCAGTTTGGACCACATCAGCTGATTTAAATAGCCTTAAGGAAACTGCTGTGAGTTCTTTTTTTTTTATTTTTATTTTTTGAGACGGAGTCTCGCTCTATCGCTCAGGCTGGAGTGCAATGGCATGATCTCGGCTCACTGCAAGCTCCACCTCCTGGGTTAATGCCATTCTCCTACCTCAGCCTCCCAAGTAGCTGGGACTACAGGTGCCCGCCACCACGGCTGTCTAATTTTTTGTATTTTTTGTAGAGACGGGGTTTCACCATGTTAGCTAGGATGGTCTCCATCTACTGACCTCATGATCCGCCCACCTCAGCCTCCCAAAGTGCTGAGATTACAGGCGTGAGCCACCGCAACTGGCCAACTGCTGTGAGTTCTAAGTTTGAAAGTCAACAGTGCTTCAGAGACATTAACCCTAGGCCATGAGCAAACTGACTAGTCATGTTTCCTGCATTTAAACTTCCAATTTACATGATAATTTTTTCTGTCTTGACATATTCAATGTACCTTAATGAATCTCAAATAAGCCCAAGTCTCCCTTGGGAAAAAAACGTCAACAGTTTCTCAAACTTTCAGATGGTGACTGTTCACCACCCGAACCCAGCCAAGCCAACAACCCCCTGGCACACACCTTTGTGCACACCACCAACACCGGGATCCCCAGGTTATGAGTCAGCACATTGTCACCCAGAGGCAGGGCAACATTTTCTTCATCGGAGCCTGAGGTCAGAGGGCCTCTTCTCTGTGGGGAACCTTGACAACCTTCTTCAGGTTCCATATAGTCTTGAAAATCTTTCACAACTGGGGGAAAAAGAGGAAAAAAAATCACATGCACATAAATAAAAATACATGTTAGCTTTAGAACACTGAAAAGAAGGCAATAATAAGCACAAAACACAGGCAGTTGTGTGTGACAAACTTCTTAGTCACATCCAACTGCAAAATCAAGGATTTGGGGATGGTGATACAAAATGCCAATTCTGAAATATTCAGTGTGAGCTTTGTAACATCGGGGCAGCAAAGACATTCCCCTGGGCATCTTTAATTGCACCAAACCCCTGAACAGGTTTTTTTTTCTTCTTTTTTGAGACAAAGTCTTGCTCTCTTGCCCAGGCTGAAGTGCAGCAGTCTGATATCACCATCTTCTGAGCTCAAGTGATCTTCCCACTTCAGCTTCCCAAGTAGCTGGGACTAAAGGCATGTGCCACCATGCCCAGCTACTTTTTAAATTTTTGTAGAGGTGGGATCTTCCTGTGTTGCCAGGCTGGTCTCAAACTCTTGGGCTGCAGAGATCCTGCTACCTCGGCTTTCCAAAGTGCTGGGATTATGGGATTACAGTCTTGAGCCACCATGTCTGGCCCTTAAACAGGTTTTTAAAAAATACTAAGGTTTCAATAGTTCTTACCATGAAGAAAGCCACTTTTCTTATGTATCTTACATTTTCAGAATACCAGAAGAGTTGAACTGTGTAACTTCAACATAGCTGACCATTAGAAACAGCTATAACTTACAATACTTATCACAGTCCTCATTAGAAATGCCTAATGAGCTGGGCACAGTGGCTCATGCCAGTAATCTCATCACTTTGGGAGGCCAGGGCGGGTGGTTCACCTGAGGTCAGGAGTTTGAGACCAGCCTGGCCAACATGGCAAAACCCCATCTGTACTAAAAATGCAAAAATTAGCTAAGGATGGTGGTGCACCTGTAGTCCCAGCTACTTGGGGACTCGTGCTAAGGCATGAGAATCGCCTAAACCTGGGAGGTGGAGGTTGCAGTGAGCTAAGATTGCGTCACTGTACTCCAGTCTGGGCAACAGAGTGAGACTATACCTCAAAAAACAAAACAAAACAAAAAACAAAAACAAACAAAAAACAACAAGCTTCCACCCTGGCCAACATGGTGAAACCCTGTCTCTGCTAAAAATACAAAAATTAGCTGGGTGTGGCAGCACGTGCCTGTAATCCCAGCTACTTGGGAGGCTGAGGCGGGAGACTCAGTTGAACCAGGGAGTCGGAGGTTGCAGTAAGACAGAGCGAGACTCCGTCTCAAAAAAAAAAAAAAAAAAAATGCTTAATGAAACAATTGAATTTTATAAGAACATGCTGTTTCCACACAGCTGAAGCTTGTCAGCACTAAGTAACCAGGCTGGTCTTGCCCAGCACCAGATGTATTTCCTTATTATCCTCACTCTTGTGGACTCAGTCTCATCTTTTGGGGATCCCAAGTCACTTGTGCAGTGTTCACGGCCTATTCCTGCCTAACACAAGAAAGGGTCAGTGGTACAACATCCACTTATTGGCATACAATATTCACTAATCCAGCTAAGGAAGGCCATTAAGGTGACAATGGTCCGAGCCTCAGTTAAGCCAAGTGACCACAAAGCCCACAGCTCTGCACCTTTATGTGGGCACTTCAAGGCTCTCATGTTGGTCCAGAGAACAAAAAATGCAACAGTTAAAGCTACCTTGAGCCAGAGAAGAAAACAGGCAGCTCTACCCTTCTAAGTCCAGTAAGACTGAAGGATCAAAGGCCTTTTACTCTCACCAACATGCTAAGTAAATTCAAACAACAGGACTGAAGAGGACCTAGAGAAAGGTCCTACCTGCTCCTCTTCACCCACAGAACACGTTTCAAACATTTCAAACCACGAGTTTTTATTTACAAAGATTTGACGTTACTATTATATGAGCTTCTGAAATTATCTGAGAGCTCTCTGTCTTTCATGTAACAGTGAGCAAACTGAAAACTAACTGATTAGGCCCTAAAGTGCAGATGTGATATTTCATCTCTACAGCTTCTTTTTTTTTTTTTTTTTTTTTTTTTGTGATGGAGTTTCGCTCTGTTGCCGAGGCTGGAGTGCAGTGGCACAATCTCGGCTCACTGCATCCTCCACCTGCCGGGTTTAAGTAATTCTCTGCCTCAGCCTCCTGAGTAGCTGGGATTACAGGCACCTACCACCATGCCCGGCTAATTTTGTTTTGTATTTTTAGTAGAGACAGGGTTTCACCATCTTGGCCAGGCTGATCTTGAACTCCTGACCTTGTGATCCACCCACCTCAGTCTCCCAAAGTGCTGGGATTACAGGCGTGAGCCACAGCACCCGGCCTACAGCATCTCTTTAATTAAGCTCATTCATATACCTTCACTGTCAGGCTAAACGCGATGGCTTATGTCTGTAATCCCAGAACTGTGGCAGGCCAAGGCGGGTGGATCATGAGGTCAGGAATTCAAGACCAGCCTGGCCAACATGGTGAAACCTTGTCTCTACTAAAAATACAAAAATTAGCCAGGCATGGTGGCGGGCACCTGTAATCCCAGCTACTTGGGAGGCTGAGGCAGGAGAATCACTTGAACCCAGGAGGTGGAGGTTGCAGTGAGCCGAAATCGTGCCATTGCACTCTAGGCTGGGTGACAGTGAGACTCTGTTTCAAAAAAAAACAAACACACACACACACACACACACACACACACACACACACACACACACACACAAATACTTCACTGTTAATACAAATAATCTAGTCAAGTAAACCATACTCCATTTTGGATAAAAACAGAGAAGAACTCCTCCATGTGGTTGTTGAAGGGTCTTTAAAGGAATCAAATATTCTCACATTTTTCTCTTTAAAAGCACTTTTAACAAATCTTCAAATCAATAAAATATACAATGGCTTAACTGGGCAAGATCTAATGCCCGAAGATCTCGTGAGGCACTCAACTAGGGCTTCCCAGACAGTGAGAAGCACAGAGCCTGGAAGGGCTCACAGGTAAGCTAAGCTACGGTTGGAAGGTGGAGGCAGGAAGTTCAGACAGCTGGCTCCACGAACCTCCACCCCATTACCTCGTGCACTGTAAACTTTTCTGCTGTTTTTTACCTGTGCCATGAGGAGAAAATAGTTCAGAAGCCCTAGATTATTCACGCTCTAAAGGAATGACTTAATTGTGGCTGCCCAACAATAGGAAATTCACATTTTTAAATAACTTAGCATTTTATTTTATTTATTTAATTGTTTTTGAGATAGAGTCTTGGCTCTGTTGCCCAGGCTGCGGGGCAGTGGCACAATCATGGCTCACTGCAGCCTCGACCTGCTGGGCTCAATCAATTTGTCTGCCTCCGAGTAGCCAGGACTACAGGCATGTACCACCATGACTGGCTAAATTTTTTTAGAGACAGGGTTTCGCCATGTTGCCCAGGCTGGTGTCAAACTTTTGGTCTCAACCAATTGGCCCACTTCAGCTTCCCAAAGTGCTGGGGTTACAAGCATTGAGCCACTGCGCCTGGCCAACTTAGCATTTTAGAAAGCAATTTGGAAAGCAGAGCAAATATACATAACATGAGTGAAAAGGCAGTATTAAAAAGAGGAAGGACCATGTAAGTTGGATAGTAAAACGTGCATTTTTTCTTGGGTATACACATACTGCAGTGTTAACAATTTCTCTCCAGATGGTGAGTATTTCACAGCAGGGGACATCAGCCCACTTGGGGCTTCCCTTTGGAATCAGATGGGAGTGGGTACAAGAAGATCACAGAGCATCTTCACTGCTGCTGCTGCTTCTCTCTCAACTTTTCCCTCCTACCTCATTTATTGGTTTCACAGTCCTGAGAAGACCCCATAGTCCTACATAAGCATAAGAAAAGCCCCATATATAAAACAAGAAAGAGAAGACTAAAGTACAAAAAAGCGCCACCTTCTGGTGGCTATAGGGGATGCTTTCCCTTTCACTCAGATGATCCCTGCAGCCAAACAGCTGCCACAGACACAAAACCACTGGGAACCTAACCCTAAAAGAGACTGGCCGGCCATGGAGCAGCTTTCCAAAATCATAAGAATGGAGACTGGTGTTGGACTGGAAACCAGGTTGAATAACAGCCCTTCACTCCTTCCATATAACATCTAGAGTCCAATTAATCTGGAAAGCAAGAGTCCTCTGGGCAAGAGGATAGCCAACTGCTTTATTAAAATGTAGCCTAAACCCAGTACTAACAAAGGCTCCTCCAACATACAACACAAAGACGTGGCTACCATTCCAAACATCTGAGAAGGGGTGGTGACAGCAGAGAGGCCAATGGAAAACCAACCAGAGTCGTGGGACATGGTTCCAGCAATTGCTAGCTGCCCTACGGTGTCCTCTCTCCTCTTCCTCCTTATAACCAAACTGAACTTTGATATTTAGAACACATGGCAACCCAAAGTAAAGATTACATTTCCCAGCCTCCTTAAGAGACAGCAGCCCCTGCAGCCCTGCATTTCTCTTCCTCCATCCTGCTGACTGGAACACGGATGTGAAGGCTAGAGCTCTCAGTCAGGAGGAAGAGAACCACACCCTAGAAATGACAAAGCAGTAAGCACAAAGGAGCAAGGTCCTCCAGCTGTCTTCCCAGGGCTCTAATTTCCAGTCCTCAACTACCTACACCTCCAGATTTCATTTACAGGAGAGAAATAACCCTCAGTCTTGTTTAAGCCATTATGTTATCTCAGGTTTTATGTCACATGCAGCTGAATCTAATCCTAAATAACAGCCATCAATGACTAAATCACAAAATAAATTCAGTGTTTCATGGAAATTTAAGCCCCCCAGAAGCAGGCCTTTTATTTACTGTGTCTCCAGCACCTAGAACCTGGTACCTGGTACAGTATAGGGCAGACACTTTCCCTATCTGGGAAAAAACAATATTGGCTCAATCTCTCTCTTTTCTGTCTTAACAGATCTCTACAAGGTTATCACTCTAAGAAAACAGCTTCAGAGAACTGAAGTCACCAGTACATTAGCCCACTCATCTGGGTACAAAGCTGTCTGTGCAGTGGATGAAAGCAGGTCTTCAGACTCAGAACTATTCAGAGAAGTTGTCCTTAAGGGCTCTATTTCAGGAAAAAAGAGGCATTATCTAGAAAGGTCAGTGGTTGAAGACACATGAGCTGAGCTGCATAACAATCACAGTAGCACACATGCGGGTGACCAGGGAAATATACACATGCACAACAAACCGAAGAATACAATGTTAAACTCATTGTTTTAGACAACGTGGGACAGAAGCAAGATGAAGTACTGGACAGAAAACACACTGCGAGAAACTTGATTTAAAAAGCGCATCAAAATTTCTGAACCATTCTGCCAGTAAGTGTGAAGATCCCGTGTGCCATGCCCGAGAAGCCCTCATTAATTCACCAGAGGGGGTGATGTCATCCTGTGAAAATACGCCAGGCTGGGTCAAGCTTGCCCCGGCCAGGACGGCTGCTGCTGCTGCCATGGCTCCAGCCCCTGCCCCTCCCATTTCCCTGGCAAGTGGACAGAAGATGATGTAACTGCACAGAAGCAAGGGAAAGGAAAAACAAGCTTCTGAACCACATTAAGGAAAAAAAAACCCAAACAAACTTCCTTTAATTTGAAAGTTCTTTGTTGTCAAAAGGGCTTGGATGTCCTTAGTCTTAAAATAACCTTTCATGTTAATTACAAAAAAAAAAAAAAAAAAAAAAAGACCCTCCTATTTCTAACTAAAATCGTATTTTGCTGGATTCCAAAATGAACTAAGGAGCTGAAAGCTTTGTCTTTCTTAGGACTTCCTCTAAGCCTGCCAACACGAGGGTCCATAGGGCCTTAATGGAATTCCAGGGCAGTAAACTCAAGCTGCAGAGACCACAGCAAACCCTCACATCCTCTGATGTTAACTCAGCAGACAGAGAGTAACAGAAAAGCACAGAGATCCACAGAACTTAACACATTTTAGGGAGTGAGGGAAGAACTCTTATTTGAAACGGAAACCAATGAAGATAATAAATATTGATTTGTTTTCTTCAACTTGTGACACTTGAGTTAAAGACTGCTTTGAATACTTTTGACTACTGAGTTTACAAGAGGAACTCTGAAATAAATGGTGCAAACAAAACAAAACCACGAAGCAAGGGAAGCCTCTAGGATTGGGAAAAGGAAAGTGATTCAAACCATCTAAAGAGACTCGTGAACTTCCCAATTAAGAAAATTATATTTTACTCACACTTCCGTTCCAGCTCCCTCATTTTTTCTGGTGGAATTTTCATTTTATCAATGTGCTCACGTAAAACACTAGCCCATTTCTGCAGAGATTCCATCACAGTCCAAGGTCTAGACATGTCTGCAACAAAAATGACGAGGGTCTCTGGCAAGGATTCAGCAGAAACTGCAAATTTCAGCAGGCCTTTGTGGTACAAGTCTCCATCCAGAATCCACACGTTGCAGCGCGTGTGATCTGAGAAAACAAGTGAATGAAGCTAGTTACCACCTGACAGTGACCATCAGCATAGCTGCAGAAACAGACACATCAGGAAGATCTTGAAGGTGACAGCTATGAATTCTAAATAGAATGCAAAATTTGGAAATCCAAACCAAAAAGTGCCCAAGTGCTCAGGAGACAGCAATCCTTGGTCCTGGTGCCTTTAAAACTACAGTAATATAGGGTCCAGGCATGGTGGCTCACACCTGTAATCTCAACACTTTGAGAGGCTGAGGCAGGTGGATCACTTGAGGTCAGGGGTTCAAGACCAGCCTGGCCAACATGGCAAAACCCCATCTCTACTAAAAGTACAAAACAAATTAGCCGGGCATCGTGACACTCGCCTGTAATCCCGGCTACTTAGGAGGCTGAGGCAGGAGAATTGCTTGAACCCAGGAAGTAGAGGTTGCGATGAGCTGAGATTGTGCCAATGCACTCCAGCCTGGGCAACAGAATGAGAGTCCATCTCAAAACAAAAACAAAAACAAAAACAAAAACAAAACAAACAAAAAAAACTACAGTAATATAGGAGGTGTTCACACCTAAAAAGGTTTCCAAAATGTCTATGAAGTAAAGATTGAGGGTATCGGACCCAGTGCGGTGGCTCACACCTATAATCCCTGCACTTTGGGAGGCTGAGGCGAACTGATCACGAGGTCGGGAGTTCAAGACCGGCCTGGCCAGCATGGTAAAACCTGTCTCTATTAAAAATACAAAATTTAGCTGGGCATGGTGGCAGGCGCCTGTAATCCCAGCTACTTGGGAGGCTGAGGTAGGAGAATCACTTGAACCCGGGAGGCAGATGTTGCAGTGAGTCGAGATCGTGCCACTGCACTCCAGCCTGGATGACAGAGTGAGACTCCATCTCAAAAAAAAAAAAAAAAAAAAAAGGGTGAGAGTCTCTTAGCTTTCAATAAAAACCAAAAGATACTAATGTTCACTGGTCAACTGTGCCACAACCTAAATAATCCATCATCCTAAGGTAACAGCAATCAGTGAAGCAGTGAGCTGTGCTGAAGAGCCTATGTTTAAACAAGCCCTTCTTGTGTTGGTCACACTAAACAATGCATTCACATACTATAAAGGATGCCAAAGAGACAGAACCTTTGTATTTAAATGTGAAGATAAAATCATCACTTACATAAACTGAGATATGAATTACCAGACGCCTAATTATATTGGGGAATTAGTAATTTTTTGTTATGATAATAATATGGTTATGTTTTTAAAAAATTCTTATCTTAGATGTCCTTATGGCAGTATACATAGATAAAATTTAATGTCTGAAATCTGCTTCAAAATCATCTAGTGGGGAGTAAACAGAGCAAAGAGTAAAAGTACAGTTGAAATAAAATTGATCAAGAACTGGTTATGTATGTTTGTATATTTATTTTTGAGACAGCGTCTGAGACACCCAGGCTGGAGTGCAGTGGCAACTGCAGTCTCGATTTCCTGGGATAGTGATCCACCCACTTCAGCCTTCCAAGTAGCTGGGACTACAGGCACAAGCCACCATGCCCAGCTAATTTTTTAGTTTTTTGTAGAGATAGGGTCTCCTGATATTGCCCAAGCTGGTCTCAAACTCCTAGGCTCAAGCAATGCTCCTGCCTCGGCCTTCTAAAGTGCTGGGATTACAGGCCTGAGCCAGTGCGCCCAGCCAGAACTGGTAATTGTTGAAGCAAGGTGACAAGTACACTGTGGTTCATGATACCACTCTCTACTTTGTATATATTTTTTGTTTTCTACTAAAATAGATTCACACAAATGTGCAAGTGCTAAGATGTAATGAAACGTGGTTCCAAATGAATACCAGGATGATCTAACTGCCGAAGACAATTCTCCAAATTTATTCATTTATTTGAGATGGAGTCTCACTCTATCACCCAGGCTGGAGTGTAGTGGCACGATATTGGCTCACTGCAACTGCCGCCGCAACCGCCGCCACCCCTCCCTGCTGCCCAGGTTCAAGCGATTTTCCTGCCTCAGCCTCCCAAGTAGCTGGGACTACAGGCACGTGCCACTACGCCTGGCTAATTTTTGTATTTTTAGTACAGATGGGGTTTCACCACGTTGGCCAGGCTGGTCTCGAACTCCTGACCTCAAGTGATCTGCCCGCCTCAGCCTCCCAAAGTGCTGGGATTATAGGCATGAATCACCATGCCCGGCCAAATTTATAATGTATTTTTAGAAATTTTCAGTTATCTTTTGAGAACTATTTTTTATTTATTTTTATTTTTTGAGATGGAGTCTCCCTCTGTCACCCAGGTTGGAATGCAGTGGTGCAAGCTCAACTCATTGCAATCTCCTACTCTAAGGCTTCGATTCTCCTGCCTCAGCTTCTGAGTAGCTGGGATTACAGGAGTGCACCACTACGCCCAGCTAATTTTTGCATTTTTAGTAGAGACCGGGTTTCACCATGTTGGCTGGGCTAGTCTCGAACTCCTGACCTGTGGTGATCTGCCCGCCTCAGCCTTGTTGGGATTACAGGCATGAGCCACCGTGCCCGGCAGAACTATGTTTTATAAAAGTACCTTGAGAACTATCATCAAAAATATTTTATTAACTATTAATACTTTTTCTTTTTGTGATGAGTTTTACTTTGTTGCCTAGACTGGAGTGTAGTGGTGTGGTGTAGGGGTGTGCCTAGACTGGCGTAGCTCACTGCAGCCCACGCCTCCCAGGTTCAGGCGATCCTCATGCCTCAGGCTCTTGAGTGGCTGGGATTACAGTTGTGTGCCACCATACTGGCTGATTTTTGTATTTTTAGTAGAAATGGGGTTTCACCACGTTGTCCAGGCTGGTCCCGAACTCCTGGGCTCAAGGGGTCCGCCCACCTCAGCCTCACAAAGTGCTGGGATTACAGGCGTGAGCCACCGCGCCCGGCCTATTAGCTTCTTTTTCAATAAATTCCAACATATACTTTAAAACCAGCAGGGCCTGGTGGCTCACGCCTGTAATCCCAGCACTTTGGGAGTCTGAGGCGGGTGGATCACTTGAGCTCAAGAGTTCAGGACCAGCCTGGACAACATGGCAAAACCCCATCTCTACAAAAGATACAAAAATTAGCCAGGCTTGGTGGCATGTACCTGTAGTCCCAGCTACTCGGGAGACTGAGGAGGGAGGACTGCTCGAGCTCGGGAGGTGGAGGTTGCAGGGAGCTGAGATAATGCCACTGCACTCCAGCCTGGATGACAGAGCCAGACCCTGTCTCAAAAAAAGAAAAAAAATAAAACAAAACAAACAAAAAAACCCAATCTTCCTCTTTTAGAAAAATATACTTAAAAAAAAACCTATCTTTTATTAACTTTTTTGTATAAGCAATTAACATGCTATAAAAAAATTTATATTCATGGCTTTGTGTCAACAGTATAAAGTATCTAAATCTAGCAATACTTTCAAATTCTATTTTAGCGGCTTTAGTTTGGGTTCTGTGAATGTCCTCAAAAATACTACTCTGTACCCAAAGTCTGTGGGTTTTAATGCCTACCCATCCACAGGCATGGTTCCTTTTTTCAGCCTCTCTCCCCACTGCCCACTACACGTAACTCACCCATGTGCTTGGAGATCACACCACGTGTAGCATTAAACAGATGCCCCCAAACCTGGAGGCAGAGGTCCTTTGACATGTCACATCCTACCACAAACTAGGTACAAGCCAGAGACTGTTTTCTCTACCTGGGTAACTGCTTGCAAAGTGTATATTTATAACTCAATCACATCACACAGTAAGAAAGACTAGGGCTGGAAAATGTACCATTAACAACAGATAAGGGCAATTCTTCCATCAAACAGGAACTTGCAAGCGGGTGGCCTAAAAAAATCCAATAAATGCAGAGACCAAGAAGTTTTTAAGGTAACTTTAAAAAAATCTGTATATAAGTTAAAATATACTTAAAGGCAAATAAATGTGGTCAACACGATGCTCTGGCATGAAATATGCTTATGGTATCTTGAAACAGAAGAGGCTATAGAGATTCACAGATTACCTACATCATGTTTTACACTTTCAAAAGAAACAAAAGGGTACTAGAGCTATCACCATGTCTCAAGCACTGTTACACCTGATACACCCTGTATCATTTTGTATAGGCACCATTACCCCATTCTACAAATGAGGAAACTCAAGTACAGAGTGGTTAAGTCAGTTACCCAAAGCCACACAACTACTGACTACAGGCATGGCATTCTGAACGAGTTCTGCCTGGCTCCAAAGCCACAGCTCTTTCCACAGTAACCACACTGTCCAAAAAAGGAAGCAAAAGACTCAATACATGTGAGATCCTCTGGCCAGGCTCAGCAGCCCTGTATGTACAGACTCCAGTGGGCCTAGATGAGTACCCAAATGCCTCTGTCCTTCTTACACAAGAGACTCTTACCCATGCCCTCAACATTTTTTTTTTTTTTTGAGACAGAGTCTCACTCTGTTGCCCAGGCTGGAGTGCAGTGGCACAATCTCGGTCACCGCAACCTCTGCCTCCCAGGTTGAAGCGATTCTCCTGCCTCAGCCTCCTGGGTAGCTGGGATTACAGGCGTGCGCCACCATGCCTGGCTAATTTTTGTATTTTTACTAGAGACAGAGTTTCACCATGTTGGCCAGGCTGGTCTCAAATGGACCTCAGGTGATCTGCCTGCCTCAGACTCCCAAAATGCTGGGATTACAGGCGTGAGCCACCGCGCCCAGCCACCCATGCCCTCTACTAAACAGCTCTTGGAGATGGTAGAATTACGGTGCTGGAAAGGACCTTGGTTCAACTTTGTCATTTTAGCAATAAGGAAATGGGGGACTAGAGGTGGTAGGATCAGCCCTCATTATATAATCGCCCATACATCGTAATCTTTACTGTTTAAATGAGTAAAGGCAAATATAAAGAAAGTAATTTTTTTTTTTTTTTTTTAAGAAGGAGTCTCGTTTTATCGCCTAGGCTGGAGTGCAGTGGTGCAATCTCGGCTCACTGCAACCTCCACCTCCTGGGTTCAAGTGATTTTCATGCCTCAGCCTCCAGAGTAGCTGGGGCTACAGGCATGCACCACCACGCCTGGCTAATGTTTTGTATTGTTAGTAGAGATGGGGTTTCACCAAGTTGACCAGGCTGGTCTTGAACTCCTGATCCCAAGTGATCCACCCGCCTCAGCCACCCAAAGTGCTAGAATTACAGACGTCAGCCACCACGCCTGCCCTAAAGAAAGTAATTTAGTGAATACACTTCATCTTTAGGTTATACAGATAACTTTTCTACCAAAAAAACCAACCAACCAACCAACCTAGGTACCAATGGTTATTTATTTTTGAATCATTGAAAAGATCTAACATAGGCTGGGTGCAGTGGTTCATGCCTGTAATCCCAGCACTTTGAGAGGCTGAGGCGAGCAGACTGCTTGAGCTCAGGAGTTCGAGACCAACCTGAGCAACATAGTGAAACCCCATCTGTACAAAAATTAGCCAGGTGTGGTGGCACACATCTATAGTCCCAGCTGCTTAGGAGGATGAGGTGGAAGGATGACCCGAGGCTGGGAGGCAGAGGTTGCAATGAGCCAAGATTGAGCCACTGCACCCCAGCCTGGGTGACAGAGTAAAACCCTGTCTCAAAAAAAAAAAAAAAAAAAAAAAAAAAACTAACATAAAACCAAAAGATTATAAAGGAGGCATTACTGAGCAGTTGTAACCCAAAACCATTACTCCAAATCACAATTACACTTGTAAGAAAACATTTTAAAATTATATGTAATCCTTATAAGAGTGTTTATCATGTGCTTTCAATCATCCTAAGCAGTAACTATTACTACTCACGTTTTAAAGATGAGGAATTAAAGAATATTACCACCTCTGAGCATCTACTCCTCTACCAGAAGAAACACAGAAAATGGGCATTTCTTTCATTCTTTCTTTTTTAAAAAACAGAGACGGTCTCGCTCTGTCACCCAGGCTTGAGTGTATAACACAGCTCACTGCAGTCCCCAACTCCTGGCCTCAAGTGATCCTCCCACCTCAGCCTCCTGAGTAGCTGCGATTATGACAGGAGTCACCAAATCCGGCAGAAACTACCATTTCTAAACTGTCACAAAGAGATTCAGGAAACTCTCCTATTAACATATGTTAAATTGTTACACTCTAAACCACACCAACTTCGGATTCTCTACTAGAACCAGGCAGAGTAACAATGGTCCCCAGGACAGCCAAGCATTTCTCTCATATAAAACTCCAAAGCTTTAAAAAATCTTTCTTACCACCTTTATGGGTTAAGTAAAAATTTATCTTCAGTATCTCTTTTTAAAGGCAGGCTAGCCAGAGCAACAGCTAAGTGTCCCATTCCCCAATTTTGCTAACATACTCTATAAAGGGGGTTAAGTCCTGCAAAAGATACGTACTTCATCTATTCTGTGATTAACTCTCTGAGAACCAAACAGAAAACTGAGAATGCCTGGCCATGCTGCAGGAACTGCACCCAAGGAAGCAGTCAGAGTCCTGCATACACCCCCTTACCATGGGACCAATGCTTCACTCACCATCTCGGTCCTCATCATGGACACTGAGGTAGAGATATTCTAGGCCTCTTCCTTTTTTGCCATGCTCAGCTCCTTGTAGTTTAGTCATGAGGGTTGTTTTACCAGAACCATCTTCACCTACAAAGGATGTTTGCAAGACAAAGGTGTACTGTTTATTCCGGGCAAGGATGGGGAGGCATGACACTCACATGACACGGAGAAACTAAGAATTTCATGCAAAGTCTGCTGTTGAAGTCTCACCTGCTTTCATAAACAAAGGACTTTGCTGGAAGAGTGGTTGGGAGGGTGGGGAGGAGAGGGTGGTAAAGGCAGCAAATTCCAAGATCTAAAATGACATTCTACTGCAGTTATCCTTACTTCAAAAGGGAAATAATGAGGCAGGTCCACAGGCCCTATCTATAATTTATAAGACATGCATTCGGAGAAGTGAAAGTAAAAGGTAGGGTTAGTTTCTCACAAGAAAAAGTTTCACCACAAGAAAAACAAGAAATCTTCAAAATATGATACAATTAACCTAAAAGTCCAGGTACTGTGAACTAAAAAAAGTCTGATCCTGCTTCACAATGGTGAAGAATGGAAGTTATTCACTTTTGATTTTAGTACATCTCCTTCACAAACATTCTGAAGGCTAAGAAACTGACGAAAATAATTATAGACCTAGCAAAACTCTTCAGTACAATCTCAGTTAATTATTAAGCACTTCTTCATCTCCCTCCACCCAAACAACACCCCCCTTCCCCGGATCCTTAAACATCAAGGAGAACCATCGCCAAACATTACTAGGCACTTCTGCCATTTAATAATATGGAATTACAGAACATGAGAATTGAAAGGCAGTCAGTCCACAGATCAAAGACCTCCTCTCCATCTCCAATGCCTCTACCTTATTCAGGCCCTCTGCATCCAGACCAAGGTGAGGACCTGTCAGCCTGACTTCAGTACCTGCTCATTTTGAGCTACTGTCCCTCTGCAGGCAGCGTTCTTTCTAAAACTCAGATCTGGTGATCTTGATCCCCCACTTCTTGAAGATCTCTAAGGGTCCGGTATTACCTACCACAGTCAATTCCTGAGAAAGGTCACACATTCTAACAGTAGGAAAACTACCAAGGCAGTGATTCCCATGGGAATTGGGGGATGGAGGTGAGATAAAAGCCATTTGAAAAATCAGAGAACTTCAGGAAACAGCACTAACTCTTCAGCCTTCCCACAATCTGCCCCCAACTTACCTTAGCAGCCACCAACCACAAGGCGCTTCTAGCAGTTTCCAAACCCCACACCCTCTTGTCATCTGTGTCCCTGCATACTGACACTTTTCTGCAAAATACTCAACCCCCGAATCATCCTCCTTCACCAGCTCTAAGCAGTGTAATGCTTCCACAATAATCGGCATGGTGCAATGCAATCACCAATACATCTGTCTTCCACCAGACTGAGATTCTTCTATAGTGTTTAAGAGTCGCCTATGCTGAGCCTGTGCCCAGCCCACAGGTCCCAAGCAACAAATGGACTTGCTGTGTGAATGTACCCAAACTCCCTCACTTGAGGAGAGTGAGGCCAGAGGGAGTAAGGGACCTGACTCAGGTAACCTAGCAGTGAGGGCTAGCATAATGGAGGAAACGTCCCCAGTGCTGACTCTCTGTCCTCTGCAAAGTCCCTAAAACCTCGGACTATGCACTACTGATGAGGCTCAAAGAAGGCTCCCGTGGTCATTTCCCCACAGCTCCGAGCCCAGGTCACCTCGTTCTCCCACCTTCTCCACCTAATCTCATCTACTAGCTTCCCCTCTCCACGACCTCAATTTGGTAACCGTCGAGGCAATGAAGGCATAGAGGGCCAAGTGACTGAAACAATATGCCGACAACCCCAAAGCACCACTACGCTCTCCAAAGAGGGCAGCATCCCACCCTCAGGCGCTGGAGGCTTGACCACTCTCCAGCTGACCGGCCAGGGCCGACGGTCCCTTTCCCGCCAGGCTGCGGGCAGGCGGCTGGAACGGGGAAGGCGGGGACCTGAGGGAGGGGCGCCCGCCTCGCCCACCCCAGCGACCTGGGGCAACGCCCCGCCGCCGGCGCTCACCGAAGACCAGGATGTTCTTGCCGGACGGCAGCTTGGACCTGGCGCGGGTGGACACTTCGCTCAGAATGGAGGACCTGTGGCGACAATGGCAAGAGTGGTCAGCCCCGGGCCGGGCTGGGATGGCCCGGCTCGCGTCGGCCCCTCAGTGTGTCCGACGGTCCGGCCCAGAGGCCGCGCCCCCCACGGCCCGGCCCGACCGCCCGCGGCCTCACCATAGGCTCTGGCCTTCCTCCTCCTCACTGGTCAGGTCGCCGGCGGCCGCCACCGCGGGCCCGTTGGGACCTAGCAGCAGCTTCTTCTCCACCCCCACCGGCGCCATCTTGCCAACTGCAGCCACAAAGAGGGCCCTCCCCCGGGCCCGCCGAGGACCCGCGAGGACCCGGGCCGGGCCGCCCCCCGCTCGCCGTCCCTCGCGCCGCGCCGCCCGCCGACCTTGCCGCGGCGACTGCGCCGCCCAACGTGTCCTCTAGGTCTGCGATGGCCACGGGCTCCCACGGGTTGCGAGGCCGCCGAGGTGGCGGGCGGCGGTCAGGCAGCCGCCGGGGCAGCCATGCGCGGGGAGGCGGTGGCAGGGGCGGGCACCGTCCGGACCGAGGGCGCGCTGGCGGCCTCTGCCGGCTGAGGGGCGCAGCGCAGCACCCCGCCACGCTCGCCGATTCCCCTGCGCCGTCGCGGGTCGGGCAGCCGGATGACCGACCCGAAAGCCTAGGCTTTGGGAATGAGACTGATGGACACAAAAGCGCCATTTATCTAGAGCTCACCATGTGCCAGAGTCACACATTATCTCACTGAATCTTATCTAACCCTTTCACAGATGAGGAACCTGAAGCTCAAAAAATTTAAGAAACCCACCCAAGGACCCAAGGCTAGAAGATAACATTCGGTACTTCTAATTTATTCCCCAACCTTGGACCATTATATCATGAACTTGGCCTAACCCTACTCAAGCCCTGCATTGAAAGACTAGCCTTAAGGAAGACCCCAGAATCCTCATAAATATCCTGCATTTCCCCCTCCTCCTCCGAAGACTAAAGACTGTGAAGTAGTGCTCTTGACCGCAGTGCATAATACACTTGGCTTTGCTTTATTAACATGCTTTTTAAAATGATGTTTTCAGGGAGCCAGCATTTCACACCAGAAGAGGAGCCCTTAATTTCCTTGGGGGCCAGCTGGCAGGTGCAGAGCGGGGAGAAAAATAAAAGGAAAGGGGATGGAAAAGGGAAAGAGCGGAGAGTAACCGAAGGAAAAACATACATTCCATTATCAAGCTTAATTTTAGGTGTGGCCTCTACTTGAGGGCTCTTGCCATTCTCTATGGAAACAGGCTAACAAGACATTTCTAAATATCACAAGGAAGTGGAATGTGGCAGAAAAGCACCACCTAAGTAGGTTTCAGATGAGTAGGATTGTGATCCTGATGCCAAAAAATCTGGCGGCATGAATTACGGGATAAAACAAATGGGCATATCATCTGCCAAACTGGATGTAAGGTTTAAACAAGACGAGAGTGAAAACCCACTGAGTTCCTCCCTTGGAAATCTGGGAAAATCAGGCAAAGTGCCAGAAGTCCTAAAAGGGCAAGCAGTGCTGAATTTTCACAGGACAGAAGATGGAGATGAAAATTACAGGCCAGTGAGCTTAATCAGCACTAAGTGAAATTTTGTGATTAAACACTAAAGGAAAAGAGAATACCAGATTTACACAGTATCTTTCTTTTTTGCAGGAGTACCAGGTAGGCGGATGCTGCAGATACAGCAAATGCAGATTTCAACAGGGCATTTGACAATTCACATCTTAGATGCGAAAGTGAAATCAATGCTGGATGATAGCACTGAGGCTTATTAAAGACTAGCCCAGAGGTGGCTGATGAAGAGGAGGGACCAGCAGATGAGGCTGCTAGGGGCCTGCCCAAACCTCCTGCCCTGGCCAGCCAATTCAGGGTGCCATCAGTGACTTGGATAAGAATACAGCAGCAGTCATGGAAGTTGTGGATGACCTGAAGCAGGAAGGGTTGCCTTATCTACTGCATGACAAACTGAGCAGAGACTAAATCTAACAAGTTGAAATTTAGCAGGAACTATTAAAGTCCTGTGGAAGAGTTTAACAAAAAAGCATAGGAAGGCCAGGTACGGTGGCTCACACCTGTAATCCCGGCACTTTGGGAGGCCGAGGCTGGCGGATCACTTGAGGTCAGGAGTTCCAGACCAGCCTGTCCAACATGGCCAAACCCCGTCTCTACTAAAAATACAAAAAAAAAAAAAAAAAATTAGCCAGGAATGGTGGCATCCGCCTGTAATCCCAGCTGCCTGGGAGGCTGAAGCACGATAATTGCTTGAACCCAGGAGACAGAGGCTGCAGGGAGTTGAGATCACACCACTGCACTCTAGCCTGGGCGACAGAGTAAGACTGTCAAATAAAGTAAAATTTAATTTAAAAATGCATAGGAATAGGATAGGAAATTATTTGAAATAAAAATGATAATCTAAACGTCATTACTGTATTAACTATAATCTAAGAGTTGGTCATGTAGAATGCCAAGAAACATCTTAGGGTAGAACCCATAAAACCTCACTGATGCTAACAAAGAAGCTAGCCCCCCATGCCAGTCAGGCTGGATTTCTTAGGGTGACATTTCTGGACACATTTTGCAAAGACAGAGGTATCCAGTGGTCAGTGACTAAACTCATAAGGGGACAAGACATCGTTCTGCTGCAACATGAAGTAACTAGGGCTCATCAGTATGAAGGATAAAGATACAGAGGGAGAAGAAGGGAAAGTGTAGACATTTCTGAAAAGCTAAAGCAAATAAACATACACCAAAAAGAAGTGAACCTGACTATATGATGTGGGAGTATTCAAAGCAACTGCATAATTAGTCTTTAGAAGAAGAAACTTTTTTTTTTTCCTCTAGGATACTACAATAAACAATAGAAGAGGAAACTTTTTTAAGAGATAGGGTCTTGCTCTTGTCCAGGCCAGAGTACAGTGAAACACTCATAACTAACTACAACCTCGAACTCCTGGGCTCAAGCGATCCTCCCACTTCAGCCTCTCAAGTAGTTAGGACCACAGGGGCATGCCACCACATCCAGCTAATTTTTAAATTTTTTTGTAAAGATAGGGGTCTCACTATGTTGCCCAGGCTGGTCTCAAACTCCTTGCCTCAAGTGATCCTCCCACATTGGCCTCCCAAAGTGCTAGGATTACAAATATGGGCCACCACCACAGCCAAGGAAACATTTTAATTAACAAAATGTCAAATATTGATTTAGTGTATGGGAACCTTAGTTAAATAGCTTGGGGAACTATTCTTTCTGAATTCTGGGGAGGGACTTTTGTACCATATAAAAATACTAAAATCCAAATGTCCCACATAGTATTTATTGCAATATAATGTCAAATAACATTTAAAGGCTAATTCTTTTCTCTGTGTCCTTTAAGCTTAAGGAAAAATAAAAGCATATTCCTAAACAAATGTTTGATCTTATGAAGGAATTTTCTTACTAATCTGTACACTGATGATATATTTGCTTTATAAATCATTGTAATTTGATGAGTTTCAGCATCACAAAAACTGTTTAATGAAAACTGTATCCTCATTTCCACATTCCTTCTCATGAGAGTTTAGAAAAATACTTTAAATGTATCTTTCAAGGCACTGTATTTTAAGAATCCAAACTAAAAACTGACAGTCTTCTTTCAATCAAGAAGCTGCACACGTGGGGTGTTTGGTCAGCTTGTGGTATTTGTGAGCAAGGTCCACAGCCTTCCGTCCTTGCTGAAAGGGGAAAGACCACAAAATTGAATTCCAGTGATTTCCCATTTTCTTAACTCCATTGAAAAGGTAATTTACTTCTTCTTCAGTAAAGTTTTTGCGAATTCTTCTTTTTTCTATAATTAGAATTGTAGAATATATTAGTATTTGCTGAACAAAGGTCCTGAGATGCAAATAAGTGCTTATTTGGATATGCTTAACTTATACCTAAGGATATAAACTACAGAGTGAGAAATGCCAGGGCTTCTCATCATGTGGAAACCCACTTCAATTTTAAAAACCTGAGTGCCTAATATTAAGCTAGTTGCTATCACTGTGACTTCTTCAGTAATTATAACTTAATTGACAGTAGTAATACAACATCTTTCAGTCAAGAAACAAAAGTTTATAAACATTTGATTGTTAATTCAACATTCCTGTGAGGACAGTTAACAAACATCTTACCGGCCAGGCACGGTGACTTATGCCTATAATCCCAGCACTTTGGGAGGCTGAGGAAGGTGGATTACTTGAGGTCAGAAGTTCGAGACCAGCCTGGTCAACGTGGCAATAATCTCTCTCCACCAAAAATACAAAAAGTAGCCAGGCATGGTGGCACGTGACTGTAGTCCCAGCTTCTCGGGAGGCTGAGGCACAAGAATTGCTTAAACTCGGGAGGCAGAGGTTGCAGTGAGCTGACAGCACACCACTGCACTCCAGCCTGGGCGACAGAGCAAGACTCTGTCTCAAAATATATAAATAAATAAAAATAAAAAACAGCTTACGTATCTTAGAGATACAGTCTTCCCAAAGGGCTCCATAACTTGATAGAATAGAAAAGAATATCAACACTTGTTAAATATTAGGTTTGATAATATTTTTAAGAATAAGGGTCTTTTGAAATTTGCTTTTAAAAACACATGGTCAGCTAGATCAAAACTCAAAATATAGGCTGCACAATGAGGAAGGAAGTTTTTAACTATTTGGTTTTTAAGGGATACTTTCTATAAAGAAAGAATATACAGCTGGTATCTGTAAACAAATATTTTCTGGTGATGATTACTAGGAAATAGTTTTCTTTAAGCTTTTTCATTCATTATTATCTCATCTTATCAATGTGGGTAGATGCTGGTGAGGAGAAGTTTTCTGTATTTCCAGTTGAGGCTGTTATTTACTTTCGTAGTACTGGGTGCAGTTGTCCTGGGTCACCCTTAGAAAACCTTGCCCTTGCAGGCCAAGACAGCCATTTGTTTACCTTTTCTAAGAGCCACAGTTCAGACCTTTTAAAACAGATGAAAAAATCTTCCCAGCAGAAGGTTATCAGTGTAAATGTCTGATTATTACTTAATAGTATTATTTAGAATGTAAGCTCCATGAGGGCAGCAATTTTGATCTATTTTATTCACCATTGTATCCCCAGTGCTTAGAATAGTATCTGACACACAGTAGGTAGTCAATAAATACTTGTTGAGAGAAAAAATTTATTGGTAAAACTATCTCAAAGCTTATCAATGAAATTATTCTTTCATTTTGGGTGTACTGGAAAACTGTGGCTATCCAAGAAATAGGTTTCAACTTCCCTTGCTAAATGATTTGAACCCATAATAATCAGGACTAGATTGGTTACTATAACTTTCAGGATATTGAGCCCTGGAGTTGATCATGTAAAGCCCCACTTTTCCATTGTGGCTGCCATCTCCCTGACTTTTATACTTAATATCTGTGCCCAAATCTTCAAAGATTCCTACAGCAGAGTACTGAGCAGCCTGGAAGAAGGAAGCAGCTCTCTACACCCCAAGCTCCCCGCTCTGTGACTTCTTTAGTGCTCCTTGTAATATTAGGTATTAGGGAAGAGCAAGGGAAAATGGGCAAGAGGGCTTAATTCTAAGGACTCTTTTATTTTTCAAGCCCTCTCAAAACACCAATCCATCCTGAAATAGAGACTTGGGGAAATCTGTAAATGCTTAGGACAGTGGTTCCTTCTCAGAAGAATGGGCTCACATTTGAGTATAAAGTATAATTAAATGAACGGTGGTGAGTATCCTAAAAAAAGGTTAAGTTTATCAAGGGGGAAAAAATGGCAACATACCAAATATTCCTGGCCGGCTTGTGAAAGAGATGTAAGAATCACTACTTTCTCAAGGTTCCTTTCTAAATTCTAAAAAGTAGGCCAGATTATTTGGTTTTAGCTAAAGCAAGTCTTACCTACAAAAAAAAGGCATGTTTTTCTGAGCTCAATGTCACTTAACAGTATATAGGACTGCTGTATATAATCATTGTATAACCATTATTATGCACATTTCATGAAGTTCTGCAAATTATTTTAATATGCAAATAGATTACAGCATATTTTTCATTGTTACGTACTTGCTTTGAAGACATGTTGCTGAAAAACACCTATTATTAATTTGATGCCAAGCCCTTGTCAAGAACAAGATCTCCAAGTGCATGATGTTTCTATGAAAAAACACCCATTTTCTAACAATTACTATAGAAAACATTACTTCAGAAAGTGGGCTCATCTGTAGTGGTACTATACTTAATTATAATTTGCATGCAGAACTTTTAATCTAGAAAAAGACTCAGATATAAAAATCAAATTTGAAATTTCCTTGAAAGTTTTGGCAGTGAAAATAGCCAAATAAATATATGTGGCAAAATGCTTCCTGAATGTATCACGTCCAAATGTCTAAATAACAGAGTGGCTCTATAGGTGTTACTAATTAATATATCCAACCTATTTTAGTCTGCAGGTATTAACTCCGTACGAATAAAAGAAAATGATGATGTTATTTAAGTTTCTGATACATCGGAAATGGTGATCAATGTGAAATGTTAACCCTATAGTTAAATAAAAATTCCCATAAATTAACTAATTGTTTAAGAGGCATTTTTATTTCTTAAGCAGAGTTTTAAAGTTTATACTATTTGTCTCTTCAATTTTTATTGTTTCAAGCACTATAGTTATGAACAAAAACCTGCAAAGTCTCTCTGAAGCACTTGTGCATAATAATTTTGTTCTTAAAATAGAAATGTGAGGATAGAACAAGGGCTTCTGGAGAATGGCTTTTTGAATCTAAGTTCTGCCACTTACCAAGTATTAATAATTATGCCTTACAATAGGAGCAAATTAATATCTAACTTACAATATTGCTATAGGAATTAAAGGAAATAATATCTATACAACACCTAACACCTAGCAGGTGCTTAATAAATGTTAGTTTCCTCCTGCTCCTTCCCCTGCTGGCAGGCAGTGAGTGAGCAAGCAACATGAAGGGAAGAGGAAAGTCTCTTTTATTAGAAGGTCTGACCCTCATCAGAGGCAAGGTTTATCATTTAAGATCCATTAATAATAAGACTGAGAACAACCACTCAGCTGTTCTTTCTCAGAAATATATGAAATTTAAGTTCATTTAAAAATTAAATATATTCAGCCAGGTGCAATGGCTCATGCCTGAAATCCCAGCACTTTGGGAGGCCAAGGTGGGTGGATCACTTGAGGTCAGGAGTTTGAGACCAGCCTGGCCAACATGGTGAAACCCCATCTCTACTAAAAATACAAAAACCAGCAGGGTGTGGTGGCACATGTCTGTAATCCCAGCTACTTAGGAGGCTGAGGCAGGAGAATCACTTGAACCTGGGAGGCGGAGGCTGCAGTGAGCCGAGATTGCTCCACTGCACTCCATCCTGGGTAACAGAGCCAGACCCTGTCTCAAGAAAAAAAAAATTAAATTAAATATATTCACTTATTCCTCCAGGGGTAGTAGATTCATTACTGAGTCGTTGTCTTCTACGTGGGGTCAGCAGAATTTCTGAAAAATATGGAAAACATTTAGCACATTTAGCGTATCAATCTGAGTAATAGCATATCAATTCCATTAGTATATTTCCTTTATTCCCCCGTCTAGTGGGAATACTTAGATAGATTAGGAAGAATTTTTAAACCAACAGTCTAAGACTACTCCCTGGGTACATCTTCAATTACTTGTTGCTTAGAGACAGATTTTCTTTTTAAGATTATTTTATCCTCTAGTTTTTAATATATTTAATGCTTTAGATAATAGTTCAGAAGGTATAGCCATAATTACAATTTTAAAGCTGCTGAATTAATTACTTTTGTTACAGATAAGTGATTTCCTTAGTTCACTTTTATATCTGTCTTCAGCTTCCACAATGACTTTGTGACGATCACATTGGTATGGGCAAGAGTGCAAGAGCTTGCTAAAGTTTCGGCTATTCAGGGATTTTTCTACTGCTATGCAACCTAAAAGAAAACAAATTAAAGTTATGTGTAGATGTCACAAAATATCTAGTAACAAATCTATGATAGCAAATATCTATATGATGGTAACTGAAGTAAAATCAGGAACTATAAACACCTCAAGAAGCTCAAAATCATATGAGGGAGTAAAGACAACAAATACAACAGAGTGAAATAAGTGCTGGGAGGGAGGTATGAACAGTTACGGTGCTTTAGAAAAAGAGCATCTAGGCCGGCCACGGTGGCTCATGCCTGTAATCCCAGCACTTTGGGAGGCCAAGGTGGGTGGATCATGAGGTCAGGAGTTCGAGACCAGCCTGGCCAATATGGTGAAACCTCGTCTCTACTAAAAATACAAAAATTAGCAGGGTGTGGTGGCATGCACCTGTAGTCCCAACTGCTTGGGAGGCTGGGGCAGAAGAATCACTTGAATCCAGGAGGTGGAGGTTTCAGTGAGCTGAGATTGTGCCACTGTACTCCAGCCTGGGCGACAGAGCAAGACTCTGTCTCAAAAAAAAAAAAAAAAAAAAAAGGAAAGAAAGAAAAGAAAAGAAAAAGAGCATCTAGAGCGGGCGCAGTGGCTCACGCTGTAATTCCAGCACTTTGGGAGGCTGAGGTGGGCTGATCACAAGGTCAGGAGTTTGAGACCAGCCTGGCCAATATGGTGAAACCCCATCTCTACTAAAAATACAAAAATTAGCCAGGCATGGTGGTGGGTGCCTGTAGTCCCAGCTACTTGGGAGGCTGAGGCAGGAGAATCGCTTGAACCCGCCAGGCGGAGGTTGCAGTGAGCTGAGATCACGACTGCACTCCAACCTGGGTGACAGAGCGAGACTCCATCTCAAAAAAAAAAAAAAAAAAGAAAAGAAAAGAAAAGAAAAAGAGCATCTAGGTTGGGTGCAATGGCTCATGCCTGTAACCCCAGCACTTTGGGAGGCTGAGGCGGGCTGATCACAAGGTCAGGAGTTCGAGACCAGCCTGGCCAATATGGCGAAACCCCATCTCTACTAAAAATACAAAAATTAGCCAGGCATGGTGGCGGGTGCCTGTAGTCCCAGCTACTTGGGAGGCTGAGGCAGGAGAATCACTTGAACCCGCCAGGCGGAGGCTGCAGTGAGCTGAGATCACGACTGCACTCCAACCTGGGTGACAGAGCGAGACTCCATCTCAAAAAAAAAAAAAAGAAAAGAAAAGAAAAGAAAAGAAAAAGAGCATCTAGGTTGGGTGCAATGGCTCATGCCTGTAACCCCAGCACTTTGGGAGGCTGAGGCGGGCTGATCACAAGGTCAGGAGTTCGAGACCAGCCTGGCCAATATGGTGAAACCCCATCTCTACTAAAAATACAAAAATTAGCCAGGCATGGTGGTGGGTGCCTGTAGTCCCAGCTACTTGGGAGGCTGAGGCAGGAGAATCGCTTGAACCCGCCAGGCGGAGGTTGCAGTGAGCTGAGATCACGACTGCACTCCAACCTGGGTGACAGAGCGAGACTCCATCTCAAAAAAAAAAAAAAAAAAGAAAAGAAAAGAAAAGAAAAAGAGCATCTAGGTTGGGTGCAATGGCTCATGCCTGTAACCCCAGCACTTTGGGAGGCTGAGGCGGGCTGATCACAAGGTCAGGAGTTCGAGACCAGCCTGGCCAATATGGCGAAACCCCGTCTCTACTAAAAATACAAAAATTAGCCAGGCATGGTGGTGGGTGCCTGTAGTCCCAGCTACTTGGGAGGCTGAGGCAGGAGAATCGCTTGAACCCGCCAGGTGGAGGTTGCAGTGAGCTGAGATCGCGACTGCACTCCAACCTGGGCGACAGAGCGAGACTCCACCTCAAAAAAAAAAAAAAAAAGAAAAGAAAAGAAAAAGAAAAAAGAAAATAAAAAGAGCATCTAGGCTGGGTGCAGTGGCTCATGCCTGTAACCGCAGCACTTTGGGAGGCCAAGGTGGGCAGATCACTTGAGGTCAGGAGTTCAAGACCAGCCTGGCCAACATGACAAAACCCCGTCTCTACTCAAAATACAAAAAGTAGCCGTGCATGACGGCAGGTGCCTGTAATCCCAGCTACTTGGGAGGCTGAGGTGGAAGAATTGCTTGAACCTGGAAGGCAGAGGTTGCAGTGAGCTGAGACTGTACCATTGCACTCAAGCCTGGGTGACAGAACAAGACTCTGTCTCAAAAAAAAAAAAAAAAAGAAAGAAAGAAAGAAAAGAAAAGAGCATCTAGGGTTGAAGGGTTGAGAGTGGTGGCTCATGCCTGTAATCCCAGCACTTTGGGAGGCCAAGGTGGGAGGATCACTTGGGCTCAAGAATTCAAGACCATCCTGGGCAACATAGTGAGACCCTGTCCCTACCAAAAAAAATATTAGCCGGGTGTGGTGGCACACATCTGTAGTCCTAGTTACTTAAGAGGCTGAGGCAGGAGAATCCCTTGAGACCAGGAGTTCAAGGCTGCAGTGAGCCATGATCACACCATTACACAGAATAAGACCCTGTCTCAAAAAGAAAAGACAGCTCACGCCTGTAATCCCAGCACTTTGGGAGGCCTAGGCGGGCAGATCACAAGGTCAGGAGATGGAGACCACCCTGGCCAACATGGTGAAACCCCGTCTCTACTAAAAACACAAAAATTAGCTAAGTGTATTGGCGCGCCCCTGTAATCCCAGCTACTCGGGAGGCTGCGGCAGGAGAATCGCTTGAACCCGGGAGGCAGAGACTGCAGTGAGCCGAGATCACACCGCTGCACGCCAGCCTGGCGACAGAGTGAGACTCTATCTCAAAAAAAAGAAAAAGGAATATCTAGTTTGTCTGGTTTTGAGCAAGAGTCCCTGTTAAGGGAAGATATCCAAAAGAAGTGATCCTTAAGCTCAGTCATCTTTTTTGTTTTTAACATTTTATTATGTAAAATTTCAAACACTGAACTCCCATATATCTATCACCCAGCTTCAATAATTATTAACTCATGGCTAATCATGTTTTATTTATACCTCTACCTACTCAGCTCTGTCCCCACGTATGCACTGGATTATGACACCTGGAATTTACATTAAAGTATCATTTCATCTGTAAATACTTCACATGCATCCTTAACAGATAAGGAATTGTTTTTTGTTTGTTTGTTTTTTTTCCTGTGACAGGGTCTCCCTGTCACCCAGACTGGAGTGCAGTGGTATGATCACAGCTCACTTTTAGCCCTGACCTCCTGGGCTCAAGTGATCCTCCAGCCTCAGTCTCCTAAGTAGCTACAACTACAGGCATGCTCCACCACACCTGGCTAATTTTTTATTTTTTGTAGACACAGGGTCTCCTTACATTCCCAGGGCTGGTCTCAAACTCCTGGGCTTAAGTAATCCTCTCCCCTCAGCCTCCCAAAGTGCTGGGATTACAGGTGTGAACCACTGCACCCAGCCGGGACTTTTTTTTTTTCTGAGATAGTGTCTCACTCTGTCACCCAGACTGGAGTGCAGTGGCATGATCTCAGCTCACTACAACCTTAACCTCCTGGGCTTAAGCAATCCTCCCACCTCAGCCTCCCAAGTAGCTGGGACTATAGGCATGCAACACCACACTCAGCTAATTTTTGTATTTTTTTTAGAGACAGGTTTCACTATGTAGCCCAAGCTGTTCTCGAATTCCTGGGCTCAAGTGATCCACCTGCCTCAGCCTCCCAAAGTGCTGAGCTATAGGCATGAGCTACCACCACACCCGGCCAGGACTCCTTTTTGTAAACAGATAAAACTATTATGACACCTAAAAATTCATGCTTAATATAATCTAACATCTAGTGTTCAATTTTCCCTATCAATTCAAAAATTTCTTTTGAAAGTTGGTTGTTGGAATCATGATCCAAATAAGGTTCATCATTACTTTTTTTTTTTTAAGAGACAGGGTCTCACTATGTTGCTCAGGCTGGACTTGCACTCCTGGGCTCAAGCAATCCTCCCACCTCAGCCTCCCACGTAGCTGGAACTACAGACACACGCACCACTGTGTCTGACTTACATTCGGTTAACATATGTCAAGGTGCTTTTAATCTACCAGTTCCCCTCTCTTCCTTGTCATTTACTTACTGAAGATACTAGGTCATTTGTACTATAGTTTCTCAAAGGCTAAGTTTTGCTGATTGCATCCTAGTTGTGTCCTTTAAAATGTTGTTGTGTGTCCTATAAACTAGTAATTAAATCTAAATGATTGGTCAGATTCAGGTTCAAGTGTTTTTACTAGAATTCCATGAAGGTAGTATTGTATGTTTCTTACTGTATCATATTAAGAGGTACATATTGTCCGTCTCTCTCTTTTTTAAAAAAGAAATTGTAATTGGGCAGCCTCTTGAGCCAATAGGGTTAGAAAAACTCCCTCTTTTTTTAAATATTAAGATAGATCAGCAGCAAACCACCATGGCACATGTTTACCCACGTAACAAACCTGCACATCCTGCACACGTATCCCTGAACTTAAAATAAAAGTTGGAAAAACATTTTTTAAAAAAAGATAGATTGGTAGGTTCAGGTAATGTCAGCCATGTCCATCCAGTATAAAGTTCTCCATCAGTTTGTCACCTAATTGTATTAGTGGCCCATTCCTAAAGGACTAGAAGTTGGCCACGCAGATAGTTGGCTGAGATGAAGACATTTCAGTACAATAAAGATGTGCAAAACCACTGAAGTGTGAAAAAGCATAGTATTCAGAGCATCATGGACACTCTAATATGGCTAGAGTACAGAGAAGTATGGGAGAAAAGCTGGGGATGGGAAGGGTTGCAGGGAACGAGACCAAGAAAAGTCTTGAAAGCCATGCTAAGGAATTTTAACTCTTCAAGGCAACAGGGAGGAACATAGAGATACTTATTAAAAGCAGGAAGATGACACGATTTCATTTGTCTTGTAGAAAGGGCACCTGAAGGCAAGAGGATCAGTTGAGAGGTTACTTTAGTAGTCCGCAAAATAAATGAAGGGATTTTGAAACAAGGCATTTGCGGGGAGAATGGGGAGATTTCTGAGGTAAAATTAGCAGGGTTTGATGAATAATGAGCTGTTGGGATAAGGGAAACGTTTAGGATAATTCTCAAGAAATTCAGTACTTGATCAAATGGCAAAGTTTGAAATAACCATAGCACATTTCTAGCAGATTCAGAGTAAATGCACAGTAAAATTTAACAAGTGGAAGCAGGACAAAATTCCACAAAACTTTGAAAGCCAGGCAGAGAGGTTGATTCAGTGGGTTACAGAGAAGCACTGAGGGTTCTTTAGCATGATGACACGATAAAGCACATATTAAGAAGATAAGTTAACAGTGATATGCATATTATACTTGGGAGTTGGAGAGGCTTGAGACAAAGACTGCTAGAAAATTGCTGCGATAATTTAGGCATGAAACAAAAAGGGCCTATGTGGCAAAAAAGAACAAAATTTGATAGACTAGAAATAAGGGACGGAACGAGAGAGAACAGTCATGGATGATTCAAGGCTTAAAGTCTGGGAGACCAGACAAATAGTGGCAACACTGACAGAAATGCAGTGAGTTGGGAGGCCAATTTAAAAGGAAGAAAGATGCTGTGGATGTTGTGTTTAGGATACATTAAGCTTAAAGTAACAAGAAGATATTGAAGTGGGTATGTGCTGAGAACTACTGGAAATGAAAGAATAAGGCTATAGCCCACGTTAGAAGCCAAAAGTCAAGATACATATTTGAAAACCATCAATAAAATGATAGATGATGCTACAAAAGTAAATGTAGTGAAAGAACTGCGTAGGTGCTATAGACTAGGTCTTGAGGAGAATACTTGTGGCAATCTGGCAGGAAGAGAGAGATAAAGGTGAAGACTGAGTTCTATTCATCTTCGATTCCAGTGCCAGCCAAGGACTAAGCACTCCATAATGTTTGTGGAATGAATGAATGGTAACTAGGGGAGAAAGGAACAAGGAAATAACCATCTCATACAAACTAAGCAATTACAGAACATCCACTTTGCCACCTAGAATACTTTTGACCAGAGATTCCCAAACTTTCTAGGTTCATGGCACCTCTAAGCCAAAAGAAATGCCTAATGATTCTGTCAGATCCAAGACAACTTAATAAGTATTTATGTTCTAACAACTTAGTAGCCATTTGAAAAAATAATACAATTAAACTGAAAGAAATATTTGTACTTTTTTATTCTTATTAAATACATTTACTTTCTTTCTTTCTTTTTTTTTTTTTGGAGACAGAATCTCGCTCTGTCACCAAGGCTGGAGTGCAATGGCATGATCTCAGCTCACTGCAACCTCTGCCTCCCAGGTTCAAGCAATTCTCCTGTCTCAGCCTCCCGAGTAGCTGGGATTACTGGCTCATGCTGCCATGCCCAGCTAATTTTTTGTATTTTAGTAGAGACGGGGTTTCACCGTGTTGACCAGGCTGGTCTTGAACTCCTGAGCTCAGGTAATCCACCCGCCTCGGCCTCCCAAAGTGCTAGGATTACAGACATGAGCCACCACACCCGGCCTAATACATTTACTTTCTAATGGTATATGTGCATCTGCTGGGAGGAGTGGATGAATAATTGAAAGGATAGCAAATCAAACAAACTATTGGGTATTTTTTTTTTTTTTTTTTTTTTTTTTTTTTTTTGAGACGGAGTCTCGCTCTGTCGCCCAGGCCGGACTGCGGACTGCAGTGGCGCAATCTCGGCTCACTGCAAGCTCCGCTTCCCGGGTTCACGCCATTCTCCTGCCTCAGCCTCCCGAGTAGCTGGGACTACAGGCGCCCGCCACCGCGCCCGGCTAATTTTTTGTATTTTTAGTAGAGACGGGGTTTCACCTTGTTAGCCAGGATGGTCTCGATCTCCTGACCTCATGATCCACCCGCCTCGGCCTCCCAAAGTGCTGGGATTACAGGCGTGAGCCACCGCGCCCGGCCGGGTATTTTTTTAAGATGAGGAAAAATGAGCATAGTTCAAGGTGGAACAAAAGGAGTTAATGAATAGAATGGAAGTGAAGAGAAAGATTTTGCAATTAGTATTAAAATGTGGAGAAAAAAAAGATATGAGATTCAGCTTATGGCTGGACATCAGTTTTAGAAGAATAGAGATAACCTCTTCATCCAAGAGGGAAGAACAATGATGTTCTGAGCCGAATATAGAGAACCTCAATTTTGTCCATAGAGCAGAGTACAACAGCAAGATGAAAAAAGAGGAAATACCGGGGTGTGAAGGAGGAGGAGAAGGGATGGAATAAGTATTGTGGAACATTTACAAGAGCCCTGCAGAAAAAACAAATAATGAACATGAAACAGTAGAAACATTTACATATTATAAATATAAAAATAGGTATTTTTAAAACTTAATGCCTATGTTTACAGGATAATCCAGAATGCATACCTAGTAATAACGGCTCTCTGAAAACATTAAAAAATGTTTATTTTACTCAGTAAGGTTAAATTCATAGATGGTATTAAGACAAAAAGATAATAAAGTAATAAAAAGGTACTAACTGTGTTTATTCATACATACAAATATTGGAAGCTCAGCCTGATGCTGATAAAAGGTGTTTTTTTTGTTTTGCTTTGTTTTTAATTATAGAGACAAGGTCTCGCTATGTTGACCATGCTGGTTTTGAACTCCTGGCCTCAAGAAATCCTCCAGCCTTGGCCTTCCAAAGTGTTGAGATTACAGCTGCCTCACCTGGCCCAGATAGAAGATATTAATTTGAATGCTTTGATATTCCACAGTATTATTTCTCCAAAGGGAACAAAGTAAATCATACATGTAGAACTATTATAAATTCTAGTTAATTACAATAAGCGTGGTGGCTCATGTCTGTAACACCAGCACTTTGAGAGGCTGAGGCAGGCAGATCATTTGAGGTCAGGAGTTCAAGATCAGTTTGGCCAACATGGTAAAACCTGCTCTACGAAAAAATACAAAAAAAAAAAAAAAATTAGCCAGGTGTGGTAGTGGGCACCTGTAATCCCAGCTACTTGGGAGGCTGAGGCACAAGAATTACTTGAACCTGGGAGGTGGAGAGTGCAGTGAGCCAAGATCGCGCCACTGCACTCCAGCCTGGGTGACAGAGTAAGACTCTGTATCAAAAAAAAAAAAAAATTCTAGTTAATATCATAAAAGGCTTTGACTGTGAAACAACTGCAATTAAAAAAATACTTACCTGAGCACCTATACGTCAACATTTCGGAACAACTGGGAGTTGCTAGAAAACTGACTACTTCTTTATTTATTATATCTGAACATAATGTAAATGGATCTGAAAAAAATTGCAAAATGAAGGATTTTTGGATTAATGAAAAGAATCAGATATTTTCAGGATTTATTAAATATCAAGCTTTTCATAAACCTTAGCCTAGTACTATGCCTCCAGTCATGCTGGTGAATAAACAGAAAGATTCTGGATCTTAATGGAAGGCATTTACAACAGAAAGAGTCAAAGGTGTGGCTTATGCTTTAGAGGGCCAATATAGCAATGGACTTTTTTTTTTTTTGAGATGGAGTCTCACTCTGTCGTCCAGGCTGGAGTGCAGTGGCATGATCTCGGCTCACTGCAACCTCCGCCTCCTGGGTTGAAGCAGTTCTCCTGCGTCAGCCTCCAGAGTAGCTGGGATTACAGGTGCCCACCACCGCACCTGGCTAATTTTTGTATTTTTAGTAGAGACAGGGTTTCACCATGTTGGCCAGACTGGTCTTGAACTCCTGACCTCAGCTGATCTGCCCACCTAGGCCTCCCAAAGTGCTGGGATTACAGGCGTGAGCCACCGCACCCAGTCAATGTGCATTTTTAGCTATATTGGTTACCTAAATATCTGTTTTATTAAAAAACCAAAGAAACATTTTTAATCATACCTGTTACTGGTAACTGCTGCTTTATATTTTTGGCAATGTGAACTGGGTGTTTAAAAACATGGTCACTAAAAGAAAATAGACACCAGATTACTAAAAGTAAACATACTGTTTGGTGTGCGGACCAATGTTTCTGTAAGCAGTGTTGTGATTTTCGGTGTTTGGTGGGCAAAAGCAACCTGGAATCACGATCTACCACAATCTACCAAATTCTGCCAACGTAGGGCCTGCAACAATTACAGCCGTGTTTCTAGAGCTCGAGTCAAACAAGACTCCAGAGGGCAATAGTATTGATGCCAGAAGAAACATGGAAGAAAAAGATTATAAAAAGAAGGAAGTAGGAGAGATGAAGGCAAAAAGGAGAGAACAAAATCAGTGGGAGCAAAAATGAACATGGGTGCAGGATGGCAAAGTGCTAACAACAATCATTTAAAGACCTGAATTTAAAAATCCTTCCTAACCCCCAAAACATTTGTATGTTTGAACCCTGTAGTCCTTGATGAATAAATACAAGTTTTGATTATACTGTCACAATGATTAACAGGCAGTACAGAAAAAGGCAAGAACTGTAGATCAGATAGCAGGCATAGCAGTAGCTTTATAGTTATAGCTATCTGTCCATGTACGTATATTTGTAGGAGCTACTACATAGGAGAAAAAAAGCATTTCAAAGAGATGAAAATATTAATAAGTTGGCTGAGGTAGAAATATGGCTAACCCTAGCCGGGTGCGGTGGTTCACGCCTGTAATCCCAGCATTTTAGGAGGCTGAGGCGGGCAGATCACCTGAGGTCGCGAGTTCAAGGCCAGCCTGACCAACATGGAGAAACTCCATCTCTACTAAAAATACAAAAAATTAGCCGGGCGTGGTGGCACATGCGTGTAATCCCAGCTACTCGGGAGGCTGAGGTAGGAGAATCACTTGAACCCGGGAAGTGGAGGTTGCGGTGAGCCGAGATCATGCCATTGCACTCCAGCCTGGGCAACAAGAGCGAAACTTTCTCAAAAAAAAAAAGAAAAAGAAAAAGAAAAAAGAAAAAGAAATATGGCTAACTCTATAGGAGAAAGAAGGGTATGGGTGGAAAGCTTGGGATGGAGGTCAAGAAGGCTGGCCCAGGACCATATCTTACTGCTTCCCAATTCCCATACCTGAGCAATCAAGTTAAAATTAACATCAAGAATGGTCTTGAAACAGATAAAAGGGGTGGTATTGGTGTAACCCTTCTTCCTGGTACTTAGTTTACCCTTCAACCTGCCCGAAATGTAGCAGCATCCTCTTCATTTTTCCCAAGTACAGTAACCAACAGAAGAGCACAACCCAATAAAGGGTTTAAGAAAAGCTACAATCCCAGGTCTAGCCCCACAAACTAACTGCAAGGGAAAAAGACTATGTTCTAGAGACAAAGTGCAGGGAACAAACAAAAGGGCAAACCCAAACCAAATTTTCTTCACATCCTATTCCCTTTATCACATTAAATTTAAAAACAGTTTTTGCTATACTGCTGATTATCAATGCACGCATTGTTACTTCAAGTAAAGGGTTTCCGTTTAGGTTTTATTTTCTGAGTATCCTTTCTAAAATTCAAATCTGTTACGCCACTCAATTTAAAATCCTCAATCACTCCCTATACCCTGTGAGTTAAAACCCAAAATCCACAGTATGACATTGCAGGGCCCTAGATTAACTGGCCCATACCTCCCTGTCCAAACTCCTTTCCCAACACTTCCTACTTTAGGCTCTTCCCAAGACCATGTTTCATCATGTCACTTCTACATGCCCAATATTTAACAGTGTGGCATACTGTAGTACACAATAAATGCTTGCTGAATAAATAAAAGTTACACACAATTATTAAACTATACCTTGATTGAGAAACAAAATTCTTTTCAAAAGTAGTTTCTTCATGTAAGTTTTGATTGCAGCTTGACTTGGCTTTATATAAAGTCTTATTTTGCTCACTCTCCCTGTAACAAGCATGGACTGGATTTGCGCTCTTTAACGGTGTCTTCATTTGGTCATCATTTGTACATGCTTTAGACATGACTCCATGGGACTTATAACTCTGTAACTGTCTAGAATGGCTTTTATCCTCATCTTCTGCTTTGCTACCTCGACCAATCCGATCTGCATGGAGATGTTTCCATGTATTCTGAATACTTATGTTCATAGATGAAATATTATCCTGATAGTTTTCTCTTTGTATTTCTTCCTATAGTGTAAAAATGACAAATAATTTCAATATAATCCATTCCCTTTATAATCCAATTTATACTTCATTTAAATAATGAAGAATGAAGAAAAAGTTTATGATTGCCAATAGAACATATATGATAAAAGGCAGTTTACATTAGGAAGAAAAGGGAGTTTATTCATTAAACAATATTGGGACAATTGGGTAGCCATCTGGTGAAAAAATAAGTTGAATACCTCACAGCTTATACAAAGATAAAGTCAAAATGAACCAAATTTTTAAATATAAAAACAAAGTCATATATGTTCTAAAAGAAACCATTATATTTTAATATTCTTAAGGGGTATAAGACCTTTCTAAGTATTACCCAAAATTAAATAATAAAACAAAACTAATATACTCGACCACATAAAAAAAATTTTTTTTAATTCTTCTAGAGACCAAAAACGTTATTCTGGGCAGGGATCTCAGGAATAAAGAACCAGAAGCAAAACCAAATGACAATCAAAACACCCAGAAATAATATGTATAAAGCATATATCTTAAGCAACAGGATATACATATATATATATTTTTTGAGACAGGGTCTTGCTCTGTTACCCACACTGGAGTGCAGTGGCATGATCACAGCTCACTGCAGCCTCGACTTCCTGGGCTGAAGCAATCCTCCCACCTCACCCTCCTGAGTAGCTGGGACCACAGGCATACAACACCACACCTGGCTAATTGTGTATTTTTTTGTAGACACAGGGTTTTGCCATGTTGCCCAAGCTGAAGGATAACTTTTAAAAATAACATTTATAAAAAGCTACTATAATGAAATATGAAAAAAGATCAACGATAGCATGGAAAAGCAGGCACAGAAGATGAACAGATAGTTTATAGGAAAGGAAATATTAATAGCTCTTAAACACAAGAAAAAATGTTTCATCCCACTTAAGATAAATAAATATTAAAGCTACACTGAGATATTTTTCTTCATCTATTACACTCACAAAGATCAAAACGCTGTGGGGAAACATGTACTCTTAAACATTGCTAGTGGGAGTGTAAGTTGATACATCTTCTGTGGTGAAACAATTTGACAGTATCTTTCATAACAAAAACTATGTCTATCTAGGTATTTGAGAGGTACTATTATTTTCTCCATTTATCGATGATGAAACTAAAGCACAAAGAGATTAAATAACTTGCCTAAACTTTCCCTAAAGTTCACAGCATCCATGAATTTGGGTATCTGTGGGAGGTCCTGGAACCAATCCCCCATAGATACCAAGGGTTGACTGTACTTTAAATGGGTGAACTGTACGGTATGTGAATTATATCTCATTAAAGCTGTTACAGAATACACACACACACACACACACACACACACACACACACACACACGGGTACATGTGTAGCAGGTATTTAGAGTTGTTTGCAATGGTAAAAATTTAAATATAACTTACATGTCCATCAATAAAGGACTGGTTAAATCAATTATGGCACATCTGCAATAGTGAATACTACTCAGACAATTAAAATAATAAAATCACTATATTATACTAACTTGGACACTATGTTTTGATTTTTTAACACATATGCATATACAAAAACACAAAGCATGCATACATAGAAAAATATATTTATATAAAGAGGAAAGAAGTTATTAGATTATTACTACTTTTCTCTTTCTTGAACCCCAATTATTCAGATGTTAGATCTCTTGGCTCAATATTCCACATTTCCTGTCTTTTCAGTCATCATTTCTACTTTTTAAAAATCTTTTATTGTTGTTTTATGTCAAAGCATGATTCTTCCAGTATTACTATGGAGTTTTCCATTTAAAACTATTTAAAACTTTAAAAAATAACTTGGGAAGAAAAAATTTTTTACCCTCCAACCTCTACTGTTAAAAAATATTGGCTGGGCATGGTGGCTCATGCCTGTAATCCCAGCATTTCGGGAGGCTAAGGCAGGGAGATCACTTGAGGTCAGGCATTCAAGACCAGCCTGGCCAACATGAGGAAACCCTGTCTCTACTAAAAATACAAAGAAATTAGCCGGGTGTGGTGGCGCACATCTGTAATCCCAGCTACTTGAAAGGCTGAGGCATAAGAATCACTTGAACTTGGGAGGCGGAGGTTGCAGTGAGCCGAGATCGTGCCACTGCACTCCAACCTGGGCAACAGAGCAAGACTCTGTCTCAAAAAAAATTAACAAAAAATTTATATGTCAGTGTAGTATGGAGAAAAAAGAAAGAAATTTTAAAAATTTGAAAAAAGTTCTATATTCTTTAAAACAAAGAATCCAACCTCATTTCCTTCTCTTTCAAGCTGTTCTATTCTGTGTAGAATTTCCTTTGCTTTCCTCCAGTGCTCTTCAAGATTATTCTCCTTCACACTTATGTCCTTTAATTGCTGTGTTTCATTTTCATCAAAAGGATATTCTCCTAGACTTAGAGATAATTTCTCAGCTTTGTAGTATGGGAAAAAACAATGAATGAAAAGTTATTTAAACACTTTATATATAAGGACAACTTCACAGCCCACCCTCTCCTTTCTCTAAATTTTTCCATCCAGACTATCTTAACAGCTTAATTGGTACTGAAAAGTAAGTGGAAGATTATCTAGCAGAGGCCCAGGACTCAAACAGTCATAAATCAGACTTTACTCTTCAGAGTTACAGGAGAAAAAACATGCAAATATGTTATGCCAGACACATAAACACCCTCAGGTACATGGATACTGGTTTTAAAGTAGTTAGTTTTTTAGGCCCGGCACAGTGGCTCACACTTGTAATCCTTGCATTTTGGGATGCCGAGGCGGGAGGATCACTTGAGGTCAGGAGCTCAAGGCCAGCGTGGCCAATATGGTGAAACTCCACCTCTACTAAAAAAAAAAAAAAAAAATTAGCCAGGCATTGTGGCACGCACCTGTATTCCCAGATAATCTGGAAGTTAAGGCACAAGAATCCCTCAAACCCAGGAGGCACAAGCTGCAGTGAACAGAGACTGAGCCACTGCACTCCAGCCCTGGCGACAGAGTGAGACTTCGTCTCAAAAATAAAGTAGTTTTTTTAAAAAAATAATGTTCAAAAATTGATTCCTTCCTATAATCCTTTTTTTTTAAACATACTGTGTCTGCAGTTTTTCTTCCACAAAGATCAAAATTCTCATCATGGACACTGCCCTCTGAGCTCAAGCTACACTGGCCATCAATTCCTTAAGTGCACCAGGTTCCCTCCTATCACAGGGCCTTTGTGCCTCACTGTTGCTTATGCTTGAGACACTCACTGATAACAAATTCCTTTCTTTTCACCTAATTAACTCTAGACATTCAGTTCTCAGCTCAAGAATCACTTCCTCCCAATGCCTTTTCTGCTCCACGTCTAGACCAGATTCCTTTGTTATAGGCTCTTAAAGACCTGTGGTCTATCCCTATATATTTGTTATGTCAATTTATAATAACACATAATCTCATTTTTTGAGTTACTGTCTATTTCTGTAGTTAAAACTAAGCTCTGTGAATACACAGACTGTTTTTCATCACTGTATCCCTGATGTCCCTGATGTCTAGCACTCTGCCTTGGCACATAACAGAAACTCAAACTTTTTTTTTTTTTGAGACAGAGTCTTGCTCTGTCACCCAGGCTGCAGTGCAGTGGCACGATCTTGGCTCACTGCAACCTCTGCCTCCCTGGTTCAAGTAATTCTTCTGCCTCAGCCTCCCGAGTAGCTGGGGCTACAGGCGTGCGCCACCAGGCCTGGCTAATTTTTTTTGTATTTTTAGTACAGACAGGGTTTCACCATGTTCGCCAGGCTGGTCTTGAACTCCTGACCTCGTGATCCACCCGCCTAGGCCTCCGAAAGTGCTGGGATTACAGGCGTGAGCCACCATGCCCAGCCCAAACGTTTTTTTTTTTTTTTTTGAGACAGAGTCTTGCTCCGTCGCCCAGGCTGGAGTGCAGTGGCGCAATCTCGGCTCACTGCAAGCTCTGCCTCCCGGGTTCACGCCATTCTCCTGCCTCAGCCTCCCGAGTAGCTGGGACTACAGGCGTCTGCCAACACGCCCGGCTAATTTTTTGTATTTTTAGTAGAGACGGGGTTTCACTGTGTTAGTCAGGATGGTCTCAATCTCCTGACCTCGTGATCCGCCTGCCTCGGCCTCCCAAAGTGCTGGGATTACAGGCGTGAGCCACCGCGCCCGGCCCCAAACATTTTTAAATAAATGAATGTACTTATGATTTAACAATAAGTAACCCTTAGTCCACAAATTTAATTCCTGCAAACTAAATTTGTGCACACGGCATAAAATAGTGAATTATCTATACTGCTGCTCTCTTCCACATGGGTTTGTATATGCTGAATATACCCTAGTTGTCATGTCCAAATTTTATACTCTGATTTTCTTTTTTTTTTTTTTTTTGAGACAGGGTCTCACTCTATGACCCAGGCTGGAGGGCCAGTGGTGCAAACACAGCTCACTGCAGCCTCGACCTGAGCAACTCCTGAGCTCAGATGATCCTTCTACCTCAGCTTCCCAAGTAGCTGGCAGGCATGTGCCACCATGCCCAGATAATTTTTTCTATATATATATTTTTTTATAGAGACAGAGTTTCTCTATGTTGCCCAGGCTGGTCTTGAACTCCTGGACTCAAGCGATCTGACTGCCTTGGCCTCCCAAAGTGCTGGGATTACAGGCATGAGCCACTGTGCAGGGCCTAGTCTGCTTTTCAAATGTAAGAAGAATCTGAGAGCTATAGGGCCTTGGCTCATGAAAGCAGAAATAAATTCTCCTTTATAAACTTTGGTTGGTATGTTCTTAAAGTAATAGTACACTTACTAATTTTTTTGCAGTTGTGAAGCACAAATGTGGCAGCTTTGTTCAGTTCCTCATTCTGCGATTCAGTTAAGGCTTGAATCATGAGTGGAAGCCCATTGTTTTTAAAAAGGTCATACTGATTTTCCTCTGGAAAACATAAACAAAGAGGACAATGTTTTTTATCATAAACTATCTATATGAGGTCATAATTCTTCCTTGTGATAATTATGAACATAGTTCAAAATTTTAAAAATAGGCCAGGAACGGTGGCTCACTCTTGTAATCCCAGCACTTTGGGAGGCTGAGATGGGTGGATCACTTGAGGTCAGGAGTTCAAGACCAGCCTAGTCAACATGGTGAAACCCAGTCTCTATAAAAAATACAAAAATTAGCCAGGCATGGTGGCAGGCACTTGTAATCCCAACTTCTCAGGAAATTGAGGCACAATAACTGCTTGAACCTGGGAGGTGGAGGCTGCAGTGAGCCGAGGTCGCACCATTGTACTCCAGTTTGGGCAACAGAGTGAGACTTTGTCTCAAAAAACAAAAACAAAAACAAAACAAAACAACAACAACAAATTTTTAAAATAGAGAAACACATAGTTTCAAAAGGATTTTTTTTTTTTTTTTTTTGAGAGGGAATCTCGCTCTGTCACCCTGACTGGAGTGCAGTGGCACAATCTTGGCTCACTGCAGTCTCCGCCTCCCGGGTTCAAGCAATTCTCTTGCCTCAGCCTCCCGAGTAGCTGGGACTACAGGCACACGCCACCATGCCCAGCTATTTTTTTGTATTTTTAGTAGAGACAGGGTTTCAACATGCTCACCAAGCTGGTCTTGAACTCCTGACCTCGTGATCTGCCCACCTCAGCCTCTCAAAGTGCTGGAATTACAGGTGTGAGCCACCATGTCCAGCCCCCAAAAGGATTTTTAACATAGAAAATAATTCACTTAAGGCCGGGCTCGGTGGCTCACACCTGTAGTCCCAGCACTTTGGGAGGCCGAGGCAGGCGGATCACCTGAGGTTGGGAGTTCGAGACCAGCCTGACCAACAAGGAGAAACCCCGTCTCTACTAAAAATGCATAATTAGCTGGCCCTGGTGGCGCATGCCTGTAATCCCAGCTACTCGGGAGGCTGAGACAGGAGAATTGCTTGAACCTGGGAGGCGGAGGTTGCAGTGAGCCAAGATTGCACCGCTGCACTCCAGCCTGGGCAACAAGAGCAAAACTCCGTCTCAAAAAAAAAAAAAAAGAAAGAAAAAGAAAATAATTCACTTACACAAAATACCTGTCTCATAAGTGATCTCAGAAACGCAGCCACAGAGTAGTATCATAACTCATAAGAGTCAACAAACTCACTTGGTTTGAAAAAGGGTATAATCAATCCTAAATTACACAGAGGTTAAGGGAAAGAATAGGTAAATAAACTAATGGAGGGAGTAGAAAGTAAGGGAAGGAAGAAAGAGTGGAAGAAGCAAGAGAGAGCAAAGGGAGGAGAGTGGAAAAGTGAGAGTGGAAAGAGCAGAGAGAGATTAGAAGAGAGAGGGGTAGAGAGGAAAGTGGAGAGAATTGGTAAGAAGGAGTAGATTGAACAGAGGGAGAATGGGAGGAAAGTAGAGAGGAGGAGGAAAATAAAAGGGGGAGAAGAAAGAGAAAAGAGAGAGGAGACAGTAATAGGTAGAAAAAGAAAGAATCTTTGAAAGTTTTAACAAGGAGAACAGAATCAGATTTGTGCAGCAATGTGCAGAGTGGGCTGAAAAATGAAGGTAGAAGGGAAGGAGCTTTCTCCCTGTGCTGCAGTGAGAAAACCACTGCAATAATATTGGTGAAAGATGTTGTGGGTTTAAGGGCCTACTTTGGAAGAGCAACATTGGAACTGGACAGAAAGGGATCAAGAGGGGTAAACAGAAGTAGAACTACAGGTCTTAATGACTGACTTAATACAATGAGTGAAGGAGAATTAGGAGCTGAAATGACTAGTTTGAGGTCTGAATGACTAGGAGAAAAGCAATACTTTTAAGACCTTCACATAACTGGAAGAAAAAAAAAAACAGAAGTATATTTCCGCTTTACTATTTTAATAACCACACTCAATAAATCCAATACTTACCACAATCCTCTGTGCAATGACCAAGAGTAAGCATGATGCTAAATTTTTCTCCTGAATCCAGACTTTCATGAAGCAGTAATGCCAGAAGTTTAGAAACAATGTGGTACTTGGAGAGTACTATCCCAAAAGTAGCTATTAGTATAAAATAGGAAAAAAAGATAGTACAAATTTAAAACTTATAAATGTATATATACTATGTATTTTTCAGAGTTTATTCAGGCAGAATGTTATATATCTATATAAAATTAAATATACACATATCATAACATCTAATAAATATGTGTATGTGTGAATATAAATAAAATATAAATTCATTGTAATAAGATGGCGGCCTATTACTATAACCCTCATTACTCTTTCTTCCCATACTAAAGACATATTACTAAAGCAAATTTTTTGAAGAATTTTTTTCTTAATTGTTCTGCAGAATGCTGTGAAGATGAAGTAACACTAACTTCCTAAAAGCTGAGTATGCTTACTCTCCCCTTACATACCTCTTCTTATCTAGATTGGATAGTAAAGACTTTCCTACATAATCAGTTCCTGCTGTCATTTAAAATACACTATTAACTGACCACAGTTCTACTGACTTACTGATGCAATGAAGCATATGCAAAGCTATGCTGAGATGTGACAAAAGTCAAAAAGACCACCATTTTAAGCTATACTTCTCCAAATGTGGCTTTTAACAGAGTTCACCCAGAGTCTAACAATACTAATATCAACAAAAAAGTTGTGAATTCCTGAAGGGACTACATCTTAATCATTTTTGTACTTGTAAAGCTCCACACATAGCAGGTCCTCAATAACCACTTTTTAAAAAACCATCTATTTTTTGCTCCCTAGTTGTTTGTGAATAATAATAGAGTTTCTTACTCTTCAGTGTTTGCGCATGTGAGAAGCAGCAGCCATGAGTTCAAGTCTGGTTCTGCCACTCACTAGTAATGCTGTGTTGGGTAAATCTGACCTCATACTTAGCAGAAAGAGATGTATTCTTTACATAAATTGGGTTTTCCATTCTTAATCTCAAAAATATCCCTTGGTTTCTCATCTGAAAATTTTAAATTTTTTTTTTTTTGAGAGATGGAGTCTCGATATGTTGACCAAGCTGGTCTCAAACTCCTGGCCTCAAGCAATCCTCCCATCTTGGCCTTCCAAAGTGCTGGGATTACAGGTGTGAGCCACCACACACAGCCTGAAATTTTTAATTTAATGCTGCCTTTTTTTCCAGATGGAGTTTTGTACTTGTCACCCAGGCTGGAGTGCAGTGGCATGATCTCAGCTCCCTCACTGCAACCTCCACCTCCCAGGTTCAAGCGATTCTCTTGTCTTGGCCTCCTGAGTAGCTGGAATTACAGGCACCCGCCACCACGTTTGGCTAATTTTTGTATTTTTAGTAGAGATTAGGTTTCACCATGTTGGCCAGGCTGGTCTTGAACTCCTGACCTCAGGTGATCTGCCCGCCTTGGCCTCCCAAAGTGCTGGGATTACAGGCATGAGCTACTGTGTCCAGCCATGTTGGATACTTTCTAATACTTCCTTCCACCTGTGAGAAACTTAGTCTAAACCATGTTACTATTCAATCTACTATTTCAACACTCTTCATGCTATATTCAAACAAAATTCAATTTCAAAAAAACTAGTAAGCACTGTCACTCACGATTATCAGCAATGCATGCATCCACAGTCTTCGTCACAACCACTGCAAGTTTAGCACTGGAAAGAGTCTCATGTGAATCAGATTCCAGCTGCATGAGAACTTGAGACAATACATCCAGTCCGCCCACAGATACGAAGTATTTCTGAACATATGCTTAAAGAATAAAGTAGCAAAACTATTAATATTTCAAACAAGACAGCTGAATGGTTTTATTCAATAAATCTGCATTAAATATAACATTGACCTTTTCAAATACTTTCTAAAAATCCCAAAATTAAAGAACTAAAAATCCAATCTTTACCTGTGCATATAATCATAAAATAGATTACTTATTATGTATCTTACTTTGACACAGTAAAACTACAGTATTTCTTGTGTACTAGAAATCTTTTTTGTTTCATTTAGTAAGAACTGCTCTATTTTGTAAGAATGGCATTATTAAGCTGTCCTTTAGGCCGAGCATGGTGGCTCATGCCTGTAATCCCAGCACTTTGGGAGGCTGAGATAGGCAGATTGCTTGAGTCAGGAGTTCAAGACCAGCCTGGCCAACATGCTGAAACCCCATCTCTACTAAAAATAAAAATAATAAGCTGGGTGTGGTGGTGCATGCCTATAATCTCAGTTACTCAGGTGGCTGAGGCAGGAGGACCACTTGAACCTGGGAGGCAGAGGTTGCAATGAGCTGAGCTCACACTACTGTACTCCAGCCTGGGTGACAGAGTAAGACTCTGTCTCAAAAAACAAACAAACAAAAACAAAAGAAAAAAACAAAAAAAACACCTAACCCTCAACATTATTAAACAAGTCTTTCAATAGAGTTATAAAGAATATATTCATTCATTTATCTTGGTAATTAGCAAGCTGCCTATTTTCTGCAATCCAACATAACTAATTCCTCAGATTGACTCCTCAAGATGCAAAGTAATTTAACCGTTCTAAAAGAGCATACATCTCATCCATCATATTTACACCTAATTATTTTACTTCTTGGAGCATAAAATTATAACAGATCCCTGAGAGTCGTAACTATTCCAAGCAAAGATTCAATGACCGGTATCTATTTCTTTAAGTCTGAAGTCTTTTGTTCCCTAGTGGAAAATAATTCTGGGCCGGGCACCATGGCTCATGCCTTTAATGACTACAGGCGTGCACCACCATGCCTAGCTAGAAATTTTTGTATTTTTGGTAGAGACAGGGTTTGACCATGTTCCCCAGGCTGGTCTCAAACTCCTGAACTAAAGCAACCTGCCTGCCTCGGCCTCCCAAGGTGTTGGGATTACAGGCGTGAGCCATGGCGCCCAGCCCAGAAACATTATTTAAGGGCAGGCAAACATTTTCAATATTATGGTGGCTCCAAAATAGACTTCTTTCCTAGAAAGTATTTTCATTTTTTAAAAATCTTCAAAAAAGAGGCTGGGTGTGGTAGTAGCTCATGTCTGTAATCCTAGCATTTTTGAGAGGCTGAGGCAGGAGGATTGCTTGAATTCAGAAGTTCAATATCAGCCTGGGCAACATAGTGAGACCCCATCTCTACAAAATAAAAAAAAAAAATTGAAAATTAGCCAGGCTCAGTGGTGTGTGCCTGTAGTCCCAGCACCTCAGGAGGCTAAGGCAGGGGGATCACTTAGGCCTAGAAGTTTGAGGCTGCAGTGACCCATGATTGTGCCACTGTACTCTAGCTGGGGTGACAGAGTGAGTGAGACTCTAGCTCAAAAAAAAAAAAAGCACTTGTTAATGCATTGATGAAAATGGCAGTGTGTTACCACAGATTCTTAGTTATAGCCTAAGTGACAAAAACTCAGGCATATAAGCAGAAGAACATCCTAGACCACATTTATTGTACACTGAATATTTCAGATTTCCTCTGATCTGTAGTTTACTGAGGGTAATGACGTCCTATAACTATCACTCATTAAAGTTGGCTTTTAGAGATAAAGGGACTGTTAGGGTATCACGGAAATAGATTCCAATTTTTTTTGAATTCTAGAGATACATCCTTTGCATGTGACATATGAGTATTCGTTTCAAACACTTGAATATAGATATACATCAGCAATGTGTGAAAGTTCTAGTTGTTCCACATCCTTGCCAATATTTAACATGACCACTTTTTAACATGCTAGTGGTGTGTAGTAGTATCTCCATGGGATTTTAATTTGGATTTCTCTGATAACTAATTATTTCTTGAGCATTTTTTTCCTGAGACAAAGTCTTGTTCTGGCTCTGTCACCCAGGCTGGAGTGCAGTAGCGTGATCGTGGCTTACTGTAAGCTTGAACTCCTGGACTCAAGTGATTCTCTTGCCTCAGTTTCCTGAGTAACTAGGACTAAAACAGGTGCATGCCACCATATTTGGCTAATTTTTAGAATTTTCTTGTAGAGACAAGGTCTCACTACGTTGCCCAGTCTGGTCTCAAACTCCTGGGCTCAAGCGATTCTCCCTCCTTGGCCTTCCAAAGCACTGGGATTACAGGCATAAGCCACCATGCCCAGCCAATCTTAAACATCTTTTCAAGTGCTTATTTAATATTCATATCTTCTTTGGCGAAGTATCTGTTCAAATCTTTTGCCCATTTTTTTTAATCTTTTAATCATCAGGTTGCTTTTGTCTTCTTACTGATTTATAAGAGCTGTTTACAAGTTTCTGGGTACAAATTCTTTTTTTTTTTTTTTTTTGAGACAGAGTCTCTCTCTGTAGCCCAGGCTGGAGTGCAGTGGCGCAATCTTGGCTCACTGCAAGCTCCACCTCCTGGGTTCATGCCATTCTCCTGCCTCAGCCTCTTGAGTAGCTGGGACTACAGGCGCCCACCACCACGCCCGGCTAATTTTTTTGTATTTTTAGGAGAGACGGGGTTTCACCGTGTTAGCCAGGATAGTCTCAATCTCCTGACCTCGTGATCCGCCTGTCTCGGCCTCCCAAAGTGCTGGCATTACAGGGGTGAGCCACCGTGCTGGGCCCAAATTCTTAATCAGATAAATGTTTCTTAAATATTTTCTCTCAGTCTAGCTTACCTTTCATCCTCATAGCAAGCTCTTCCGAAGAGCAAAATTATTTCAATGGAGTCCAATTTATCATTTTTTCTTTAGTTATTTATGCTTTTTGTGTCCTTAGAAACCTTTGCCTACCCCCAAGGTGTGAGAATCTTCTGCTTTTGTTAACGTTTTATATTTTTCACTCTTATACTTATTTAAGTCTATGAACCATTTCAAGTTAGTTTTTGTATACTGTATAAGGGTTCAGATTCATATTTTGCATATAGATACCCACTTTTTCTAGCATTATTTGTTGAAAATATCTTTTCCTCCACAGAATTGCAATGGCATTTTTGTAGACAATCAACAACAATATATGTATGAGTCTATTTCTGGGCTCTCACTTTTGTTTCCTTAATCTGTAAGTCTACAAGGCCAGGTGCGGTGGCTCATGCCTGTAATCCCAGCACTTTGGGAGGCCAAGGCGGGAGGATCACTTGAGATTAGGAGTTCAAGACCAGCCTGGCCAACATGGTGAAACCCCATCTCTACTAAAAATACAAAAATTAGCCAGGCTTGGTGGCGGGCACCCGTAATCCCAGCTACTCAGGAGGCTGAGACAGGAGAATCACTTGAGCCTGGGAGGTGGAGGTTGTAGTGAGTCGAGACTGTACCATGCACGCCAGCCTGGGCAACTAGAGTGAAATTCTGTCTCAAAAAAAAAAAAAAAAAAGAATCTGTAAGTCTATACCTACACCAAAGCCACGCTTTCTTGATTTCTGTATAAGTATTAAAATCAGGCAACACAGTCCTACGGTTTTATACTTTTTTCCCCAAAAGTTTCAATTATCCTAGCCCCTTTGCATTCCATGTAAGTTTTAGAAGCAGCTTGTTAATTTCTAGAGAAAAATCTGCTAGGATTTTGCTTGGGAATTCCATGAGTCTAGAGATGAATTTGAAAGTGACGTTCTTACAGTGTTGAGTCTTATAATCCAGAGTATTATATATCTTTTTTATTTTTGTTACTCTGTGTGTGTGTGGCTGGGGCGGTGTTACAGGATCTCCCTGTTGCCCAGGCTGGAGTGCCATAGCACAATCATAACTCACTGCAGCCTTGACCTCCCAGGCTCAAGCAATCCTCCCAAGTAGCTCAGACTACAGGTGTGAACCATTACACCTGGCTAGTTTTTAAATTTTTCTGTAGATACAGGGTCTTTCTATGTTGCCCAGGCTGGTCTTGAACTCCTAGATTCAAGTGGTCCTCCTGCCTCAGCCTCCCAAAGTGCTGGGATTATAGGCATAAGGCACTACACCTAGTCTCTTGTCTTTTTCCCAGTCTCAAGGGGAAAACATTAAGTCTTTCACCGTTAAGTGTGTTACTTGTAGTATTTTGTAGAGGTCGTTTATCACATTAAGGAAGTTTCCTTCTGTTCCTAGTTTACCATGAGTTTACAGATGTAGGTTGAATTATGTCAAATGCTTTTCCTGCATCTATTGAAATTATCATATTGTTCTTCTTTTCTAGACTGTTAATATGATGAATTTTCTAATGTTAAACCAGTCTTGCATTCCTGGGATACACGCCACTTGGTCATAACATATTATCTTTTCTATATATTGCTAAATTAGATTTGTTAATATTTTGTTAAGGATTTTTACATCTATGTTCATAGAGCTATTAGCCAACAGTTTCTCGTAATGTTGTTTCTGGGTTCTGATATCGGTGTAATGCTGGCCTTATATGTTGGGAAGTGTTTCTCTCACTTCTATTTCCTGGAATAATGTATGTGAAGTTATTTGTTTGTTTCCTGAAATGTTTAGCAGAATTCGCCAATGTAACCATTAAGGCCTGGAATTTCCTAAGCTAAGGTTTTGTTTTGCGTTTTGTTGTTGTTGTTGTTGTTGTTTAGAAGTGGGTTCTTGCTATGTTGCCCAGGCTGCAGTGGCTATTCTCAGGTATGATAATAGCACACTATACCCTTGAACTTCTAGACTCAAGTGATCCTCCCACCTTAGTCTCCCAATAGCTGGGACTACAGGCATGCGCCACCGTGCCCAGCTTGTGTTAAGGTTTTAAACTACAAATTTGACTTCTTTAACAGATATAGGAATATTCAGGTTACTATTTCTTCTTGGGTGAGCTTTGTTTGGTAGTTTGTATCTTTCAAAGAATCTGTCCAACTCATCTAAGTTGTTAAATGTCATGACATAAAGCTGTTTCTACTATTCTTTTATTACTCTTTTAATATCTGTTAAGATCTATAGTGATGTCACCTTTCATTCCTGGCACAGGTAATCTGAGCTTTCTCTCATTACTTTGTGATCAGTCTGGCTAGAGGATCACTTTTATTGATTTTTTCAAAGAATTAGCTCATGTTTCAATTATTTTTCTCTATTTCACGATTTCTAATCTCTTCATTATTTCCTTTGTTATGCTTATTTTAACTTACTTGGTTGGCTAATTTCTTAGGTAGAAGCTAATATGGTTTTTTTGGGTTTTTTGTGTTTTTTTTTTGAGACAGAATCTGTCTCTGTTGCTCAAGCTGGAGTGCAGTGGTATGATCTTGGCTCACTGCAAGCCCTGCCTCCCAGGTTCAAGTGATTCTCCTGCCTCAGCCACCCGAGTAGCCGGGATTACATGTGCACACCACCACACCAGGCTAATTTTTTTGTATTTTTAGTAGAGACAAGGTTTCGTCACATTGGCCAGGCTGGTCTGGAACTCCTCACCTCAAGTGATCCTCCACCTCGGACTCCCAAAGTGCTGGGATTACAGGTGTGAGCTACCACACCCAGCCAGAAGCTAGTATAATTGACTTGAGACCTTTCTTCTTTTCTTATACAAGCCTTAATACTATAAATTTCCCTCTAAACACTGTTTCGCAGCATCCCACAGATTTCTTTTAATTTTTAATTTTTTTTTTTTTTTTTTTTGAAACGGAGTCTCATTCTGTCACCCAGGCTGGAGTGCAGTGGTGTGATCTCAGCCTCTGCAGGTTCAAGAGATTCTCCTGCCTCCGCCTCCTGAGTAGCTAGGATTACAGGTGCCCGGCTAATTTTTGTATTTTCAGTAGAGACAAGGTTTCACATGTTGGTCAGGCTGGTCTCAAACTCCTGACCTCAAGCGATCCACCTGCCTCAGCCTCCCAAAGTGCTGGGATTACAGGTGTGACCCACTGCGTCTGGCTTTTTTTTTTTTTTTTTTGAGACAGTCTCTTTCTGTTGCCCAGGATGGAGTGCAATGGTGTGATCTTGGCTCACTGCAACTTCCGTCTCCTGGGCTCACGCGATTCTCCTGCCTCAGCCTCCCAAGTAGCTCGGATTATAGGTGTCTGCCACCATGCCCAGCTAATTGTTGCCAACATGCCCAGCTAATTTCTGTATTTTTAGTAGAGATGGGGTTTTACCATGTTGGTCAGGCTGGTCTTGAACTCCTGACCTCAAGTGATCCGCCTGCCTCAGTCTTCCAAAGTGCTGGGATTATAGGCGTGAGCCACCATGCCTGGCCTAATGTTGTATTTTCATTATCATTCAGTTAGAAACATTTTATAATTTTCCTTATGATTTATGCATTGACTCACAGATTTTAGTACTAAGTTGTTTAATTACCAGATATTTGGGGCTTTTCTAGATGTTTTGTTTTTATTCATTTCTAATTTAATTACCTTGTGATCAGAGAACACACTCTATGGGTTTTTAGTCTTGCTATCTGGTTTCTCCGTTTTATGAGAGTATCTGGGGAGATTAAAAAAATGATGCTGCTACCACCATCTTCCCAATATCCTTCTAAAAATATCTACTTTTAAGATTTTCTTATCTTTAAGAGTCTAAATACATCCAAAATAACCCAAATTACAAGAATTCAATTGATTCAATAATAAATTCAATCGTTTTTATTATGCTTTGAAATATGTTTCTTCAACTATGACCTAGAAAATAACGAACACTTACTGTTATTTGCAAGAGTGAGTCCAATAAATGAGCAAATAGGGCGAATTATCTCAGGTGTCGTGCAATTTTTTAGCCATTCATTAGCATGTGGAAAAAGGGAACAGCAAAACATTTGATTCTCATCTGAAAGAAGACAAAGTCAATCATGATTTAATATGACAATTGGAAAATATCAGTTTTCATTTGTTTTTATCTTTATTTTTATATTTAAACATGACAGATAATTACCATTTTGAGGATTGTTGACACAGACACACAGAGTACTACACACTGAAGACCACAACTGATAACTCTGGAAAACATTTTTATCTGACAAATCCAACTCATGTTTTGAAATAACTGTCCTATTAGGTTAAAAAGAAAAGAAAGTAAATTAATACAAATGTGTTAAGGTCCTAAGTAATGAATAATTAACAAAAAGAAATTTGTATTTGTTTACCTGAATAACCGTGACAGAACTGTAATACAACCTGTTTCTCTCACAAGTGTTTGTCCGGTCCCTTAAAAAAATAGCCATATAAAAATATGAGTTTTATTTACAAATAGTCTTGCAGAAATGAAGAACAGTTAAGTTTTATTTTAATAAATAACTTTTAAACAACTTTAAAGTATTACAAAGTATAACATAGAATTACGGTGGATAAAAATCTGCAATCAAGATTATTATGAAAAATATGTCACTACTGCTTAGAGACTAATTGTATTCAAATTTCCTCTAAAAATTACAAAACTCTTACTTTGCATCATGGTTCTGTGTTGCAGTATCAAGATAAGTTCCAAAATGGAAAAATAAATAAATTCAACCTTTTCTAGTTTTTCCAAAATAAAACAAAATCTAGAAACATTTTTTTTAAGTGCACGCCTGGCAAGAAGGCGCCTCCTCAGGCCTCTCTGGCAAGAGGCTTAGCTGAATTACCTGAGCCTGCTCAGACTACCATTGTGCCTGGGTCTGTGATCCTCCCCATGGAAACAATAATAGCAGAGGACTAGAGGGTGAGAGACCAGCCACTGCTAGCAGAAGAAGGTGAGGCTTGACTTCTCCCCTTCAAAGGATACAACCTGATGCCTCGCTTCCCTGAGGCTGCCCTACCCCCACCCAACACCCTGGGGGTTTGGGCCTTGAGCCCTACAACCACCCAGACTTCCCCCTCTATTGATGCCCACATTTCCCCTCTAGCAGGAAGGGTGGCATGAGAGAGTCTGCTGGTACTGAATATGGTCGTGCTGGGACCTGGGTGACATGGGGAAGGGGTTACACAGCCTTGGCCTCCCCAAGTGCTGGGGTTACAGATGTGACCTGCTGTGCCTACCTAGAAGCATTTCTTTTTTTTGAGGCAGAGTCTCGCTCTGTCACTCAGGCTGGAGTACAGTGGCTTGATCACAGCTCATTGCAGCCTCAACCTCCAGAGCTCACTCAATTCTCCCACCTCAGCCTCCCAAGTAGCTGGTAGTACAGGTGTGTGCCACCACACCCAGTTAATTTTTCTTTTTCTTTTTCTTTTTTTTTTTTTTTTATTTCTTTGTAGAGAGACAAGGTCTCAGTATGTTACCTAGGCTGGTTTCAAACTCCTGGGCTTAAGGGATCCTCCCACCTTGGCCTCCCAAAATGCTGGGATTACAGGGATGATCCACCACCCTGGCCTAGAAACATTTTAAATGCTTACAGAATTTCTAACAGTTTGAAGAATTAAAATTTTAAAGAGTTAAAAAATAACTGAGCAGTAAGTATATGGGAACATTCTATATTCTCTTTGCCACTTTTCTGTAAATCTAAAATTATTCCAAAACAAAAACCATTGCTGGCTTACACCGTAAACACTGTAACTAAATGGTCAATTCAGCAGAAAATCAAATAAACTAATTCATTAAATGCCTCTCTTTTTCTCTTTAAACCTGTTACCTTTCAATGCTAAGTACTACAAATTACTTTATTTCTTAAAATTAATAAGTATTGAATGATTAAATACATGCTAATAACCCACTTTTCTTTAAATTAGTATTCCTCAGAGGTGAGGTTAAAAAAAGACACTGGGCCGGGAGCAGTGGCTCACGCCTGTAATCCCAGCACTATTTGAGACCAGCCTGGCCAACATGGTGCAACCCCTGTCTCTACTAAAAATCCAAAAATTAGTTGGGCATGATAGCATGTGCCTGTAATCCCAGCTACTCAGTAGGCTGAGGCAGGAGAATCACTTGAACCAGGTGGCAGAGGTTGCAGTAAGCCAAGATCATGCCACTGCACTCCACCTTGGGTGTCAGAGCAAGACTCTGTCTCCAAAAACACAAAAAAACAAAACTGATATAAGAACTCAAATAAAAAATTAATAATGGCTGTTCCAATTGATTAAAGTGTTTTCAAATAGTCATAAGAGAATGTACTTACTATTATTTGAAACCAGAACCAAAATAACATAAACAGACATTCTTTTCAAATTTATGTTTGAATCATTAGATAAGAACCAAGTTAAGTCTTCAAACAACTCTGAAGTACACAAAGTCTGCTGACAGTAAACTGAAATATAAAATATAATTTTAATTTCAATGCATTGTCACAAACATGCTTTAAAATATGCTGAACAAAATAAAAAATTGCCTAACTGGCGATGGTTCTTAACCAAATCTCATTTAATTGATATTTATTAGTCATACAACAAAATTTCTGACAAACTGATATGCGCTTACTCAATTAGCAAAGAAGCAGAATATTAATCAAAAGTACTTAATCTAGGCTCCAAAACACATACTGAAATCCCCTAGAATTTACAATAAAAAACTTACCTGAATAAAAAATTAAATAAAATTTAGCAAAAAAAAAAAACACTTTAAAGGATGAGTAACAAAACATAGCAAGAAAAACAATTCAAGAAAATTCAGAAACCTACTTTAGAAAACAGAGGGACAAACAATATTTGTGCTATGTTCTGAGACTTTCCTAGAAATAAAACTCTTTTCAAAAATCATACTACCTGATAGTTTTTGTGTGTGTGTGATAACGCAACAAGCAGAATTTTACAAAAATAATATAGACATAAAGATACAATCAACGTTTCATCCAGTTCCTAGAACCAGCCATTAGACCCTATCTCAAAGGCAAGGACTAAGCCAGGCACAGAAAGACAAACATCATGTTCTCACTTATTTGTGGGATCTAGAAATCAAAACAATTGAACTCATGGAGATAGATGATTACCAGAGGCTGGGAAGGGTAGTGGAAAGTGGTGGGTATGGTACCAAAAAAAAAAAAAAAAAAAAAGAAAGAATGACTAAGACTTACTATTTGATAGCATAACAAAATAACCATAATCAATAATAATTTAATTGTACACTTTAAAATAACTAAAGAGTATAATTGGATTGTTTGTGTAACATAATGAATAAATCCTTCAGTGGATGGAAACCCCATTCTCCATGCCGTGATTATGCACTGCATGTCTGTATCAAAACATCTCATGTACCCTATAAATATATACACCTATTATATAGCCACAAAAATTAAAAATAAATTAAAAAAAAATTCGGCCGGGCGCGGTGGCTCACGCCTGTAATCCCAGCACTTTGGGAGGCCGAGGCGGGCGGATCACGAGGTCAGGAGATCGAGACCATCCTGGCTAACACGGTGAAACCCCGTCTCTACTAAAAATACAAAAAATTAGCCGGGCGTGGTAGCGGGCGCCTGTAGTCCCAGCTACTCGGGAGGCTGAGGCAGGAGAATGGCGTGAACCTGGGAGGCGGAGCTTGCAGTGAGCCGAGATCGCGCCACTGCACTCCAGCCTGGGCGACAGAGCGAGACTCCGTCTCAAAAAAAAAAAAAAAAAAAAAAAAAAAAAAAAAAAAAAAAAAAAAAAAAATTCAGGGACTATATCTTACTTATCCCTGTATCCCCAATGCCTTGCACAAAGATTGGTTCCTAAAAGGTGATTTTTTTTTTTTTTTTTTGAGACAGGGTCTTACTCTGTGGTCTGTCACCCAGGTTAGAGTGCAGTGGCATAATCTCGGCCCACTGCCACCTCCACCTCCCAGGCTCAAGCAATCTCCCACCTCGGCCTCCCAAGTAGCTGGGACCACAGGTGCACACTACCATGCCTGGCTGATTATTTGTATTTTTGGTAGAGATGGGGTATCACCATGTTGTCCAGGCTGGTCTCAAACTCCTGAGGTCAAGTGATCCACCTGCCTCAGCCTCCCAAAGTGCTGGGATTATAGGCGTGAGCCACCACGCCTGGCTGATGAAGAAATATTTAATAAATAAAAATATAAGAATATAAAGTTGGTCTGACAAAACAATGGTTTATATTCATCCTCATTTTAGACACACTGCAGAAAAGTGTTCTTGCCAATGTGAATTTCTATACCCAAAGCATATTTACCCACACATGACATGGTTGTGGGTTATCTTCATCCTTTGATCTGGAAAGAAGATGAAAGAGAAAGGAAAAGACAGGGAAAAGGGAAGGGAAGGAAAAAGGGAAGGGAAGGAAAAAGGGGAGGGGGGCAAAGGAGAAAGGGGAGAGGAGGGGAGGAGAAGGGAAAGGAGGGAGGGGAAGGGAAGAGAAAAGAAAGAAAGAGAGAGAGAGAGAAAGAAGAAAGGAAAGGCAAGGAAAGGAACGGAAAGGAAAGGAAACGAAAGGAAAGGAAAGGAAGGAAAGAGAGAGAAAGAGAGAAAGGAAGGGAGGGGGGAAGGAGGCTAGATAAAATTATTCAAACATGTAAAAAAAAGGAAAGGAAATTAACTATAAAATTAGTTTTGAGTATACTGTTAAAATATAACACAATGCTTAAAGTATAATGAAATAAAGTTTTATATTTTACCATTTTTCTCTGCAATAGCTCCTAATGTATATAAGGCTGCTTCTTTTACCATGCTATGTTCACTTGACTTTGCAAGATTTTTTACAAACATCAAACCACCAATTTCCCGAAAATAAACACTTGCATTACCTGTAGGATGTGCAGAAAAAAAACAAAATAGAAATGATATTTATTTTCAGGGATAAAATAAATCACATGAAGACGTAACATGATATGTAGAATAACTGAATGGAAGATAAAGAACTATGCTTATTTGATATATCAGAGTACTAAAGAACTAGAATCACAGATAAAAATTCACTATTATATCTTACTGTTTTGTTGACAAATTGAATGAATAGTGACCAAAGCTTCCTTTTGTGAAAAAGCATTGTCCATTTGATACTTTAGACACTCCAATAATAAGTTCAGGTCAGTCTTCATTTCTAAAGAACAAAAATGTCATTATTTTAAACCAAAAGGTTTATTTCATAAACTAACCATTCAAATTTCACTTACTAAATACATATCTTTGGAATGGTCAACTTTTAAAGTAATAGGCAGGTATTACTTTTATAATCCAACAACCATGTATTTTTTTTAAAAATGTTCTTTAAATAAAATAACTTAAAATGAACATCTTATAGTTCTTTGAGTTTCCCTTTTTATAAATATAGGAATAGAAAGTCCAAATATTATTCTCTTTAAGTAAAGCCACACTGGTTTAAATATCTGTCATTTAGAAAAAAAAAGTGGATAAAAATGAAAATAACAACATATGAGAATTTGTGGGATGCTACAAAAACAGTATTTAAGATGAAAGGTCTCAGATCAATGACATCGGCTCCCACCTAGGAAATTAGAAAAAGAACAAATTAAACCCAATATAGGTACAATAAAGGAAATTATAAAGATCTAAGCTGAAACCAGTGAAACAGAAAACAAATACAGAGGAAGTTCTTTGAGAAGAGCAACAAAACTGATAAACTTCTAGCCAGATGAATTAGGAAAAAAGGAGTAAAGACACAAATTACCAATATCAGAAATGAGAGAGATGGCATTACCACATTCCACAGATATTCGGAAGATATTAAGGGAGTACTACATACAATTTCATACCTACAGATTGAACAACTTAGGTGAAATGACATCACCAAAACTCACCCAAGAAGAAAAAGACAACTTGAATAGTCCTATATCTATGAAAGAAGTTGAATTAAGAGTTAAAAACTTTTCCTCAAAGAAAACTCTAGGTTCAGATGGTTTCATCTGTAAATTCTACCAAACATTTAAGGAGGGAATAATATAAATTCTACTCAATTTTTTTCAAAAGTTTAAGAGAAGGAATACTTCCCAACTTATTCTATGAGGCTGGTATTACCTTTATACCAAAACGGAAGCCATTAGCAACAAAACTACAGACCAGTTTCCCTCATGAACATACATGCAAAAAGTCTAAACAATTTTAGCAAATTGAATCCAACAATATATTAAAATAAAAATACATCACGACTAAGTGGGTTTATCCCAGAAATACAAGGTTGATTTATGATTTAAAAAAAATCAATGTAACAAAACTTAAACAGGAAAACCTTTTGGTCATCTCAATAGATGTAAAAACAGCATCTGATAAAATCCAACGTGCATCCCTGATTAAAGAAAAATATTCCGCAAATTTGGAATAGAAAGGAACTTCCTCAACCTGGCAAAGTGCATTTACAGTTGAAAACCCTACAGCAAACATCATACTTAACAGGGAGAGACTGAATATCTTCTCTCTAAAACCAGGTATAAGACAGAGATGTTTGTTCGTATCACCACTCCTATATAACATTGTCCCGAAGAGTCTAGCCAGTGCCGTCAGGTAAGAAAAAAGAAATAAAAGGCACCCAAATTGGCAAGGAAGTATTTGAATTTGCATACAACATGATCTTCTATATAACTGGATGGAATCTACAGAAAGCTACTAGAATCAGTGAACTAAGTTTTCCAGATAACTCTTTAATACATAAAAATAGATTGTACAGCCAAGTGTTGCTTAATGATGGGGATACATTCTGAGAAAAGCATCATTAGTTGATTTTATCATTGTATCAACATCATAGACTTTACTTACACAAACCTAGATGGTAGAGTTTATTACACATCTAGGTTGTATGGACAGCTATTGCTCCTAGGCTATAAACCTACACAGCATGTTACTGTATTGAATAATATAGTCAATTGTAATACAATGGCAAATTTTTGTATATCTAAACACATCTAAACATAGAAAAGCTATAATACAGATTTTTTTTTAGAAGATATATCCAGAAGCTGATATGGGTGCATCAGCGAGTGAGTGGTGAATGAATGTGAAGGCCTAAGACATTATTGTACACTACTGTAGACTTTATACTACTCAATTTATTTTTAAAATTTTATTTTATTTTATAAAATTTTATTTTATTTTATTTTGCACTCCAACCTGGACAATAAGAGCAAGACTCTGTCTCAAAAAAACAAAACAAAAAAAATTTAGAGTTCTGAAAGATATAGGATGAAGGGTGGATATAATATAGAGGAGCATACTAAGAGAAATTAAGATGTATCATCAATCAATACAGTACTTAGTCTCACTCTTTGTTTTGTGGTTTGGTTTTTTTTTTTTTTTTTTTTTTTTGAGATGGAGTCTCGCTTTCTCACCCAGGCAGGAGCGCAGTGGTGCTATCTCACTCACTGCAACCTCTGCCTCCTAGGTTCAAGTGATTCTCCTGCCTCAGCCTCCCGAATAGCTGGGATTACAAGTGCCCACCGCCATGCCCGGCTAATTTTCTGTATTTTTACGAGAGATGGGATTTCACCATGTTGGCCAGGCTGGTCTCAAACTCCTGACCTCAGGTGATCCACCTGCTTCGGCCTCCCAAAATGCTGGGATTACAAGCATGAGCCACTGCACCCGGACTGGTTTTTTTTTGAAATGGAGTCTCACTCTGTCACCCAAGCTGGAGCGCAGTGGCACAATCTTGGCTCACTGCAACCTCTGCCTCCCGGGCTCAAGCAATTCTCCCACCTCAGCCTCCCAAGGAGCTGGGATTACAGGTGTGCACCACCACGCCCAGCTAAATTTTTTTTATTTTAGTAGAGACAGGGTTTCACCATATTGCCCAGGGTGGTTTCGAACTCCTGAGCTCAGGCAATCCATCTGCCTTGGGCTCCCAAAGTGTTGGGATTACAGACCTGAGCCACCACGCCCGGCCATAGTCTCACTGTTGAAAGAAATTCAACTGTCAATTTGTTTCAATGAAATAATTCATGACAAAATTTGTTAGTGAAAAACCATAGTACAAAGGTTATCACTAAGATGCTTTTAGCAACAGCAAATATTTATCTATCATTTTGTACACTAACAGACACTATAAGAAGGTAAGTTTGACTATGGATACCAATAAGCCACATCAACGTGCCAAAGAAAATTTTTGATGGAGCATAATGATTTTCAGTTCTAGGCACAATGCAGGCAGGATACAAGAGACTTTTCTTCTCTTTTCTTTTCTTTTCTTTTGAGACAGGGTCTCACTATATTGCCCAGGCTGGAGTGCAGTGGTGCAATCACAGGGCACTGTAGCCTCAACCTCCTGGGCTCAAGGGATCCTCCCACCTCAGCCTCCCAAGTAGCCGGGAATACACGCACATGCCACCACGCCTGGCTAATTTTTATATTTTTTGTATAAACGGGATTTTGCCATGTTGCCCAGGCTGGTTTCAAACTCCTGAGCTCAAGCCATCCTCCCACCTCGGCCTCCCAAAGTGCTGGGATTATAAGTGTGAGCCACCAAGCCTGGTCTGCAAGAAACTTCTTTACGTATTCCTCCATTCCCTTCTGTATGCCTTTCTCATACTTTGGTATCTCCTATCATAATCCTTCCCTTCCCAGCCAAAGCATCTCCTGACATAACAACTATCATGTTTCACCTTGGTTTTTATCTTCTCTAGGCAAAGTAACCTAGTTCCTTCAATACCTCCTGAATAAAATAAACCAGCAAACACTGAAGTGAATACAAAAAACACAATCAGGCTGGGCACAGTGGCTCACGCCTGTAATCCCAGCACTTTGGGAGGCCGAGGTGGGTGGATCACAAGGTCAGGAGATGGAGACCATCCTGGCTAACATGGTGAAACCCCGTCTCTACTAAAAATACAAAAAATTAGCTGGGCGTGGTGGTGGGCGCCTGCAGTCCCAGCTACTTGGGAGGCTGAAGCAGGAGAATGGCGTGAACCTGGGAGGCCGAGCTTGCAGTGAGCCAAGATCCGGCCACTGCACTCCAGCCTGGGCGACAGAGTGAGACTCCGTCTCAAAAAAAAAAAAAACACACACACACACACACACACACAATCAAATAAAATTTGATAAATTGGACTTAACATTTTAAACCTTTATACCTCAAAAGACACTATCAAGAATGCAGAACAACAGCCCAGTCTAGCAGAAAATATCTGCAAATCAGTTATCCAAATAAATAGGGGGCTTGTGTTCAGAACACATAAAGAATTCTTAAAGTGCAATTCTAAAATCACAATCTAAAGTGTGGAATGGATTTAAATAGACATCTGTCCAAAGATGACAGATTGCCAATAAGTATATGAAAAGATGCTCAACATCACTGGTCATTAGGCAAATGCAAATCAAAACCACAATTAGATACCACTTCACCCTGTTGCTAAACAATTGACTGATGGGAGCTGATGGATAAATACTCTTCACCCTTTGGCTGGGATGACTCTCAGGGACATGACTCTAAACTGGCTCCCAGTTTCCCAGTGGGCTTAAGCTCCAGTTACCCATAATAACTACTTATTTGATAACATACTCTCTGTCTTCTTTTTCCTATCTCATTTTCCCACTTTCCAGCTAGTGTTTCCTGGGATCACTTTCTGAAAAAAGGTACTTGCACTCAAATCCTTATCTCACAGTCTACTTCTGGGAGCAATCTAAAGACTTAAAATGGAAGAGAGTGAGGTGTGGGACTGAGGTTGGAGGTTTCGTAAATGGTTTGAGAGGGGAATCACCAACAGTTATCCCCTATCTCTCCAGTTTTCAACTTCTCCCTCTCCACAATCTCCATTCCCTCTTCAGAAATTCTGTCTTTTATAACACTTTCTTGACATTACAACTTTCCTCTAGCTACTGCCATATATCTTACTATTTATTTATTTATGAATGAATGACAGGGTCTCGCTCTGTCATCAACGCTTAAGTGCAGTGGTTCACTGTAGCCTTGACCTCCCAGGCTCAAGTGATCCTCCCACCTCAGCCTCCCAAGTAGCTGGTACTACAGGTGTGTACCACCACGCCCAGTTAATTTTTAATTGTTTTTGTAGAGACGAGGTCTCAATGTGTTGCCCAGTTTAGACTCAAACTCCTGGGCTCAAGTGATCCCCCACTTTGGCCTCCCAAAGTGCTGGAATGATAGGAGTGAGCCACCACACCCGGCTGATCATATATCTTTAGTCAAGCTCTTAAAGAGTAAGCAATTCATACTGTGTGTCTTCAGATCTTAATTTTCCACTCAAATCTAAACAGACTGCAATCGGGCTAAAATCTATTAAGTTTACCATTAACATAACAAATTACATCCTAAATGCAAAACGCAGTGGAAAATTCAGTCCTCAGCTGTGGCATTTGACATTTTAGGCTCTTAAGCAACCTCTTTCTCATGAAGCATTCTCGTAAGGTTCTGATTTCCAAGATACCACATTCCTCTCTTTTCACCTTTTTGAAATGTTTTTCTCAGACTTTTTTTAAGGGCTGTCTTCCTCAGCTAAAACCTTATGTGATGGTGTATATTATTGAACACTTTTCTCTCTGGTTAACCTCCTCCATGCCCATGGATTCAGTTTCCATCTTTCTGGGAACAATTCTGAAATCTGTACCTGCAGGCATCCTTTGATGGTAGTCCTCTCAGGTTCCCATTATTCTTGTATACACTGACATTAAATCAACTATCACATGATATTCTAATTGTCAGTATGTCTTTTCCCATTAGAATGTCAGTTTCCTGAAGCCAGAAATTATGTGACAGGCACAGAGTAGTGCTCAATAGTTATGTAAATGGCTGAATGATTCTTTCATTTCCTGGATCCTGTCAGATAATCTACAGTACATCCTACCAATACAAAACTCATTGCAGATATATGATCCATCAATTTCTCACCTTGTGTTTTCTTTGTGTCTTCACTTTCCATGCTTGTCTATATTCTTTTTCCTTATATTTTGTCTATAAGATAAAGGTATTTTCTCAATTTAAATCAATGTTTGAGAATGGCAAAGATATAAGTACAAATGGGCGGGAAAAATTGTTTTCCTGAAGCCAAAAGACCGAGGAACTACAACTTTTAAAATAATAATTAAACTTAATTAACTTAGTTAATAAGTTGAATCTGCAACTTATTAGATGCGTGATATCAAGCAGGTTGATTAAATTCTTTGAGGCTCTGTATCCTCATCTGTAAAATAGAAATGATATTCCTATTTCACAGAGATGTTACCATAATTACATTGAAAAACATAAACATATCTGGCATTTCTAAGCACTATATGCATTCAACAAATTTTATTAAGCAAATGAATGATTGGGTGACTGGATCTAACTGGACCTCTTAGCTGGTCCCATTTCCTTCCTTTTTTTTTTTTTTTTTGGACAGCAGGGTCTCACTCTGACACCCAGGCTGGAGCGCAGTGGCTTGATCACGACTCCCTGCAGCCTTGACCTCCCAGGATAAGGTGATCCTCCCACCTCAGCTTCCAGAGTAGCTGAAACTACAGGCACATGCCACCATACTTGGCTAATTTTTTGTATTTTTTGTAGAGACGGGGTTTCGCCATATTGCCCAGGCTGGTCACAAACTCCCGGTCTCAAGCAATCCACACACCTCAGCCTCCCAAAGTGCTGAGATTACAGGTGTGAGCTCCCACACCCAGCCCCCATTTTCTTATTTTCTTCATGGAAATCTTCATCTCATAGTTTCAGATTAGGGACCCCTCTACCTAAGAGAGGTTTAAAAACACACCACACACACACACACACACACACACACACACACACACACTCTTTAGATTGGCCTTTCTCTTCACAAGCTAAATACTAAATTAACAACCCATGGTTATTTTCAACATGGTATAGTGAGATGGGATCTCACTATGATGTCCAGACTGGTCTCCTGAGCTCAAGCAATCCACCCACCTCAGCCTCTCAAAGTGCTGGGATTACACACTTGAGCCACCATGCCCAGCCTAGAACCATTTTTAAAATAACTGGCAACTCTGATATGGCCTCTCACATACCCTACTTTAAAATGCTAAACTGATTAGTTAGAAAAAATGCCTCAGAGTCCAGTTAACTTCTTAGAGCAACAAATCAGGATTCACAAAACTCTAAAATTCTTATTTATTCCAACACTATGTTGTTAAAGAGAGATATCCAATTATCCATTTATAGAGCAAGGCCTTGTCTCAAAAAGAAAAAAAAAAAAAGAAAATACCTAAGCACAAAGAAATGTTTAAAGAAATAACAAATGTAAAAATCTTTTATAAAGTAGTATACAAATGTACAAGTATATTATTTTTGCCTTTTTTTTTTTTTAAGAGATAGGGTCTCAATCTGTCACCCAGGCTGTAGTGCAGTGGCATGATCTTGGCTCACTGCAGCTTCAAACTCCTGGGCTCAAGTGATCCTCCTGCCTCAGCATTCCGAGTAGCTGAGTCTACAGGCACACATCACCACACTGGGCTAATTTTTTAATATTTTTGTAGAGACAGGGATTTTGCTATGTTGCCCAGACTGGTCTTGAATTCCTGGCTTCAAGTGATCCTCCCGTCTTGGCCTCCCAAAGGGCTGAGATTAGAGGCATGAGTCACCATGCCTGGCCCATTTTTTAACCTAAATATTACATTACAATAGAAGTAGGTATGTTATAAGTCCACAGGATTGGATATTATTACAAGAATATTCACATTTACTAGAAATGTTCAATAGCAAAGAAAAATGCTATGTTACAAAGTTAACCAAAAAGAGTATAAGACTCAATTTAATCTATAGTATGATCCAAAGTAGATAGAGGTAAACATAAAATAAGACTGGCTAGAAAGACGACATATTAACACTTGTCTTTAGTTGGTGGTTCTATGGGTTTTATCCCACTATTTTCTATTTTTCACAATTTTTATAATAACAGCTTCTAACATTCAGTAAATACCTATTGAGGCTAGACTTTGTTCTTTACACCTTATGAATATTCTTTTTAGTCTTCACAATAACCTTATGAGGGAATTATAAGGACGAAGATACATGAGGAGAGGGCAAATAATTTGACTAACTTCAAAGTGCTAGTAAGTGCTAGAGTTAAAATGGGAGCCAAGAAAATTTCAGGCTAGGGCCTACACTCTTATCCTCTCTTATACTGTCTCCCATATATAAATACATATTGCTTTTGAACAAATGGGTTAAGATTTGGAAAATATTACTAGATTTAAAAAGATGAACTCTTTAGAAAATGGAAAATTGTTATCATATATGGATGTTTTTGTTTCATGGACAACCTTAAGGACTATTTCCTTAATTTTAATTATCCAATCTATTCTGCTTTTAATGTAATTTTTAAGAGGTGTAATGTATAACTTTTTCTTTTTTCTTTGGATGGAGTCTCACTCTGTTGCCCAGGCTGGAGTGCAGTGGTGTGATCTCAGCTCACTGTAACCTCCACCTCCCGGGTTCAAGCAATTCTCCTGTCTCCGCCTCCTGAGTGGCTGGAATTACAGGCACGCACCACCATGCCTGGCTAATTTTTGTATTTTTAGTAGAGACAGGCTTTCACGATGTTGGCCACGCTGGTCTCGAACTCCTGATCTCAGGTGATCCACCCGCCTCGGCCTCCGAAATTGCTGGGGTTACAGGTGTGAGCCACCGTGCCTGGCCTAAGAGGGGTAATGTATAACTTTTAAACCTAAATGCTTTAAAATTAAAACTGGTCACCCACACTCTTTTCTCCCTTTGTTTTTATACTTTTTTCTTATAAATGGTTACTTTGCACAAAAAGAGTTTGCCAAGTACTTGGTAGCATTAACACAAGTCATCTATTTACTTGAGAAGTGCTTACAAACACCCATAGCAAAGGATAAGTTATAACTTTCAAGGGATTGATAATCAGAAAATTATATTTAAAATTATAAAACAAGTATATTCTCAAGAACAAAAGCATCTGCCATATAAAGCAGATTATGAAGTGCTTTTAGTAATTTAGTGAATATATGTACTGCCACAAACAAGGAGATTTCAAAATTCTTTACTGTATTCTCACAGGAAAAAAGGATTTTTTTCTGGATGACAGAGAGAACCTCTCCCACTTACACGTTTCACTCAACCCACTCCCCAAAACAGTAGTGTTAACTCAAATTCAAATTTCAGCAAGAAAAGTAGCTGAATATTACTTGTTTACCTGATTTAGAAAATGTATACAAAAGCTTTTGGGGGGCCGGGCGTGGTAGCTCGCGCCTGTAATCCCAGCACTTTGGGAGGCCGAGGTGGGCGGAAGACTTCAGGCCAGGAGTTGGAGACCAGCCTGGCCAACATGGTGAAACCCCGTCTCTACCAAAGAAAAGTACAAAAATTAGCTGGGCGTGGTCACGCACCTGTAATCCCAGTTACTTGGGAGGCTGAGGTGGGAAGATCCCTTGAGCCCAGGAGATGGAGGTTGCAGTGAGCCAAGACCGCGCCACTGCACGCCAACCTGGATGATGGAGGGAGACCCTGTCTCAAAATAAATAAATAAAAATAAAGAAAGTTTTTTTTTTTTTTTTTTGAGACAGTCTGGCTCTGTCGCCCAGGCTGGAGTGCAGTGGCGCCATCTTGGCTCACTGCAACCTCCGCCTCCCGGGTTCAAGCGACTCTCCTGCCTCAGCCTCCCCAGTAGCTGGGATTACAGGCGCCCACCACACCAAGGCCAAGAAAGCTTTTTGAAATCGAAATATTATCCCAGTATATCAGAAAGATAAATGGCATCTTTTTGTGTAAGGCTGGCAGGGCTGATAATCCCACCACTAAATTGTTTTTTGTCAGCGGATATCCAGCTTGTAATTATATATAGCGAAAATACCCTCTAAAGAAGACGCAAGAAGAGAGAAGGGGCAAATTTGTTTTCGATCGTTTAAACGGTCAAGAAATAACAGTCATTCAGGTCCCAGAAAACGCACTGTGGGTACCAGAAGTCAGCTGGCTCTGCAATATGAACACCCCCCCACTCCAGCCCAGAGCATAAATCCTCAGGGCCTCCTCCCAGGTTCCACAGGTAACAGACACGTAACCTTTCCAAGGCGGGGGCGCTCACCCCGCCCGGCTTCCTGCCCATTCAGCCTGCGGCCCGCTCACCTACAGAGTTGGATGAATTCCTTGTGCAGAGCTTAGGTGGCCCCTCCAGGCTCCTCTCTGACCAGGGCTCGCAAGTCCTGCGTGGGAGCAGGACACTGGTTAGCCGCGCGGGCCACTCGTGAGCCATCAGCACCCTCAGCAGGCCCTCCCCGCTCAGGTGCTGTGTGACATGCGGCCCGGCCCTGGCCCTGGGAAACGACCTCACCGGTGGGTCCCACCCTCTCCACACATCAAAGTCACCTGGGGAGGCGCCTGGGGAGTCAGAAGTGAAATAGGGGGGAATACTGCCAGGCTTTACACGTCTCTAAATGGTGCATCACGTGATGACTGTCTCTTCCCGCCAAGGGCTGTGGGGACTACAGCCGGGGCCTGGCACCTGCTCATAAAGGCCCCGTCCCCCCAACTCGACCCTTCTCACGTGGGCTAAGGGCCTGACGGGGCGGTAAGACATCCTGGCCGGCCCAACCCGCCTTACACAGGCGCCAACATACAGAGTTTCCAAGCGCGGTAAGGCAGGACAACAACGCGCGGGAGCGGAGGCCGTGGCGTCTACCCTCAAGCGGGAGCTTCCGCCCTTTCTTCATCACCGCTCACCTGCCACGACGCACGACAGGGTTTCCCGCCCAGCCGACCAGGCTCACGTCCGTGGGCGGGACTTCCGGCCGGCAGCCCCGCCGCCCCTGCAAGGTGTCTTACGCTTCCGCGGGTGCCCTAGGTTGCCAAGGGCAATGGGGTGGTCGGTGTCCCGGCCGCAAGATTTTTTAAAAAGCTACAATTTGAAAGAGAAATCTCACCGCCCCCGGTTTTTAGGGTTTTTACCTCAGACGAGCATTAGCCCCAAAATTAGGGGACTGTGCACGCGGTTGACGAGGCCTGGCTATGGGACGGTGGCCGCGAAGCACAGGACGGCGAAGCCCCAACCTCCCCTCCACCTGGCATCTGTGCTGTGTGTTCTCCCTTTTGTTGGGCACCTCGCTAATCGTCACCACAGCCCCACAGGGGCAGCCAGGCCTCCACCTCACCAGGGGGCTTCCGGAGTTCAGTCCAGGAGGACTTCTCCGCGCCTGGACCAAAGGATCAGAGTGGGGCCAAGGCCTGTCCCTTGCCGCCTCTGCCGTAAAATGCAGCCCATGGGACTGCTAGGCGATGAAGGCGAGGGGAAGGTCCCCGATACAGTGAAGAACAGCCAAAGAATGGCTGACACATTAGCGTCTGGAAAACCAAGTCCCTGTGAGGTACCCTAGCAAATCTAACAGGTTCTCACTTAAGAGACGCTGGCCTCAGAGACAGTTGCAGCAGATTAGGGGCCTTAGCTACTAAGAGTCATGCACCACGGACCACGTTCCTCAGCCCTAAGTATTAATACATCAAGCCCAAAACCGGGAACTGCCCCCACTTCTGGATTCTGGATTTCCACTCTGTTTGCATCTACTACTTCCTTTTTTTTTTTGCCCTCTAATATGCTGGTGAATGCTATTAGTCCCATGTGATTAAATTTAAGAGTATATATAATATGAGTAGAATGACCCCATAAAATTTCAAGAAGTAGGTTAGGCAGCCAAAACTCAAGTTAATTAAGATAATACTACATACAAGGGGATGGTCTTGTTTTCTGGGAAAACTACATATCCAGAAATATCTTTTTAAATTCTATTCATTTTAACAAATGATGATGGTCCTAAAATGTCCATAGCTAACATCTGCACATGGCTTAAATTCATTATTGAAGATGGTAAGAAAAAAAATTTTTAATTATCTCTAATAAAACACAAGGATAATCTATGACAAGTAACTTTGAAATAGCAAGCCAATATTGATGCTCAGTGAGAAATGGATAGGATTCATTTTCTAGGAAAATGACTGTCTCCTTTCCCCTCCCCACAAAGAACAAGACTACATTATTACAAATGAGAAAAATGTTTATTAAGAAAACAATTTAGCAGCTCTCCTTTAGAATTTTACAGACTAAAGCACAACCCGAAGGCAATTACAGTTTCAATCATTAACACACTACTTAAGGTGCTTGCTTACTCTACAACTGGAAAGTTGCTGAAGTTTGTGACATGCCACTGTAAATGTAAGTATTATTAAAAATTACAAATTGTTTGGTGATTATTTTGATGACCTCTTGAGCAGCAGCTCCTGAAAGGAAAAAGGAGAAAAGCAAATCTTTGAAAGAGTAAACTTCAAGAGTTACATACTCAATTCTGTAAAGAAACTTTTCCTTTTCAAAAGCAAAGGTGTTTTAAAGTGACCCAAAACAGATGCAGTTAGCTTACTGAGTCATATCAACATAAAAGCCTATAATTCTTTTTGTTATTAAAGGAAATCTAAACAGTAGTGTGGTTGACCAAACTTTAAAGGATACACACAGGCATAAAAGATTCTCAAAGGACACCCTACTGCTGCATTTGAATTTTACCTTGTATCTGTTTTATAATAAAAAAGGAGAAAGGTATATTTGTTCTGAATGCATTTGTAATTTAGGAAGGATCTATATTAAATATCGCCAGACCGCTATATTTACTCAAAACAAAAAAACTACTAAGAAAAAAACTTGTGCATCTTCTATAACCTGAAGATTCCTCTTTCCCAAATATTCATGGACTGGATAGAATTTTTTTTTTTTTTTAGACTAGAGTCTCACTCTGTCACCCAGGCTGGAGTGCAGTGGCGTGATCTCGGCTCACTGCAACCTCCTCCTCCCAAGTTCAAGTGATTCTCTTGCCTCAGCCTCCCAAGTAGCTGGGATTACAGATGCCTGCCACCACACCTGGATAATTTTTTTGTATTTTTAGTAGAGATGGAGTTTCACCATGTTGGCCAGGATGGTTTTGAACTCCTGACCTCAAGTGATCCGCCCACCTCAGCCTCCCAAAGCGGAGGCCTTACAAGCATTAGCCACCGCGCTCAGCCGACTGGATAGAATTTGAGACTACTGTGCACCAAATACTGTTCTAGGCAGTAGGGATACAGTAAGGAAAAAAGACAAGAAGATCCACTTACCCTCATGCTACTTTTTAGCAGCAAGAGAGAGAGAATTTATTTACAAATAAATAGAATGTGTAGTATGTCAACTGACCATAGGTGCTAAGGAGAAAAAGCAAATAAGGGAGATATAAATACAAGAGAAGGGGTTTGTATTTTAAATAGGAGAGTCAGGGATGGCATCGCAGAGAAGACAGCATTTGAATAAAACCTGAAGGAAGTGAAGGGATATAATGGCACTGTGCAAAATGATTACAGAATGCACAGAAGTAAAAAACAAAAAAAAAAAAACAAAGAAAACCTTCAATTTATACTTTTTTCTGCTATAGTTAAGTCATCCAGTCCATCCATCTGGCTGTACCTCTTCTTAGATTCTGGACTGCATCTGAATAAATAATAATTTGCCCTTTTCTGTGAATTGGCAGAAAATTTTGCTACTTTGGCACAAGAGACTACTTGGTTTTAGTTTAAAATAAATTATTCTGAATCAGGCTTTAATTTGGATTTGCTTAGAAAATAGTTTTCTTAGGTCTGTATGATGCATTTACATTTTGAACACTTCAAATATTAATTAGACCTAAATCTGCCTTTAAAACATTCAACATCTAGAAGGAAAATGCCACAAGCTAATAGCTCAGTCTACAGGAGATCACAGGACAGTAATTTTTTTTGAGGGGTGTTATGGACTGAATGGTTCGTTTCCCCCTCAAATTCATATGTTGAAATCCTAACCCCCAGTGTAATTGTATGAGGATAGGGCCTTTGGTAGGTGATTAGGTCAAGAGCGTAGAACCTTCATGAATAGGATTAGTGCCCTAAGAAGAGACCCCAGAGACTTCTCTTGCCATTTTTTTTTTCACCATGTGAGAACACAGAAGAGAGAGCTGCCTATGAACCAGGAAATGGGCGCTCACCAGACCTGACCATGCTGGCACCCTGATCCCAGACTTCTAGCCTCCAGAACTCTGTGACAAATTTTTATTGTTTATAAGTCTATGATATTCTGTTACAGCAGCCCAAACTGACTAAGACAAGGGGGAAGTAGAGTGAGGGAGGGAAGTAAAGGGAGCTTTTATGAAAGACATGTCATTTTTGAGTTGGGTCTTGAAGAACATATAGGTTTTGGACATGCAGAAAAACATATTTTTAAGGCAAATAGGCACAGAGGAGCAAAGATCTAGGAGCAGGAAATCAAAGGGCATCCTGGGGGGAAAGCAAGTAATATGATAAAACCAAGGCTGGAAAGGCCGAGTGGAACCAAAACACAGGGTTTTTTAACGTCAAGCCAAAGTCCTTGGACTTGCTTGGAGGACTGTTGTAGAGTGTTATGTATATTGGTGGGGCAGAGGGTTAGTAAAAGGACACAATCAGAGCTATGCTTTAGAAGGATTAATGACTCTTAAGGAGTTTAAGTTGGATGGCAGTGGGAGAGATGGAAGGCAGGGAGACCAGTATAGGGGCAACTGAATAAATATCCTAACCTGAGCAACATAGTGGGACCCTGTCTCTACAAAAAATTGAAAAATTAGCCAGGCTTACTGGCACATGCCTGTAGTCCCAGCTATTCAGGAGGCGGAGGCGAGAGATCACTTGAGCCCAGGAGTTTGAGGTTGCAGCGAGCTATGATGGCATCAATACACTCCAACCTGGGCAAAACAGTGAGACTGCGTCTCAAAAAAAAAAAAAAGAAAGAAATATAACATCCTGCTTCACTGACCTCCCTAATTAAAATAGCTAGACGACAAAACTTTGTATTAAAATAGTAACTGTACTATGTAACAACAGGTGAGTCTTCTCATATATGGAACTCACCCCCCAAGAATGCAGCAATGGTATGTGGCTCAGCAGCTCCATATCGGCAACTAAAGGAGACCACAGAGACATGAATTTTGATTAGCCTTATGACAGGTGTGGAATCATCTCCTAGATACCCTAAAAAATACTCACAATTCGTGGACATAATCATCTTTCACCATTACAGATAAACCATATTCCTGAAGGAAGCCAGTGAGACAAGACTTCAACTTTCCTATATCTTCTTCAACTTGATAGTTAGATACTCCTAAAAATAAAAGTTAGTTTTCATTAAAATAAATGTGATTCAAAATTAATGGCCAACTCCTTTATTTAATCTAGTTTCAGATGTTCTAGTCAAAATATGTATGAAACTGAAGAACAAAAATAACAAAGTATGAGACCAATATTTGCACATATCACAAACCTATAATCAGAGACCAACTAAAACCTAGTAAAAATTTGAATTTAATTAAATCTTTATTAATTGCATCATATTCACTGTCTAGAAAAGCATCTGGCACATAGTGCTTAATAATTATTTGATAGAAGAACTTAATGAATGAGAAAGTAATGTCCTACTTATACCCTTTATAAAAGTTATTCTCCAATTCTAAAAGACTAAATGATAAATGACACTGAGGACATAAAGCTATTAATAATAGGTAACTTTTTTTTTTTCTTTTGAGAGAGAGTCTTGCTGTTACCTAGGCTGGAGTGCAGTGGTGCAGTCTCGGCTCACCGCAACCTCTGCCTGCCGGGTTCAAATGATTCTCATGCCTCAGCCTCCCAAGAAACTGAGACTACAGGAGTGCGCCACCACACACAGCTAATTTTTTCTATTTTTAGTTTCAGTGTTGGCTAGGCTGGTCTCGAACTCCTGGCCTCAAGTGATCCACCCGCCTTGGCCTCCCAAAGTGCTGGGATTACAGGTGTGAGCCACCATGCCTGGCCAATAATAGGTCACATTTATTGAGCATTAATAGATGCTGGACACTGTTCTAAGGACCTTATATCTATATTAATTGATTGAATCCTCAAAACAGTCCTATGAAGTATGTATAGTTATCTCCATTTATAGAAGAGAAAACTAAAGCACAGAGAGATTAAGTTACTTAGCTCATAAGTGATGCTGTATGACTTCCAAAGCTAGGTCATAAAAAGCCCTGTACCTTCCACTTGGGTTTTTTGGAATGTTAACTGCAGAAGCCAACTGACATGCCAAAAGGAAGTCCAAGCTAGCCACGTGAAGAGATACCTGACCAGCCGCCAGCTATTCCCACTGTTCTGACTAAGGTGCTAGTTACATGAGTAAAAATGTCTTCTTGCATGTCTAACTCAGTCAGTCAAGCCTTCAGAATGACTCCACCCCCAGGCTCAAGCAACTGCATGCCTCCCCAAGGAGAACTGCCTGAGACCAGGCAACCCACAAAATCACGACACTATTTATTGTTTTAAACCACTAAGTTTTGAAGTGGTTTGTTATGCAACAGATAACTGAAATAAATACTAATCAAATAATACAAATAAAGCAATACATATTTGGTGTTTATTCTTTTTTTTTCTTCTAGTAAGCTTGCTTGTTAGGACTATAAACTCTGGGCAGCGCAGTGGCTCATGCGTGTAATCCCTGCACTTTGGGAGGCCAACACAGGAGGATCACTTGAGGTCAGGAGTTCGAGACCAGCCTGGCCAACACGGAGAAACCCTGTTTCTACTAAAAATACAAAAATTAGCTGGGCGAGGTGGCGGGCGCCTATAGTCCCAGCTACTCGGGAGGCTGAGGCAGGAAAACTGCTTAAACCCAGGAGGCGGAGGTTGCAGTGAGCTGAGATCACGCCACTGCACTCCAGCCTGGGCGACAGAGCGAGACTCCGTCTCAAAAGAAAAAAAAAAAAGACTATAAACTCTGGAGACACACTGTATCAGATGGAGCAGCAGGTTTTATGATACCCCTAGAATGTGTTGCTATGCAATAATCCTGCACAATTAAAATTATCATCCCAAAGAAAAATATTCTGAGCAACCTCAGATCTTTGAGATTATGCCAATTCTCCAATGACTACATTTGCTGAAGATAAAAAGTAGATAACTAAACAAAGAAATTCCTACATCTTCAGAGTTATTGAGTTCAGAAATTAGTAGCATACTTTTTTTTTTTTTTGAGACAGTCTCACCACAGTCACCCAGGCTGGAGTTTAGTGGCACAATCACAACTCACTGTAGCCCCAACTTCCCAGGCTCAGGTGATCCTCCCGAGTAGCTGAGTCTACAAGTGCACACCACCATGTCTGGCTAATTTTTTGTATCTTCAGTAGAGATGGGGTTCCACCATGTTGCCCACGCTGGTCTCCAACTCCTGGGCTCAAGCAATCTGCCTGAATCAGTCTCCCAAAGTGCTGGCATTACAGACGTGAGCCACCGTACTATGCCTGGCCAGCATATTTCTTGTGGCTTTCCTATTCCACTAAATTAAACTCAGTGTGAGTCTTAGTAACAAACTATGGAAAATGACAGAAAAAAGTTTTCTTCTATACATATTCAACCAACATCCCCCTGTAATAGTTTAGAATCGAACACTATTTTGCAAATAGTTAAACTTAAAAAACAAAAGGTGGTTCTTCACTGGGGAACGTTTGGGGTGTAATCTGTTTACAATGTGAAATTCAAGCAACACTATTATAAATACCCTGAGAACACTTTCAATTTAAATGTTTTATTGAAGATCTTATTATATCTGGTAATTCAATTGCTATTCTTACCTGGATATCTACCCTGTTGTTTATGAAATCTATCAACAGCCCGTAACATTAAGTACAACACTATTTCATTATCTGGATTGTCCATGCTAGAAACTGAAAGGAAAAAAAATTTCAGTTTAATTTGGTTAATTTGCAATGTAACAAACAATGAAGGGCTGAATTTACTATATACTTGAGTTTCAGGACTATTAACTGGAGTCACACAATCTCTACTGAAGTAGTAACATACTGACTTTAACTCATACATATCACACAATGGACTCAGTGACCTAAATATGACTTTATGCATACATTAAGTTTCATATAATATATAAATTATAATTACCTAGATAAGCTTAGAATAAAATTAGAATATGTTTACGTTATCTTTAATATCATCACCATATACTCAACACTATTATACACAAAATATTTATATCTTTTAAATTAATTAAAATTAACCCAGAATCAGAAGGCTATTATACTTACTAATTTCATCCTTGTTAATTGTATCCAAACCATATTCTTCAGCTAAGGATCGACATCTTACCACTCGAAGAAATGCAGAATTGCTGCCTGAACAGAGGAAAGATATTCTGGAAGTAATGACTGTGACTGGTGAATATTATGAATCACAGGTGACTTTAAGAACAGAGAATTATGTGTATACCCTTCTCAGACATGAGAATGTGAAGAAATGTTTTCTCCTTGGTTCTAATAGCAGAGAAAGCACTAGAACATGAATCACCTTAAATTTATATCCCTGGCACTACAACCAGTTCAGAAGCAAGTAAGGTGATGGCCTCTCTGAACCTCAGTTTTCAAGTGTAAAATGGGGATGATACTGTTTACCTTTGAGAATTGTTCTACAGATTAAATGTGACATCTGTATAAAGTGCATCTCTAGCACAATGCCTGATATGGCTCTAAAAATAATAGTTTTCATCATTATTATGGATAAGTAGTCCTAAAGGAGAGAGGTTTATGAATTGTACTCTTGATATATGTAATGACTTTAAGCTTTGTATTATTGAAATTTTCAAAAACGCCCCAAAGTAGAACAGAATAATAAATGTTCAAATACCCAGCATCAAACTTGTGATCTAGTATTATATAATCTAATACAACAAACGCTAATTCAAGATTAGTCTAATAGAACAAACAAGGTGCAAGATTAGTAGTGGCAGAAAACATTAAAACCGAGCCTAAACAGACATTGTGGAGAAGTCATAAAATGGAAAGCTTGGATAAATCTATTTTAAGGATGGGGAGCATGCAAAATATAAACTTCCACAGGACGTAGGAGCAGTAGCTACAGGGAGAAATCTTCAGATGGCATGCACAACAGATTGGGTATTTTGAAACTGACTCTTAAATAAAAGAAAATGCTTTTGGCCTACTGAGGAGTTACTGAGAAGACTCCTACGAACCTAACCACTCCGAAACTAGATGGCAAAATTCTTAACTCCATTACAGTCATTTAACACAGATCAAAATGAGTATTTAAACCAATATTGTCAATGTACATGTGACTCAAGACTTCACACCCAAAGTCTTCAGACAAAAAAACTTCCTAAATTACTTAAAATTTAAAAACTGAAAATCCTGTATTAATGGCAATTTTCAATTAACTGACCGTCAAGCCTTTTTAGCATTGCCACAGATAAACATGTTCTACCTCTGATTCAGTCTTAAAATACTCGCCATGTATTGTATTATGAGAGGAAAAAAAAAACCTTACCCAATAATTATCTATATCTATATCACTGAGGCCATGGAAAACTTAAAATTTCAACCATTCAAAATACCTGGGAACATTCCCTGTGGCACATTTCTATCAAGCAAAATAAGGAAATTAATTCAAGGGGACTTACAGAGTAATTTTAATTCTTTCTCTGAAATGGACTCTGGTGCCTGTAAAGAGATAAATACAGATTCTGTTCCAGTTTAAAAGAGAAGATTAACAAAGGGTGCGGCACAAAGCCAATCACTGTGAGATGGGAAGGCTTTCTCCAAGAGCTGGGAGAGCACTTTAAAAATATCTTGTTTCCTTATCACAAGCTATCCCATTAGGCAGGGAAATGACAGCTCCCTCTAAAGAAGCACAGAGGCAGTGCCACACCCTCTGTCTCTAAACCCTTTCTGGCTGGAGTTACGTGCTGAGGCCTGTATGGGCACAGTGTGCCCAGTAGCTTACCTGGCCAATGGACTGCAGCAATTTGGCAACATGATTACCCACAGCGGCAGCATCTTTCTTTGCTTTTTCACGGTAACTAAAAAAGAATAAAAAGCAATTACTAACAAATTTTTAAATTAGCAAAATTTAAATTGTTACCATGAACAAAAATTTTCTTTCCTTTTCATGAAAAAACACAGGTCTGACAATGTATGAAATGTGAAAATGCCAGGGAAATGCTATCAACAGCACCATGAGTAGCTGGGAATCTTTCCAGTGTTAGTGACGGACTCTCAGTGCCCACTAAAACCCAGGGTCCCTCTAACAGCACCCAACTTAAAAACTGCTCCCCTAGAGGGATCTATGATTTCGGCTTCTGTGACAGAGGACCTGAAAAAATACATTACTGAAGAACATGACTTATCTCCTGGAAGTCAAGTCCAAGGAAAGTTAAATACATTAAAACTGTTCATCTCCAATGTAAAACTTCTTTGTTTTTTGAGACAGGATCTCGCTCTGCCACCCAGGCTGGAGTACAGTGGCGCAGTCCTGGCTCACTGCAGCCTCAACTTCCCACGCTCAACTGATCCTCCCACCTCAGCTTCCCAAGTAGCTGGGAATTCAGGCACACGCTACCATGCCCGACTAATTTTTGTCTTTTTTGTAGAGACGGAGTTTCACCATGTTGCCCAGGCTGGTCTTGAACTCCTGGGTTCAAGTGATTTAGAAACTGAAAATACTGTATTAATGACAATTTTCAATTAACTGACCTTCATACCTTTTTAGCATTGCCATAGATAAACATGCTCTACCTCTGATTGTTTTAAAATACTCTGTATTTATTATGAGAGGAAAAAAAAACCCTTACCCAATTATTATCTGTATCTATACCACTGAGACAGACCATGGAAAACGTAAAATTTCAACCATTTAAAACAACTGTGAACATCCCTTGTGGCACATTTCACCACCCGCTTTGGCCTCCCAAAGTGCTGGGAATACAGGTGTGAGCCACTGCATCCGGCCATAAAAGTTTTCTTTACGTCTATTTACCTTTCACCCTCTAAAAATCATCAGTGTTCAGGCTGACTACCTCCCATGTAAGGTCATACTTCTTTCTATCCTCAATTGACCTTCCCCAAGTTTTAAGTAGTTGAACTCTTAGGCTAGGACAACAAACCAAGATTCGTTCAATGGTGACATGATAAAGAGTGAAATCTGTCTGGGGAAGAGAGATCATCTCTGTGTGACATTACTTGGACCCCAAAGAAACCGAGCCAGCAGACCTGGATTCTTTGCACCATGCCCTAACTATACGAGGGTCATATTCATTGAGACCCATCCCTGTGATAGTCTATCTGGGTTCAGGCTAGTGATACCTGGATAGCAAGATGTCTAGCTATAGTCATAGACTATAACTTATGAAACATTAAGATAAAAAATTCATCAAACCTTCATGGTTTTAAGTTACAAATACAAGGTAGTATAGGGCCATAGCTAAGCATACAGGCTCTGGTACTGGGTTTCCTGGGGTTCAAATCTTGGTTCTGCCATTTACCAGCTATCTGACCTTGTATAAGTAACCTTTTCAATACCTTAGTTTCTTCATGTGTAAAATGGGGCCGGTAACAGTCTCTCTCTCTCTCATAAGGTCGTTGTGAACCTTGTGTGTGTGTTAAATTACTTAATACATATAGTTCATAGCACAGAGTTAAGGGATCAAATATTAAGTTTATCATGAAGTATGAAAAAAAACTCTGCCTCCTAGGCGTATGTGGTAATTCTGTATTTCCCATTCAATTTTGCTTTGAGCTTAACAAGAATTGCCCCCTAAGTTCTTTTTTTTTTTTTTTTTTTTTTTGAGACGGACTCTTGCTCTGTCTCCAGGCTGGAGTGCAGTGGCACGATCTTGGCTCACTGCAACCTCCGTCTCCTGGGTTCAAGCGATTCCCCTGCCTCAGCCTCCCGAATAGCTGGGACTACAGGTGCGCACCACCACACCTGGCTAATTTTTTGTATTTTTTTAGTAGAGACAGGGTTTCACCATGTTGGCCAGGATGGTCTTGATCTTCTGACCTTGTGATCCACCCGTCTCGGCCTCCCGAAGTGGTGGGATTACAGGCGTGAGCCACCACGCCCGGCCTAAGTTCTTTTTTTTTTTTTTTGAGACAGAGTCTCACTCTGTCGCCCAGGCTGGAGTGCAGTGGTGCGATCTCCGCTCACTGCAAGCTCCGCCTCCCGGGTTCACGCTATTCTCCTGCCTCAGCCTCCCGGGTAGCTGGGACTACAGGCGCCTGCCACCACGCCCGGCTAATTTTTTTGTATTTTTAGTAGAGACAGGGTTTCACCGTGTTAGTCAGGATGGTCTCAATCTCCTGACCTCGTGATCCGCCTGCCTCGGCCTCCCAAAGCGCTGGGATTACAGGTGTGAGCCACTGCGCCCAGCCTGGTCTAAGTTCTTCAGCTTATTTTTACTTATTTATTTGAAACAGGGTCTTGCTCTGTCACCCAGGCTGAAGTGAAGTGGCATGATCATGGCTCACTGCAGCCTCAAACTCCTGAGCTCAAGAGATCCTTCTGCCTCAGCCTCCTGAGTAGTTGAGATTAAAGGCGAACACTACCATGCCCACCTAATTTTTCAATTTGTAGAGATGGAAGTCTCACTATGTTGCCCACGATGGTCTCAAACTCCTGGACTCAAGCAATTCTCCCACCTTGGCCTCCCAAAGTGTTGGGATTACAGGCATGAGCCACTGCAGCTGGCCTAGTTTATTTATAAGCAATGAGGTTGTAATAAACTTTCATTTGATTTCTGACAGGATGATAAAATGTTTATCTCTAATATAATCAGACTTTTTCTATTACATAGTTTGAAAACAGTGACATACACGTTTTGCAGTTTTATATATTTGCCTGAATCTGCAATCATATCAGGAATTGTGCCTCGAACAGGTAAATTTCCTTGACCCTCTTTGGCCACAAATTCCTTTAAGGCACGAGCTAAAATCCAAAATGATGGAGTCTAAAAGAATAAGAAAAAATTAACATTAAGTGGCGTTTTACTTTGACCCAAAGTTTTAGCAGCAATGTTTTTACTTTTGTTGTTGTTACCTGTTTGGTGATATTTATGCAGCGATCATCATTAAATATATCTTCAATACTGCTTGGGATCTAACAAAGGAACATGAAACATTTACTTACACAGTATTAAGAATTCGCCCATCTTTATTTTCAGTGCTATTTCTTCAGATATGTTCTTTGAATTCTCAAATTGTAATCAAATACAAACTTCTGATTGGTTTATAATTTTATTTAGAATCAGTACCATATGAAGATTTGATGGGGAAAGAATGGAAGAAAGACCTCTCCGGCCCACTGTTGCTACCATTTAATACCTATTCTCTTATACCATAAATGGGGTAAAGAAGGGGCCCCAGTAAATTATTTTATATAGTTACATCTGAAGACAAAACAGATTATAGACTCGCAGTATATCATGATTTTCCATCTTGTCAAAAATCTGAAACCCTTGCACCCTAATTAGTGACCGTTGAGACAACCACTCTGAAAAAAACTAAAACCATAAAGTAATTTTATTGCTAGCAAGATCTTCATACGTTAATCAAGAGTATAAAGCTGAGCACAATGGCTCATATCTATAATCCCAGCATTCAGGAGGCCAAGGTGAGAGGGTCATTTGAGCCCAGGAGTTTGAGACCAACCTGAACAAAACAGGAAGACCCCGTCTATAGAAAACATAAAAGTAAATTAGCTGCGCGTGGTGGCACGTGCCTGTGGTCCCAGCTACTTGGGAGGCTGAGGTGGGGGGATCACTTGAGCCCAGGAGGTCAAGGCTGCAGTGAGCAGTGATTGTGTCACTGCATTCTACCCTGGGCACCAATGTGAGACCCTGTCTCAAAAAAAAAAAAAAAAATACACACACACACACACACAAATCATAGGCTTGGATTCTACTGATGGGTGGAAAAAAGAAATGTCTCAGTGGGACCTCCTAACTGCTCTCTCTGCTTCCACTCCCAGTCCCCTCAATTGTGTTCTCCTCATGAAAGCCAGAATGGTCTTTTAGAATACAAAGCAGCTCAATCCACTTCCCTGACTGAAATGCTTAAATAGCCTGCAAGGCCTTTATGATCTGGCCCTTTCTGCCTCTCCAAACTCAAATCCTTCCTACCACTTTTCCCCCTTTTACACTTCACTCCAATCACACTGACTTGCTTACTGATGCTTGAACAAAAGTCAAGCTTCATCCCACTTCTGGGCCTTTGCACATGTGCTCCCTCCAACTGAAAAGCTCTTCCACCAGACCTCTGCGTGTCACTTCACTCAGGCTTCTGCTTAAATGTCTTTTGGAAAGTCTCCCTGGCTCCCTATGTACAATTGTCTCTCAACCCCGGATTCCCTTGTCCCCAGCATGCTCTCTGACCCTTTGTTCTGCTGTAATTTTGTTCACAGCACCTGGTGCATTTTTATCTGTTTATTTAGCTTACTGCCCCCCAACTATTAGAATCTTTTCTTTTCAACTGTGGTTTTATATTCAGTGAAATACAGAGATTTCAAATGTCCAATTCAATGCATTTTGATAACTATATATACATATTTTTAACCATAACCCCAATTAAAACAGAAAATGTTCATCACCCCAGAAAAGTGATTCACAAAGCACATTTATTTTTTGGACACAGGGTCTCATATCATTGCCCAGGCTGCAGTGCAGTGGCACAATCATGGCTCACTGCAGCCTCAACCTCCCAGGCTCAAGCGATCCTCCCACTACCTTAGGCTCCAGAGTAGCTGAGACTACAGGTGCATGCCACCACACCCATCTAATTTTTAAATTTTTTGTAGAGACAAGATCTCCCTACGTTGTCCAGGCTGGTCTTGAACTGGGCTCAAGCAATCTTTCTGCCCTGGCCTCCCAAAGTGTTGGGATTACAGGTGTGAGCCACCACACCTGGCCAGCAAACACTTTTTTTTTTTTTTTTGAGACAGAGTCTCGCTCTTGTTGCCCAGGCTGGAGTACACTGATGAGATCTCAGCTCACTGCAATCTCCACCTCCCAGGTTCAAGCGGTTCTCCTGCCTCAGCCTCCCAAGCAGCTGGGATTACAGGTGCCCACCACCATGCCCAGCTAATTTTTTGTATTTTTAATAGAGATGGGGTTTCACCATGTTGGCCAGGCTCGTCTTGGACTCCTGACTTCATGTGATCTGCCCTCCTCGGCCTCCCAAAAGTGTTGGGATTACAGGTGTGAGCCACCGCGCCTGGCCCCAGCCAGCACACTTTTAATCACTCAGCAACACTGCCTTGTTGTCTCTAAAAAGTTGGTAATAATATCTTACGTGCCTTCCTAACTTGAAAGGCAGCATATTTGCTGTTTTAAGTTACAAGAAAATTCTAACTTAAACTACCAGGTGTTATTCCAAAGCTCCCCAAAAACTTCAATGGTCAGACCTCAACAACTAAGCCATAACAAAACCAAAGGCATCTGAGGCGGAGTCTTACTCTGTTGCCCAGGCTGGAGTGCAGTGGTGTAATCTTGGCTCACTATAACCTCTGCCTCCTGGGTTCAAGTGATTCTCCTGCCTCAGCCTCCCGAATAGCTGGGATTACAGGTATGTTCACCATGCCCAGCTAATTTTTGTATTTTTAGTAGAGACGCGGTTTCACTATGTTGGCCAGGCTGGTCTCGAACTCCTGACCTCAGGTGATCCACCCGCCTCAGCCTCCCAAAGTGCTGGGATGAGCCAGCATGCCCGGCCCTGTATTTATTTCTAACTATACATTTAGAAAATATTAACTTAAATCATTATAGTCAACCATTTAATAGCCAAGGACTCTAGAAAACATCTTGTTCATGTGAATCCCTCAGCAACTCTTTCATTACCTGAGTTGTATTTAGTGCTGTGTTCACATTTTTAATAGCTTCTTCAAAATTCTCTTCATCTTCTGGAGCCCCATTTTCATTTTTTAGAATTCCTATTGTAATGGGAAATTGTTAGCAAACAGCCCTTTTCTTTTCACTCTTCTGTTCCCCCATTATAAAAATAACCTTGTCAGATCCTGCAGAATATTAAATCTTAAGAAGAAATACGGCTTATCATTAGTCCTTAAAACTATACAAGGCGTGGCTTCTTAACTTCTCCAGAAGGAAAATAAAAGCTCATGATGCTATCATCTGACAAAGGTGTTAACAGAAATCCAATAAGTACCTGCCTCTAGCAATTTGCTTTTCAAGCTTTATACAGTATTTAATCATATCCCATATTACCTTGTCTAATCAAATCTCTGAAGTCCTCTTTTTCTTTATACGTTTTAGGTATTCGTCCATTTGTCTAAATTGGTTAAAAATTTTAAAAATCTAGTTATTAAAATTCAAAATACAGAAATTGAAAGTCTAAAGTGTCCCCCATTCTCTACATAAGATTTCATCAACAAATATATTTCTCTGTGAAATCAGAGGCTCACTTGATAGAAAACAGACACTGTGACCATTTATCTACATTCATTCCCCCTGCCAGTTTCATAATGACATTTATTGAATTTCATTTTAATTAAAATTATCAGGATCAAAAGAGGAACTGCTAGATTTAAATTTAAAAGCATCCATTTGCCCTACCATACAACTCCATAAGGAAAAAAAATTAATCTCCCATTCCCCATCAAGGAAATCCTTTGTAAGAAACTGAAAATACAGTTGCATATGAAATTTTTTTTAAAAAAGGACATACTTCACTATACCACTGTGCTAAATATTTAGCTATGATCACAATCCATGGAGTATGACTGTGGTCCTAAAAATGAGAGACAAATAAAAGAAAATATCAGTATTATGAATTCTTCACTGTACCATCTCGTTTTCAACAAATTCAACAATATTTATGATCTCCTAATATATGCAGAGTAGTGAATAGACGAAAATGAACTGAGTTAATAAAAACTGCTTTACAAATTTTTCTAGAGGCAGATACCTAGTATGTCACATATATACTATGATTGTCCCCATTATACCAGCAAAACAGTCTCAGAGACTGCCACCCAAAAACACAGCTCAAATCTCAATTTCAGACACCAATCCTAAGTAAGAAAGGAGGATCTTTTCTGTTTTCTGATGAACCAAATAAGCAACTGCATGTTAATTAATATGGAAGTGGGAAAAAATACATATACGCCTTATAGTGTTATGTCATTATTTCTATTTGTTTAGAAAAAGTCCATAAAGAGAACTTCTTGGAATTTTTTTATTTCTGTTTTTTGTTTTAAAATTTTTTACTTTCAATTTTTGTGGGTACTTAGGTGTATATATTTATGGGGTACATGCTTTGATACAGGCATGCAATGTGAAATAAGCACATCATGGAGAATGGGGTATCTGTATAGCATTTATCCCCTCAAGCGTTTATCCTTTATGTTACAAATAATCCAATTAAACTCTTTTAATTATTTTAAAATGTATAACTGAGTTGTTATTACTAACTATAGTCACCTTGTTGTGCTTTCAAGGAGTAAATCTTATTTATTCTTTCTAATTTTTTTTTGGTACCCATTAACCATCCCCATCTCCCCACCTGGAATAGGTTAATGTCCAATTTCTTGACCTGGGTAGTGATTACACAGATGTTCAGTATATGTACTTTTCTTCAGTAAAAAAGTTTTTTAATTTTGGAGAAAAATTAATATGTTGAAAACAAGGTAAAATACTGTTATTGGGTAATCGGGATGACAGGAATATGGAAGTTTATAGGATTTTCTCACTTTAGTGTAATTCAAAAACCTTAGGTTAAAAAAATGTTTTAAGTCTATCTGTAAATGTAAGGTCACACACACTACCAACCTTTTTTTCCATATGATCCAAATCATAGGACTGAAAATGTTCTCTCAGTTCAGGAAATGGCTTATCTAGTCGTAGATCCTCTAATGCATTATCTGGATGAGATTCTATTACTGTGAAACAAAGAATTCAAAAGGATAAATTTAACACTTAAAAAAAAAAAAGAGAGAGATGGGGTCTTGCTGTATTACCCAGGCTGAAGTACAGTGGCACAATCACAGCTCACTGCTGAAACTCCTGGGCTGAAGGGATCCTCCCACCTCAGCCTCCTGAGAAGGTGGGACTACAGTCTCGTGTCACTGTGCCCAGCTAATTTTTTTGTAGGGATAGGGTCTCACTATGTCACCCAGGCTAGTCTCAAACTCCTGGATTCAAGGGCTCCTCCTGCCTCGGCCTCCCAAAGTCCTTGCATTACAGGTGTGAGCCACCGTGCCCAGCTCAAAAGATAAACTTAATTCTTTGGCAATACTGATGACAATACATTGAATTATAGAAACTTAGGAAATCTTTAATTTTTAAATGGACACAGGGCCCACAGGTTTTTTCACTGTTTTATTAAGGTACGATTTACATATAGTAAAATGCAGAAATCTTAAGTCAACTATAAAGTTTTAGTAAAAGTAAAACCAAGATTCCTTTAGAACACAATTTGTTCTAACTGGAAAAGCTCAACATTGACAAACCCTAGGTACAGATAGCAACTAACAACCTATCCTTCCTCCTCTTGTGGTCTTCAATAGACAGCATCACCATCTACCTAGACTTCTTCTCCAGAAACCTGATGGGCATCCTTCACTTCTTGCTTCCTTGGCCCCAACATCAGTAACTCCCCACTTCCTAATCTCACTCTGTACACTGCTCTCCACATGAGAGAGGACAGGAGAGTGTATAATTTCAGTGAGTGCTTAGAGGTAGGCCCAGTTCTGTCACTTGCTAACTATGTGACCTTAGGCAAATAATTTAATCTCTCATTGCCTCAGCATCATCTATAAAAAGCAGATATTAAAGTATCTACAGATTGTATATCTCTCTTATCCAAAATGCTTGGGACCATAAGTGTTTTGGATTTTGTTGAGTTTTTGGTATATTTGCAAATACATATTAGATGAGCTCTCTAACCCAAAAATCTGAAGTAAGAAATGTTCCAATGAGTGTTTCCTTTGAATATTATGTCAGTTCTCAAAAAGTTTTGCATTTTGGAGCATTTCTGATTTTGGATTTTTGGATTAAGGATACTCAATCTGTACCTTATAAAGGTTTTGGAAAGAGTAAATGAAATAATTCTTATAAAGGCAGGCACACAACTAGTAATGCTGAACCTTCATTATTATCTACCCTCTCTTCTTCTCTTCCCTAAATTAGGAAAAAGAACACACTCTCTCTTACTTAGGCCACTGGAAATTTCTAACAGCAATCACTGCCTCCAATCTTTGCCCCTTTAAATCCATTTACTTTCCACTCAACTTCAAAGTGACCCATTTAAAATAAAATGTTTACATGGTCACTCTCCCACTTTCAACTCTTTTGTTCCCTCCCATCAGTTGACACCACTTTCAACTCTTAAATGGCTCACCACCAGCAGCCAGAGCTTATCCTGACAAGCACTCCCTAACTGCCCACACAGATATTACTCCTCAGTGATGCTACCAATGCCAATGGCTATCACCACATTAGCAGAGTGCTTGGCTCATAGTAAAAATGTTTTCTTGAGTCAATAAAGAGCACTGTTTTGAATACTGGATGAAAATTTTATGATCATCTAAGATTAAAATTTTATAAGTAAAGGGCTTATATAAACCCTCAGCTGATGGAGGTCTGCCTATAAACGACTTTGGTCTCTTACAACAGTTTCCTTGGGAACAGTAGTTATGTAAATGTCTTTGTTGTGTGAAATTGCACCTGAATTGAGAGAACCTAAAGCCTGCATGAGAATGAAATAAAAGATTGGACGGACCTGGTGCAGTGGCTCACACCTGTAATCCCAGCACCTTGGGAGGCCAAGGCGGGTGGATCACCTGAGGTCAGGAGTTCGAGACCAGCCTGGCCAACATGGTGAAATCCTGTCTCTACTAAAAATGCAAAAAATTAGCTGGGCGGCCGGGTGCGGTGGCTCACGCCTGTAATCCCAGCACTTTGGGAGGCCAAGGCGGGCAGATCACGAGGTCAGGAGATTGAGACCATCCTGGCTAACATGGTGAAACCCCATCTCTACTAAAAATACAAAAAATTAGCCGGGCACGGTGGCGGGCGCCTGTAGTCCCAGCTACTCGGGAGGCTGAGGCAGGAGAATGGCGTGAACCCGGGAGGTGGAGGTAGCAGTGAGCCAAGATCGCGCCACTGCAGTCCAGCCTGAGCAAAAGAGAGAGACTCCGTCTCAAAAAAAAAAAAAAAAAAATTAGCTGGGCATGGTGGCGGGTGCCTGTAATCCCAGATACTTGGGAGGCTGAGGCAGGAGAATCAGTTGAACCCGGGAGGTGGAGGTTGCAGTGAGCCAAGATTGTGCCATTGTACTCCAGCCTGGGCAACAAGAGCGAAACTCTGTCTTAAAAAACAAAAAAAAGACTGGAGTGGGGAAAGGTGGTGTAACTTCATGGGTCAGAGTGATCCACATTCCTTAGCTCTCCACAGCCATACATGCCCAATGTGGGTTAGGGGGCAAAAGAAGCTGGGTACTTGCATAGTTGCTGGATCTCCTAATAAGATGAAGAAGCTGTGCCTGTGGTATATCATGCTTTGTATCCTTCTATAATGCTACATAAAGAGTAGATTGCAGCCTATTGAATCTGATTGCCACTTTGAATCTGCAACTAGAGATGTGCTGCTACAAATTTACTTTGTAATTTAAAACTGACTTTCTAAATTGTCAAGTTTCTAAAATTATAGCTAAAGCAACCAATAGTAAGCCCATATGCTCAACAATTTTACCTGGATGTTCTTTTATAATGATCCTCATATAACCAACTAGTCCATATGTCCTACAGATCAAAAGAGGAATCTGGGAATTCCAGAGGACATCTGCTAAGCGTAGTGAAGTGCTGTTTAAAAAAAAAAAGCAAAATATGAACATAAGCAAATGGAAATATGCCAAACATGAAAACATGCAAAACATGAAAATGTCTTACAGCAACTTTCTTACTAAATAATAGATGCAAAGGTACATAACTGCATTTACATAAGCAGGTCAAGAACACACTGAAAAGCAAGCATTTCCACAGGCTGCAGTCTCAAAGAAAGTACATCTTTGGACAAGAGGGATGTGAAACTTTAGTCTGTCATATTAAGGAGAAACGTTAAAGAAAGATAATTCTAAACATTTCCATGATAGAGAAAAAATATAAAACCCACAAATACACCCCTAACAATTCCAATAACCAATTCTCTGTTGCCCAGGCTGGAGTGCAGTGGCATGATCATGGCTCACTGCAGCCTCGACCTCCCAGGCTCAAGTGATTCTCCCATCCCAGCCTCCTGAGTAGCTGGGACCACAAGCAGGCACACCATCTGGCTAAATTTTGTAGTTTTTGTAGACACAAGGTTTTGCCATGTTGCCCAGGTGGTCTTAAACTCCTGTGCTCAAGTGATCTGAACCTGTCTCAGCCTGGTTCTGCTGGAATTACAGGCATGAGTCACTGCACCCAGCCTTCAATAATCAATTCTAACTAGTTTTTAATCACTAAAACAAACAAAGAACAAAAACAACAACAACAAAAAAACAATGTTCGGTTTAACTGCTCTAAATATATTCCAAAAGTTTCACATCTAAGGTTAGGCTTGGTGGCTCCACAACTGTAATCCCAGGACTTTGGGTGGCTGAGGCAGGCAGATGACTTGGGGCCAGGAGTTTGAGATCAGCCTGGCCAACATGGTGAAACCCCGTCTCTACTACAAATACAAAAATTAGCCGGGCACGGTGGCACATGCCTATAATCCCAGCTATTTGGGAGACTGAGGCACGAGAGTTACCTGAACCCAGGAGGCAGAGGTTGCAGTGAGCTAAGATTGTGCCACTGCACTCCAGCCTGAGCAACAGAGCAAGACTCTGTCTAAAGAATAATAATAAAAAAAAAAGTTTCAGTATTTTTCTCTTCCTCATCTTTTCAATGCTGGAAGATTTCTAAGAATTTCTTTTATTTATTTATTTATTTATTTATTTTTTTTTTTTGAGACAGAGTCTAACTCTGTCACAAGGGCTGGAGTGTAGTGGCACGATCTTTGGCTCACTGCAACCTCCACCTCCCTGATTCAAGCGATTCTCTTGTCTCAGCTTCCCGAGTAGCTGGGACTATAGGCGTGAGCCACCACGCCCAGCTAATTTTTGTATTTTTAGTAGAGATGGGATTTCACCATGTTGGCCAGGATGGTCTCAATCTCCTGACCTCGTGATCCACCTGCCTCGGCCTCCCAAAGTGCTGGGATTACAGGCATGAGCCACCGTGCCCAGCCATAAATCTGAAACTCTTGACCAGGCACGTTGGCTCACACCTGTAATCCCAACACTTTGGGAGGCCGAGGAGGGTGCATTGCTTGAGCTCAGGAATTTGAGCTCAAGCTCAAAAAAAAAAAAAAAAAAAAAGTTTCATATTTAAAGTTTCTATAGAATTTAACAATTTTTAAAACCATATCATCATAGACTGTGCAAAGAAAATAAAACAATGCAAATCTAATAAGATTAAAATAAAAACATATTAACATAAAAATTTACCTTTCAGGAAGCTGAGTTGCAACTACAACAGTAAACCTACAGAAAAATGAGGGATCATTGTCTAGAAGGTTTTCTGGACTCTAAACAGGACAGCAAAGAAAAAAACAAACAAAAAAAACCAATTTCACAATCATATTAAACATGGCAGAGACAGTTAAGCTATTTTACAACAAATGAGGCAACAATTCCAATTCAACTAATCATAAATGACACAAAGATTCAAAATTCTAAATTTCTGGGGCTTTGAATTATTTAAAAAATTGTATTTCAGCACAGACATAATAATGTGTGTACATATATACCTCTTCCACAAAACTTCCAGAGACATCGCTATTTAATTCTTGTAAGAATTCCATGGCAGCTTCAGCTCGGTTCTTTTTAAAAACAAAGCATTTAACTTGAATTAGAAAAAACTTGGTCACAATATAATCCCCCAATTTATGGAACAGGCAAACATACTGTAAAACTATCCAAATTTCATGCATAAGTATGACAACTCTGTTTCCCTTCTTTTTTCTTTTTAGAGACAGGCTTTTGCTCTGTTGCCCAGTTTGTAGCATAGTGGCCTGATCATAGCTCACTGCAGCCTTGAACTCCTAGGCTTAAGCAATCTTCCTGCCTCAGCCTCCCAAGTAGGTGGGACTACAGGCATGTGCTACCATGCCCAGCTAATTTTTTAAAAAAATATTTTGTAGAGACAGGGTCTTGACATGTTGCCCAGGCTGGTCTTGAACTCCTGGTCTCAAGCAATCCTCCTGCCTTGACCTCCCAAAGTGCTGAGATTACAGGCGTGAGCCACTGCTCCCAGCCAATTCTGCTTCTCCTAGTGTTTAAGACTCAACAGAATATTACTTAAAACAGAGCAAAACCATCATCATCCAGAGTTCTCAAATGACATTACTTGTACTCTACTTTTTTGATTAGGCAAATGACCAAAAAACTCTGGGTAGCAGGCAGGGATATCCTGGATCAAGTTCAGACTCACTCTAACCACCCACATCTATAATCCTGTACAAGAGTGGTTAATCACTAAGCTAAAAGTCATTTCACTAAGTTGACTAACATGGTTTTGTAAGATTTTTTAGGCTGGGCGTGGTGGCTCATGCCTGTAATCTCAGCACTTTGGGAGGCTGAAGCGGGTGGATCACAAGGTCAGGAGATCGAGACCATCCTGGCTAACACGGTGAAATCCCATCTCTACTAAAAATACAAAAAATTAGCCAGGCGTGGTGGTGGGCGCCTGTAGTCTCAGCTACTCGGAAGACTGAGGGAGGAGAACGGCGTGAACCTGGGAGGTGGAGCTTGCAGTGAGTCGAGATCGCGCCACTGCACTCCAGCCTGGGGGACAGAGCGAGACTCCGTCTCAAAAAAAAAAAATTTGTTAACCAGAATGAATATTAACATTACTCAAGATTTAGCTTTAATACAGGATGCAATGTATAAACACAGACAGTACACCTCTAAGTTCTTAAACTACCAAACATATGAAGATTTACAAGATTACAAAAATTAGTTAACTTTTTTCTCAGAGAAATAATACACGTTTTTAAAGTCAAAGCTTTTCAAGCAATCAAAACACAGGGGCATCATTAGATGCTCACATCCAACTATATTCTCTAATTGTTTACCTTGCCGATACTGCTTCTTTGAAGGAAGAAACTAAAGTGAACAGAATAAAGGAAAAAAAAGTAAAGCTTACTGACTATAAAGGAAAAGTTGTTTGTAATAGCATGCATATTTCATTCACAGTATAAAACAAACTATATTGTGATTACAGACTGTAATGGCCTTCCTGGAGGAAGAAAATCAGATGGAACTTATAAAGAAAGATAGGCTAATAAATCAATGTTTCTTTCCCAAATTGTGTACCACAGCATGTGAATTTCACAAGATCCTCTGAGAGAAAAGGGTTCCTTGGCTAAAAACGTTTGGGAAACACCGGCGGGTGTGGTGGCTCATGCCTGTAATCCCAGCACTTTGGGAGGCCGAGGTGGGCGGATCACGAAGTCAGGAGATCGAGACCATCCTGGCTAATACAGTGAAACCCCGTCTCTATTAAAAATACAAAAAATTAGCCGGGCGTGGTGGCGGGCGCCTGTAGTCCCAGCTACTCGGAAGGCTGAGGTAGGAGAATGGCGTGAACCTGGGAGGCAGAGCTTGCAGTGAGCCGAGATTGCACCACGGCACTCCAGCCTGGGCGACAGAGAAAGACTCCGTCTCAAAAAAAAAAAAAAAAAGTTTGGGAAACACCATATACTATATTTCCCTCTTGGAAATTCATAATACACATAATACATGTGATACTAAAATCTTATGGTAAAGAAATTTTTACTTCATTTGATCCATTTCCCAAACTAATTTCACTATGGAACCCATTGGCCCATTTAACAGCTCTTATCGTTCCCTAGAACCGGTGTTCCACAGACCACTCTCGGTGTATTGAACCATTTGTTTTTGCACGTAACTGTAACAGATTTATTCAGGCTTCCTCCCACACATACCCTTGACATGTCTCAAGGCCCAGATATGAGGCTGCTGATCAGAGTCAGGATGCCACTTTTCGGTATAAGCTCACTGGCTCCATAAGAAGAAACCTTATTTTTATCACTTTCTACTCTAACCCACCAAGTAAGCAAAGATAACAAGACTTCTTGGTATATATCAATAAAAAAGCTGTGCTGTGCCTGGCAGAAACTGGCACTACGATCCAAAGAAAAGGCATCAAAACTAAATATGAACTAATTGCTGGTTTCCCTTATATTTACTCACTGTTGTTGTTACTGACAAACACAATGAGAGATACCAGACTTCAAGTCCCTGAAAAGGTGAGCTTTAAATCCAAATTTGGGCATGTTCTGAAAGTCTAAATATAATCTTTAAAGAATAATATACAGGCCATCTTTAAAACAGCATTTTTGTTGACACTGTAAAGAGAGATACCCCTAGACTAAGCCTAAAAGACATCACAAACAACAGGCATTATTGTTAATTATATGCTAACACCTACGGATCAATACAAGAGCTTAGGAAGTGCCCATATTCCATGAATAAAGGAATAACGACTACTCCTTTGTATTAATAACAATAAAGACAGTAATGATGGGTAACATTTATTAATGCCCTATTTGCCAGATGCTGTACTAGCACTTTACCTATATTATCTCACTTCCTCACCATAATCCCAAACATAAGGATGATTTCCACTGAGAGTCGAGTCACCCTGACTGAGGAGGTGAAGCTAAGACTCAGGCCTTGCCTTCCTTAACGTGAATATATTTGAAGAGAATAGAACATACTTGTTTCCAGCATCTTCTCCGCTGACCTGATTTCCATCAATAATTGTAAACGAACCAATACCTGAGAGCCAAAACAGAGTCAGTCAGGAATACATAGTTCTAGGTCATAAACTTAAAGAAGTATATTTAGAACACAACCACAAACCTACGTTACCTGGTAGTACCAAGTTTTTAAGAATTTCAGTTCCTGTGGCTGTTGCATTTATTAGGCAAACATGAGCAGATTCTAAAGCCTCTTGCCCATGATCACCCCACAACCTACAAAACAGACACAAATTTGATGTTTTTAAAACTTTCATGAAAATACAGCTTTCTTATTTGAATGGTGATCTTTAAACTTTCCTTGCATAGACTGATATGATAACCACAGAATACAGGTAAGACGGGAACAGATATTAGTATAGTGATTATACAGTAATCTAGAACTCAGGTTGATGCCTTGAATGGTTAGGGGAAAAGAGGGAGAGGGTCAAATTAGAAACAGAAACTTGGTCTTCCAGCCCCTTATCAGCCTGGGCACAAGAGCGACACTCTGTCTCAAAACAAACAAACAAACATTTAAAAAGCGTCTTTGGATTTAAACCCTCATCTGTTTTCTATTTCATTTATTCTTTGTTTTGTTTTGAGACAGAGTCTTGCTCTGTCACCCAGGCTGGAGTGTAGTGGCATGATCTCAGCTCACTTGGCCTCCCAAAATGCTGGGATTACAGGTGTGAGCCACCGTGCCCAGCCCTATTTCATTTATTCTTAAATTATGTTAGATGTGCCAGGTGCAGTGGCTCACACCTGTAATCCCAACACTTTGGGAGGCCAAGGCAGGCGGATCACGAGGTCAGGAGATCGAGACCATCGTGACTAACATGGTGAAACCCTGTCTCTACTAAAAAATACAAAAAATTAGCTGGGCGTGGTGGCAGGCGCCTGTAGTCCCACCTACTCGGAGGCTGAGGCAGAAGAATGGCGTGAACCCAGGAGGCGGAGCTTGAAGTGAGCCGAGATTGCGCCACTGCACTCCAGCCTGGGCGACAGAGCGAGACTCCGTCTCAAAAAAAAAAAAAATTATATTAGATGCATTTAAGTTAAGTTAGATGCATTTAAGATCTCGACATAGGGCTTATTACTGTGACTTCTGCAAAAGCTTTACCAAGAAAACTGAATTATCATCTGAAAAGCCTCACATCAACTTCTACAGGAGTGCTTTAAAGTATATTACCCAATGAACATTCTAATAGAGTGATTAATGTGCCTTCCCTGTTACCTGATTTAAAGCAGATTACCCCTTATTATGTAGTCAGTATGTCCTCCAGAGCATGTCAAGCAACTGCCTTGTTTTTTGTTTTTGTTTTTGATACAGGGTCTTACTATGTTATCCAGACTGGTCTTGAACTCCTGGGTTCAAGCATTTCTCTCGCCTCAGCCTCTAGAGTTGCTGGGACTACAGGCACAAGCCACTGTACCTGGCTTCATTTGTTTTTGTTTGCTGAGCATCCATCTTTCCACTCCACTGTATGCTCCATAAGGGCCCAGACAGCTGTCAAATGTATGGAGGAATCGCCTAGAAGAACCAGATGGACCGTAAACGCCTGTTTTCTCCATCAAAGTATGGCACGTAGAAGACACCTGACATATATGGTTGATGGATGCTTAGATAGTTGGAGAGTAAATTTAAGAATACTGGTGCATCTTGGCTGGGCGCAGTGGCTCACGCCTGTAATCCCAGCACTTTGGGAGGCGGAGGCAGGCAGATCACCTGAGGTCAGGAGTTTGAGACCAGGCTGGCCAACATAGTGAAACCCCGTCTCTACTAAAAATACAAAAATTAACCAGGCACAGTGGCACGCACCTATAATCCCAGCTACTAGGGAGGCTGAGGCATGAGAATCGCATGAACGCAGGAGGCGGAGATTGCAGTGAGCCAAGACCGCGCCACTGCACTCCAGCCTGCGCAACACAGTGAGACTCCGTCTCAAAAAAAAAAAAAAAAAAATACTGGTGCATCTCAAGCAGGGTGAGATAGTGTGTGTGCCTGTAGTCCCAGCTGCTTGGGAGACTGAGGCAGGAGGATCACTCCAGCCCAGGAGATCAAGGCTGTGGTGTGCCAATAATCATACCTGCGAACAGCCACTGCACTCCAGCCTGGGTAACATACTGAGACCCACCTCAAAAATAAAACAAAAAGAATACTGAGGCCAGGCACTGTGGCTCATGCCTGTAATCCTAGCACTTTGGGAGGCTGAGGCAGGAGGATCACTTGAGTGCAGAGGTACGAGACCAGCCTGGGCAAACCCCCATCTCTAAAACAGTTAGCTAAGCATGGTGGCACATGCCTGTAGTCCCAGCTACTCAAGAGGCTGAGGCAGGAGGATCGTTAGAGCCCAGGAAGTTGAGGCTGCAGTGAGCAGTGTTCTTGCCACTGCACTCTAGCCACTGCACTCTAGCCTGGGTCACAAAGTGAGACCTTGTCCCTGAAAAAAAAAAAAAAAAGAATCCTGGTGTGTCTCTAAGTAACATGTTTCAAGAATAGGCCAAATGAATCAGTCCTCTCTACTATCTTGCTGGCCCAACTAACGTGAAGTAAGGAGGGGCTTATTGACTGCTGCATTTTGCTTCTAACTGCTTCCCTTTGACACTTCAAAACCAGTTCTCACTATGAAAGTAAAGTTTGGGACTTAAATGGAATGCCCTCAGCAAAAACCCTCTTTTGTTAGAGTTGCTTAGTAACCTCAACTATCTTCTCAGCTCTGTCATGTACAGTTATACCTGCATTAGAAACACAAGAACTCCAAGAATTTACAAGAAAACCTAAGTTGGTTATAAGGACTGTTACCCTGTTTCTTCTCCGAAAAGCTTGGAAGCAGGATGTAACTGAGTACCTCCGAAAAAGCCAGAAGAGCCTTAGTTTACATCCTGGCTCAAAGATATGGGGAACTCTGGGCAAATTACCTAACTTCTCCAAGACTCTGTTTCTCCAACTGTAAAGCACAGGAAATGGTTGCTTTCAAGGGTACTCTCAGAACTAAGTGCCTAAAGCCTCTACTACAGCACTAGGCTGGTGGCGCAAACAGAAGCTCCAGTCCTTGGGGACATATAACTTCTGTTGTCTCAGAGGCTCCAGGAAGGAGGAAAGCTGAGCAGCTTTGTTATCTCCACAGCCTCAAGACACAGAAGACGCTCAATAAATAAGGAATGGGTAGTGCAAGGAGAAAAGGCAAGGGTGGGGAAGTACCCAAGGACCCTCCTGATGGCTTAGGCCTGCACTGTCCATTAAGGTAGCTGCTAGCCACATGTACTACTGAGCACAAGCAATGAGGCTAGTGTTAACTGAGATGTGCTGGTAAGTGTAAAATACAATATTTATACGATAGTTTTGGGGGGGCTTTTTTGACGGAGTCTCGCTCTGTCACCCAGGCTGGAGTGCAGTGGCACGATCTCGGCTCCCTGAAACCTACACCTCCTGGATTCAACCGATTCTCCAGCCTCAGCCTCCAGAGTAACTGGGATTACAGGCGCGCACCACCACGCCCAGCTAATTTCTGAATTTTTAAATAGAAACAGGGTTTCACCATGTTGCCCAGGCTGGTCTCGAACTCCTGACCTCAGGTGATCCGCCCGCTTCGGCCTCCCAAAGTGCTGGGATTACAGGCGTGAGCCACCGTGCCGGTCCTCCAAGACAGTTTTAAAAAGGAAAATACTCATGACCAGCTTGGGGAAAGGTGGCAAAAACCTCGTTTCTACAAAAACAAAAATAAAAATAAAAATAAAAATTTAAGTAAAATATCTCAAGAACTTTTTATATTGTGTTGAAATAGTAATGTTTTGGACATATTGGGTTAAATTGTATTTAAAAATCAATTTCATCTGTTTCATTTTACCTTTAGTGTGGTTACTAGAAAATTTATAATTACATTTGCGGCTCACATGAGACTAGCATTTTATTTCCATTGGACAGCGCTGGCTGAGAACAAAACCTAACCCTCTGTGCCGCCCTCGCGGCCGGGATGCGGTGCGCCCCGGGCCTCCCCATTCGGAAAACGAGGAGCCTGGGCGCAACGGGGCCGGCAGCCGCCTTAGCTACCCGGCTGGCGCTGGGGACCCCGTCCCCCGAACTGCACACCGCGTGGCGGGGGAAGGGGTCCCAGCCCTCGCGGAGCACCTTTGGCCCAGGGCGGGAGCTCCGAGCGCCGGCTTCCCGCGCCCCGCACGGCCCGGCCCAGCCTGGAAGAAGGCCTGAGGAAGGCCCGACCGCGCCGCCCGCGCCCTTAGGCCCGGCCCGAATGCTGGAAAGCCCGCCGGCCCGCCCTCGGCTCGGTGAGCCTCGGCTCACCTCAGCTGCCGGTCGTACTTCTGCTCCTTGAGCAGCTTTCCCAGCTGCGCCATGGCCGCGCCTGCCGCGCGGAAAACAGCCGAGCCCCTGCGGAGCGCCGCCACCAGCTCCACAAGCGCGCAGGCGCACTGAGCGCCCCTTCGCCGCTACCGTCTCCTGCGCGCTGCCTGCAGGGGGCGCCGCACTGCACTGCGCACGCGTCGCCGGTACGCCGGGGCCTAAGCGGCCCTGGTACCCGAGCGGGTCTGGGGCTCTTGGTCCCCATCGGCCAGAAAGGCAGACCCGCTAGCCTGCCAATTTGCCCTCTGTCCATGCAGTAATTGGGGGCGACTGGGGCATTGGAATCAGGCATACTTGTATTTCGACCACTTAACTGGCTGTGAGATCTACTCTTTACCTCTCAAATCCTCAGTGTGCTCACCTGTGCAGTGGGGATAAATGGGTCCCAAGTGTCTTTTGACCTTAAATGAGATTTTGAATACAGGAGGCCAGACTCCCCCCAAATCTTGCATGAATAATAACTTTCATTTTGATGATCATTATTTTTCACCCATTTCTTCCTCTCATGAAAAGCCCACAAGCCTATTTTGAATCACAAAGCTAGGGGCTCCCTGCTGCAGATGCAGACAAGTCCAGGGCTCTGTTCTTGGAGAGTTTAGTCTCATGAAGGAAGAGGGACAGCAAACAAGCACTTACCAGACAATGTGGCCTTCCTCTAGATAGAGGGAAGCAGGGTGCTCAGGGGTGCACAGAAGAACCTCCCCAGTCCCCCTCTCCAAGAATGTTTCATGTGGTTTGGAGATGGAGGAGTGTTTTGTTTTGTTTTGTTTTGTTTTGTTTGAGACAGGGTCTCTCTCTATTGCTCAGACTGGAGTTCGGTGGTGTGATCTCAATTCACTGCAGCTTCAACCTCCCAGGCAGCAATCCTCTCACCTCAGCCTCCCAAGTAGCTGGGACTACAGGCATGCACCACCACACCTGGCTAATTTTTGTACATTTTTTGTAGAGATGGGGTTTCGTCATGGCCCAGGCTGGTCTCAAACTCCTGGGCTCAAGCGATCTGCCCGCCTTGGCCTCCCAATGTGCTGAGATTATAGGCATGATCCACTGTGCCCAGCTGGAAGGGTGTTTTAAGCATAAGGAACAGCAGGTGCCATCTCTAGGAAGCAAAGAAGGCATAGCAAGCTGTAGGTGCTAGAGTAAGTTTGGTCAGGTGAAGGATAGGGAGTGGTTGAGAAGGTTTGAGAGACAGTTGGGACAGGCTGGGTTCTGAAGACTGTGAACATAGATCCAAGGAGGAATTTAAAGTCCTCCACTTCCTGAAAAGACCCTCCTTTCAGGAAGAGAACGGCTGTCCTGTGGGGATGGGAGGCCAAGGAAGGAGGTTACCCCATGAGAACAATTGGGAGGGGGGTGGTGGTGCTGAAGACAAGGTGACCATCTGTGAGGGAGACGAAGACTCCTTCCCTGCTATCTCGCAGACCCTACAGGCACCTTCAGGTTAATAACTGCCTGAAATAAGGTGAAAATGAACACAGATCCCCACCCCCAATCCCCTAGGATGGGGACCAGAGAGATGGCACAGTTTGATGGTAATGATGCAGTGATGATGAATTGCACTTTGCCCTGGGCATGGTCTCCTGGACTAGGGTGAGAGTACACCTTCCCATACCTTCCCTTGCCCTTACCCAGCTCCCATGGAACACACTGATGGGAAACAGAGGTGTGAGGCTTTCCCAGCTCATCATGTGTTTGTGCTGTCACATTTCCTTCTCCAAGTGGACAGGTAAAATATAAGGGATAATAAAATACACTCCGGGAAAGTAGGAAGGTCAAAAGGCAGCAGATGAGAGTTCACTGCTTAGTTTCTCATACCTATGGACTTCATGAAAGGAAACACCCACAAATTTGGTAGAAGGCTAGTCATATTGCCCGTGAAGAAGTAAATGATTTTGAAAAGGTTTGTGTTGGTGTTGTCTGTAAAATGATACCTCAGGGTATCAGTTTCCTAGGAATGTCGTAACAAAGAACCACAAACTGGGTGACTTAAAACAAGAGAAATTTATTGTCTCACAGTTCTGGAGGCTGGAAGTCTACAATCAAAGCACGGGTGGGACTATGCTCCTTCTGAAACCTGTAGGGGAGAATCCGTCCGCTTCTTCTTGGCTTCTGGGGGTTTGCTGGCAATCTTTGGCTAGCAGCCACAGCACTTCAGTCTCTGCCTCCATCATCACATGGCATTCTCCCCTCATGTCTCTGTGTTTCCTCTCTTAAGGACACAAGTCACATTGGATCAGGGCTCACACTGATGACTTCATCTTAACTGGTTTACACTTGCAGAGACCCTGTTTCCAAATAAGATCACCTTCACGGGTACTGGCAGGTTAGGACTTCAGTAACTTCTGAGGAGGACATAATTCAGCCCAGAAGCTTTGTATTAATATTATCATTATTTTTTTAGAGGTGGGGTCACACTATATTGCCCAGACTTGTCTCAAACTCCTGGGTTGAAGCAGTCCTCCTGCCTCAGCCCCTCAAAGTACTGGGACTACAGGCATGAGCCACTGCACCTGGCCCTGCCCATTTTTAATAGGGTTATTTGTTTTATTGTTATTGAGCGGTCTGAGTTTGTACATTTTGGATATTAGTCCCTGATCTAATGTATATTTTGTAAATATTTTTTTCTCAATCTGTGGGTTGTCTCTTTATTCTGTCATTTCCTTTGCTGTGCAGAAGCTTTTTAATTTGGTATAAACCCATTTGTCTATTTTTGCTTTTGTTGCCTATGCTTTTGGAGTCTGGTTACTATTTTTTGGCAGCAGTGGGGGACAGGATCTCATTCTTTCACCTGAGCTGGAGTGCAGTGGTATAATCATGGCTCACTGTAGCCACAACCTCCTAGGTTCAAGCAATCCTCCCACTTCAGCCTCCTGAGCAGCTGAGACTACAGGCACCCACCACCACACCTGGCTAATTTTTAGATTATTTTCTGTAGAGATGAAAGTGAAAATAATAATAATAATTCAACCCGTAAAACCATGTAAAGGTGCCTATGCTGGAGCAGAGGAGGCTGATCAGACACAGTTCTTTTGACGGCCCTGACATGAAAGAATTCAGGGCCCACTGGTGAGTTCTCCCTGTTGTGGAGGGTGGAAACCAGATATATCAGACCAGGAAGCCATGGTGTAATTCATTTAAGCTATTGGTTTTCAAAGTGTGGTCCTGGACCAGCGGCATCAACATCACTTTGGAAACTTGTTAGAAAGGCAAATTCGGCCAGGCGCGGTGGCTTACGCCTGTAATCCCAGCACTTTGGGAGGCAGAGGCGGGTGGATCATGAGGTCAGGAGATCGAGACCACGGTGAAACCCCGTCTCTACTAAAAATACAAAAAATTAGCTGGGCGCAGTGGTGGTCGCCTCTAGTCCCAGCTACTCGGGAGGCTGAGGCAGGAGAATGGCGTGAACCAGGAAGGTGGAGCTTGCAGTGAGCCGAGATCCCGCCACTGCACTCCAGCCTGGGCGACAGAGTGAGACTCCGTCTCAAAAAAAAAAAAAAAAAAAAAAAGAAAGGCAAATTCTTGGCTGGGTACAGTGGTTCATGACTGTAATTCCAGCACTTTGGGAGGCCAAGGCAGGAGGATTCCTTGAGGCCAGGAGTTTGAGACTAGCCTGAGCAACATAGCAAGACCCTGTCTCTACAAAAAGAAAAAAAAAAATTAAAAATTAGCCAGGCATGGTGGTGTATGCCTGTAGTACTAGCTACCTGGAAGGCTAAGGTGGGAGGATCACTTGAGCCCAGGAGTTTGTGGTTGCAGTGAGCTATGATCTCGCCACTGCACTCCAACCTGGGCAACAGAGTGAGACATTCCTCTCTTAAAAAAAATTAAGTATTAAAAAAAAAAAAAGAAAGCCAGGTAAGGTGGTTCACTCCGGTAATCCCAACACTTAGGAGGCTAAGGCAGGAGGATTGCTTGAGCCCAGGAGCTCGAAACCAGGCTGGGTGACATGGCGAAACCTTGTCTCTGAAAAAAAAAGAAACACAAATTCTTGGACCTTATCCATACTTGCTGAATCAGAAACTGTAGAGTGAGGCCCAGGAAACTGTTTTAACAAATCATCCAGGTGATTCTGATACATGCTTGATCCTACCCTGGCTTTCTGAGCACTTACTATGATGCCAGGCAGGCCCCTGACATGCATCACCTCGTGAGCTCACAACCACCCAATGCAACAGATATTGCTGCTAACCCCGTTTTACAGACAGAGGGCAGATGTTTGGGGAGAAGAGTGAAGTAACAAAGATTAAGAGGTGGTGCAGGGGTTAGAAACAAATACCCCAGTCTGGTGCGGTGGCTCACACCTGTAATCACACCTGTAGTCCCACACCTGCAGTATTTTGGGAGGCCAAGGCAGGAGGATCACTTGAGGCCAGGAGTTAGAGACCAGCCTGGGCAACATAACAAGACCCCGTCTCTACAAAAACTAAAGAATGTGGCCGGGTGCTGTGGCTCACACCTATAATCCAAGCACTTTGGGAGGCCGAGGTGAGCAGATCATGAGGTCAGGAGTTCAAGACCAGCCTGGCCAATATGGTGAAACCTTGTCTCTATTAAAAATATAAAAATTTGCCTGGCGTGGTCGTGGGCGCCTATAATCCCAGCTACTCAGGAGGCTGAGGCAGGAGAAACGCTTGAAACCGGAAGGCAGAGGTTGCAGTGAGCCGAGATTGCGCCACTGCACTCCAGCATGGGTGAAAGAGCGAAACTCCATCTCAAACAAACAAACAAACAAAATTAGCCAGGCATAGTGGCATACCTGTAGTCCCAGCTACTTGGTGGGAGGATCACTTGAGCCCAGGAGTTGGAGGCTGCAGTGAGCTATGACTGCACCACTGTACTCTAGTCTGGGTGACAGAGTGAGACCTTGTCTCAAACAAAAAGAAATAAATACCCCCAACAGATCTGACCAGACCCCAGTGCAGATCTGTTATTTTATCCAGTCCAGTTGATCTCAACGAGGGCAGACTGGACCTTTGGGCTGTCAGGAAGTTTGGGGCTAGCTCTGTGCTTACAGAGATTATAGTCTGTGGGAGACCAGCCAGGAAGAAGTCATAACCCAGGACATCCTCCCAGGCCACTAGCCCTCTCTGCCTGTCCTTGCACATCCTATCCCTTCTCACCCTGGTCCTCATTGGCTGATCTCTTGCCTCTCTCCCCAACCCCATAAGCTCCTTGAGGCAGCTATAAGTCTATAATGTTCACAGTTGTATCACCTGTGCCTGGCCCAGCAGTTGACATCTAATAAATCTTCAATAAATGTTTATTGAATTAAAGAATAAATTTCTGAAACTATTGCCATCATACTTTGTACATTTTAAAATATGTTCCTAGCAATGTATATATCATTTGATTTGGTAATTCTACCTCTATCAATTTATTCCAAGGAAATCATCAGACACATATAAGATGTATAAGTAAGGAGGCCAGGTACATTGGTTCATGCCTGTAATCCCAGTCCTTTGGGAGACTGAGGTGGAAGTATTGCTCGAGGCCAGGAATTTGAGACAGACCAGCCTGAGCAACACAGTGAGACCCCACTGTGTGTTTTTTTTTTTTTTTTTGAGACGGAGTTTCGCTCTGTTGCCCAGGTTGGAGTGCAGTTGCACGATCTTGGCTCACTGCGACCTCCACCTCCCGGTTCATGCCATTCTCCTGCCTCAGCCTCCTGAGTAGCTGGGACTACAGGTACCCGCCACCACGCCTGGCTAATTTTTTTTGTATTTTTAGTAGAGACGGGGTTTCACCGTGTTAGCCAGGATGGTCTCAATCTCCTGACCTTGAGATCCACCCGCCACAGCCTCCCAAAGTGCTGGGATTACAGGCGTGAGCCACCGCGCCCGGCCGACCCCATCTCTTAAAAAAAAAATCATACTGGGTCTCAAAAAAAAATACTAAAGATGTGCAAGTAAGGATGTTCACTGCAGTGATATTTGCCACACTGAAAACTAGAAATAACAAAATCACAGCAGTGTGTGAATGAATATTATGAGGCAAGTTCTCCAAGGCCGATCAAGCAAGGAAACATTTACCATAGGGCACTGGGTGGGAAAAAACTGGTCAAAAAGCCATCCTATGATCCGGATTGCTCAATTGTTTTTTCCTTTTTTTTTTTTTTTTTTTTATGATGGGGTCGCTCTATGTTACCCAGGCTGGAGAGCAGTGGCTATTCACAGGTGTGATTATAGCATACTACAGTCTCAAACTCCTGGACTTAAGGGATCCTCTCACCTCAGCCTCCTGAGTAGCTGGGATTATAGGCACACCACCACACCTGGCCTTGACTGTTTACATACTACTAATACATGCAGGTTGAGCATCTCCAATCCAAAAATCCGAAATCCAAAATGCTCCAAAATCTGAAACTTTTTGAGCACCTACATGATGCTATGGGGGACCTGAGATAATGACACTTTTGCTTTCTGATGGTTCAATGTACACAAACTTTGTTTCATGCACAAAATTATTTAACGTAGTGTGTCAAATTACCTTCAAGCTATGTCTCTAAGGTAAGTATGAAACGTAAATGAATTTTGTGTTTAGACTTGGGTCCCATCCCCAAGATATTATGTATATGCAAATATTCCAAAGTCCGAAAAAAAATCGAAATCCAAAACATTTCTGGTCCCAAGAATTTTAGGTAAGTGATACTCAACCTGTATCAGAAAAGCTTGACAGAGCATCACCCTAATACCAAAACCAGGAAAGGACATAACCAAAATAGAAAACTACAGACCGATAACCTTGATGAACATAGATGCTAAAATCCTTAACAAAATACTAGATAACTGAATCCAACAACATATCAAAAAGATAATCCACCATGGTCAAGTGGGTTTCATACCAGGGTTGCAGGGATGGTTTAAAATACGCAAGTCACTAAATGTGATGCACCACATAAACAGAATTAAAAACAAAAATCAGGTAGGACACAGTGGCTCATGCCTGTAATCCCAGCACTTTGGGAGGCCCAGGCGGGTGGATCACCTGAGGTTAGGAGATCGAGACAAGCCTGGCTAACATGGTGAAACCCTGTCCCTATTAAAAATACCAAAAATTAGCCAGGTATGGTGGTGTGCACCTGTAATCCCAGCTACTCGGGAGGCTGAGGTGGGAGGATCGCTTGAACCCAGGAGGTGGAGGTTGCAGTGATTTGAGATCACACCATTGCACTCCAGCCCTGGTGACAGAGCAAAACTCCATCTCAAAAAAAAAAAAAAAGAAAAAAAGAATTAAAAAAAAATCATATGATCATCTCAATAGATGCAGAAAAAGCATGACAAAATCCAGCATCCCTTTATGATTCAAACTCTCAGCAAAATCAGCATACAAGGGACATACCTCAATGTAATAAAAGCCATCTATGAAAAACCCACAGTCAACATAATACTGAATGGGGAAAAGTTGAAAGCATTCGCTCTGAGAACTGGAACAAGACAAGGATGTCCACTCTCACCACTCCTCTTCAACATAGTACTGGAAGTCCTAGCCACAGCAATCAGACAAGAGAAAGAAATAAAAGGCATTCAAATTGGTAAAGAGGAAGTCAAACTGTCACTGTTTGCTGAAAATATGATTGTTTACCTTGAAAACCCTAAATACTCCTCCAGAAAGCTCCTAGAACTGATACAAGAATTCAGCAAAGTTTCCAGATACAAGATTAATGTACATAAATCAGTAGCTCTCCTATACACCAACAGCGACCAAGCAGAGAATCAAATCAAGAACTCAACCCCTTTTACAACAGCTGCAAAAAACAAAACAAAACAAAACAAAAAACTTAGGAATATACCTAACCAAGGAGTCGAAAGACCTCTACAAGGAAGACTACAAAACACTGCTGAAAGAAATCATAGATGACACAAACAAATGGAAACACATCCCATGTTCATGGATGGGTAGAATCAATATTGAGAAAATGACTATACTGCCAAAAGCAATCTACAAGTTCAATGCAATCCCCATCAAAATATCACCATCATTCTTCACAGAATTGGAAAAAACAATTCTAAAATTCATATGGAACCAAAAAAGAGCCCACATAGCCAAAACAAGACTAAGCAAAAAGAACAAATCTGGAGGCATCACACTACCTGATTTCAAACTCTACTGTAAGGCCATACTCACCAAAACAGCGTGGTACTGGTATAAAAATAGGCACATAGACCAATGGAACAGAATAGAGAGCCCAGAAATAAAACCACATACTTACAACCAACTAATCTTTGACAAAGCAAACAAAAACATAAAGTGGGAAAAGGACACCCTTTTCAACTCATGGTGCTGGGATAATTGGTTAGCCACACATAGGAGATTAAAACTGGATCCTCACCTCTCAGCTTTGACAAAAATCAACTCGAGATGGATTAAGGACTTAAATCTAAGACCTGAAACTATAAAAATTCTAGAAGATAACATTGGAAAAACCCTTCTAGATGTTGGCTTAGGCAAGGATTTCATGACCAAGAACCCAAAAGTGAATGCAATAGAAACGAAGATAAATAGTTGGGACTTAATTAAACTAGAGAGCTTTTGTACAGCAAAAGGAACAGTCAGCAAAGTAAACAGACAACCCACAGAGTGGGAGAAAATCTTCACAATCTATACATTTGACGAAGGACTAATATCCAGAATCTACAAGGAACTCAAACAAATCAGTAAGAAAAAAACAAACAATCCCATCAAAAAGTGGGCTAAGGACATGACTAGACAATTCTCTAAAGAAGATATACAAATGGCCAACAAACATATGAAAAAATGCTCAACATCATTAATGATCAGGGAAATACAAATCAAAACCACAGTGTGATACCACCTTACTCCTGCAAGAATGGCCATAATTAAAAAATCAAAAAACAGTAGATGTTGGCATGGATCCGGTGATCAGGGAACACTTCTACACTGCTGGTAGCAATGTAAACTAGTACAGCCACTACGGAAAACAGTGTGGAGATTCCTTAAAGAACTAAAAGTAGAACTACCATTTGATCCAGCAATCCCACTACTGGGTATCCACCCAAAGGAAAATAAGTCATTATATGAAAAAGATATTTCCACACACATGTTTATGGCAGCACAATTCACAATTGCAAAATCGTGGAACCAACCCAAATGCCCATCAATCAACGAGTTGATAAAGAAACTGTGGTATATGTATATATGATGGAATACAACTCAGCCATAAAAAGAAATGAATTAACAGCATCTGCAGCAACCTAGATGAGATTGGAGACTAATATTCTAAGTGAAGTAACTCAGGAATGGAAAACCAAACATCGTATGTTCTCACTGATATGTGAGAGCTAAGTTATGAGGATGCAAAGGCATAGGAATGATACAATGGACTGTAGGGACCTGGGGGAAAGAATAGAAGGAGGGTGAGGGATAAAAGACTGCAAATATGGTGCAGTGTATACTGCTCTGGTGATGGGCGCACCAAAATCTCACAAATCACCAGTAAAGAACTCACTCATGGCCCAGCACGGTGTCTCACGCCTGTAATCCCAGCACTTTGGGAGGCTGAGGCGGGCGGATCACGAGGTCAGGAGATCGAGACCATCCTGGCCAACATGGCGAAAACCCGTCTCTACTAAAAATACAAAAATTAGCTGGGCATGGTGGCACATGCCTGTCATACCAGCTACTTGGGAGGCTGAGGCAGGAGAATCGCTTGAACCAGGGTATCGGAGGTTGCAGTGAGCCGAGATCGCACCACTGCACTCCAGCCTGGCAACAGAGCAAGACTCCGTCTCAAAAAAAAAAAAAAAATCACTCATGTAACCAAATACCACCTGTACCCCAATAACTTATGGAAAAAATAAAAATATAATTAAAAAAGGAAACCTTGGCAGGATGGTCACTAAAATGTTAACAGTGGTGATCCTTGAGTAGTGACATGACCAGTGATTTTAATTTTCTGCTGTATGCTTTTCTGACTTCCAAATTTTCTACAATAGATGTCACTACTATAATTAGAGAAGAAATATTTGGGATTTTAAATGTACCCAACAAGGCCGGGCATAGTGGCTCACACCTGTAATCCTAGCACTTTGGGAGACTGAGGTGGGAGGATCCCTTAAGGCCAGGAGTTTGAGACCAGCCTGGGCAATATAGTGAGACCCCTGTCTCTATATAATCTTTAAAAAAAAAAGAAAAAAGGAAGTGAAAGTTGGAGGCCAAGGTCGTTTGATGAATGAGACTTGGCTGTACAGGCTGCTCATGCCTTCCTCCCCCAGGCCTCCATCACAGCCCTCACATCCCCCATTTTCCCCTCCCATATAAATAGCAAAAACCAGGAGCCACTGACACCAGTGAGACCAAAGAGAAAACTCTCAAGCAGAGAAATCAACTCGGCTTTAAAAACAGCATGTAATTGAGACTGGAGGCACCTGAATGGAGGCACAGGCTCCCCCAAGTTGACCTGAGTGGGTTGCTGGGGCAGCTGGCGCTTCACCTTAGAAGGGCAGTCTCCATTGTCTCCTCTCACTTTCCTGAGTTCCCAGTACCCAGAGAAAATGCTGAAGACAGGCTGCAGGAAGGAAAGAACTGGATCAACTTTTATTTGGTTGTTAAAGAGGTAATACATGCCTTAATTCATTCAAGAGATACAAAGGAGTACCAGTAAAGAGTGTCCTTCCCACGCCATACCACACCCTTCCACAACCTTCCACAACCTTCCGGTGTCCAGTCTCCTCCCTGTAGGTAAACACTCTCCCTAGCTTCTCCTAAGTCCTTTTAGAGAGGACTTGCATACACACACAAATGAGAGTCAAATTTAAAATCCGCTTCCTCCCTTTCCAGTGATTTTGGACAATATTGAACGAGGGACCCAGCAGCCCTGGGTTTTCATCTTTGTTCAGTCACTCACTGTGCATCTTCGAGCCCATCACTCATCCTCTCTTGAGCTTTGCTTTTCTCATCTGTAAAATGGGGTAAAAATCCCCCCAGGGTTACTATGTAGATGAAGTTGGATGCAAAACTATATGAAGAATTCCAATTGTATCTTTTTTTTTTTTGACACAGAATCTCACTCTGTAGCCCAAGCTGGAGTGCAGTGGTGCAATCTTGGCTCGCTGCAACCTCCGCCTCCTGGACTCAAGCAATTCTCATGCCTCAGCCTCCCGAGTAGCTGGGACTACAGGCACCTGCCACCATGCCTGGCTAATTTTTTGTATTTTAGTGGAGACGGGATGTCACCATGTTGCCCAGGATGGTCTTCAACTTCTGAGCTCAGGTAATCCGCCCGCCTCAGCCTCCCAAAGTGCTGGGATTACAGGCATGAGCTACTGTGCCAGGCCCAGTTGTATCTTTTAAGAACTACAAATAAATATGAAAAAGACCTGAGTCCCTCTGAAGAGGAAATGGGTCAATGGAGTTTGGGCTATCCCCAGAGCTCTCTCCCAGGTAAAGGATGTTGGCAGCTCTCCCAGGTAAAGGGTGGCTGGCTTCTCTGGGAGACAGAAGGTCCAGGCCTCACCCAGAAGCATGCCTTTGTCTTCTTGATCTGTAGATGCCATTTCCAGCTTGGAGACCTGGGGCCTTGACAGTGTTGGATTCTCTGTCACATCTGGTCTTGGGGGCTACTTATCTCTGTCATAAGTCCCCTGCCCCACCCTAGGGTCATATTTATATTAAGGATCCCTTCCTGCTCCTGGATCAGAGAGGGCCATCTTCGCAGGCCTGGGCAGTCACTGACATTGGCCCACCCAACCAGTTATCAATTAATCTCCATAGCTCTATCTGAGGATCTGGGGTTCAGGGCCTGGGAGAGGGAAACTGAGACAGACACAGAGATGAAGGGGAGCCAGGCAGACAAGATGGCAGATTCCTGTACAAGGTCAGCCAAGAGCAGGGCCTGAAAGAGTGTCTCTATTCAAGATCTGGACAGCAGACATTGTACTAGTGGCTGTTCGACTCCTGCTGAGTACAGGACCCCGGGTGGGATCATTTATCTGTCCTTCCATCCACCCCTCTGTTTGTCTTTCCAAAACTGCCTGCTGAGGACTAGCCAGAGACAAGCCCTCTCCCTGGCACAAGGCCACGTGCTAAGATGAATCAGATTGGGCCGGCTGGAGCCAGTGGGTGGAAGACAGAGGACGCACCAGGTGGAGGGCACAACAACGACCAGGGCTCGTGGGTGGGAAAATACTGGGCCAAGGCAGGCACTGGGGTTGAGTGCAGGGTGGAGGGTCTGAGCTCCCAGGGGGTGTACTGAAGGTTATGGGGAGGTCAGGAGAGGAGGGACAAACAGCAGGCTATGGAGGGACAAAGCAGAGTCCCTGAAGAAAGGAGGAAGCAGTAGACAAAATAACAGGGAGGGTGGAAGTCAGAGCCTCAGACTTAGCTCCATGGGGAAGCCACCTGGTGTCTGCCTGTCTTCAGGCCCATTGGTTGATGCCACTCCTTCTCACTCCCCCTTGGGGGATCTGGTTCCACCTGGGCCAAGGGTTCACATTGCCATTCCTGTCCCTGCATCTACCCCAGGGTTCCCGGACCCCCACACTCACAGCACACCCTTGTACCCAGCACCAAGGAGAAATGGTAAAGACCCCAGTGTCAGGCCAGGAGTGGTGGCTCACTCCTCTAATCCCAACACTTTGGGAGGCCAAGGCGGGTGGATTACTTGAGGCCAGAAGTTCAAGACCAGCCCAGGCAACATGGTGAAACCCCCATCTCTACAAAAAACACAAAAATTAGCTGGATGTGGTGGCACACACCTGTAATCCCAGCTACTTGGAAGGCTGAAGCAGAAGAATCACTTGAATCAAGGAGGTGGAGGTTGCAGTGAGCTGATATAGCACCAGCCTGGGTGACAGAGCAAGACTCTGTCTAAAAACAAACAAGCAAACAAACAAACAAACAAACAAATCCCACAAAACCCCCAGTGTCTGGAGTAAGAACCCCAGCTAATGAACCCTTTACCCCCTGGCTAGATGACCTTGGGCAAGTCACTTCACTTCTCTGGGCCTCACTCCCCTCCTCTGTCAGATAGGGCTGATGGAAGCACCCAACCTTGTAGGGTAACAGAGAGGGTTATACCATAGGAAGGACCCAAAGCTTGGTCCAGCGCCTGCAACAGCCTCTGGCAAACAGTGGAAGCTCCAGTTTTGGACACTTGATGGTCAGTGTAGTTTGCAGTTTAAAGGGGACTTTCCAACCCCAAAAGATTCAGGACCCAGAGCTCAGGTCTCTGGTGGTGGCATTTGCAGGTCTGGGGCAAGCCTAGGGAAGGGACGCCATGTGCGGCACGGGCATCTAGTGTCCCAGAGTCCGCACGGGTTGCTGGGGGAAAAAGAGGGATAGTCGCCCAGCCAGGGCAGGGGTGGGAGTTGGGGGGAGAGGGTTACTTCCTCCTGCCCTGAATCTCCGCTCGGGGTTCAACTGGCTCGCCGGCGGGCGAGGGCGGGGCAGGCCGGCCTCTCTGGCCCTGCTGGGGGGTGGGGGGCGGGTCCCCCGGGAACTGCTCCTCCCGCCAGCCGCTGCTTTAAGAGGCTGCTCCGCGGTAGCGAGCGGGGCCGGAGCCGCAGCCCGAACGAGCGGACCGAGCCGACCGGGCAGGTGCACGGCTGCGGGGACGGCAGCGGCATGACCGGCCACCACGGCTGGGGCTACGGCCAGGACGACGGTAGGCACAGACCTCCCCCACCGCCTCTGGCTCGGACCCCCGACCCAACTGCACTCGCCCCAACCCTCTTGCCCAGCTGGTTTCCCAGACCGGAAAGCTCCCACACTCCAGGCTGGGCGGGACCCCTCTTCCCATCCCGGCCCCCGAACTTGGCCCAAGCCTTGGTCCCCCGCGCCAGACGCAAAGTCCGCGCTGCGCCCCGGGTGGCCCCGCCGCCAGCAAGCGACCTGGCGGCTGTGTCCTGCCGCCTCCTCCGCGAAGCCCCTGATTGCCCAGCCCGCTCAGACCCAGGCCCAGACTCTCACTCACTCGCCCCGGGCGTGCGCAGCGCGTGGGGGTGGCCCAGGGCAGCGGGGGGCGGGCGCCGCGGAGCGCTGTGCGCGGGTGTCTGCGGGGAGCGCGCACGGCAAGTGAGCGGGGACCTCGGGGGAGCGGGGCTCCGCGTGGCAAGGGCGCAGTGTCCCCCGGAGAGAATTTCCCCGCAGAAGTGGCCGAGCTGCCTTCTCGGCCGGTACGTGAGGGAAGGGGGCACTTGGGGGCGCAAGCATGTGTCTGGGTGTCTACACCGAGCAGGGTGTTTGCGCACGTCCGGGTGTGAGTCGTGGGAGCCCGTGGCCCACACCAGCCTCCTGGGCTGACGCGGAAGAGAGCTCCTTCATCCTGCCTCAGTTTCCTTAGGACTCAGAGAAAGGGAGAAGAGGCAGAAGGTGAGAGCCAGACGGCTGGAGTGTGGGTCTGGGGCAGTCAATTCCCTTTGGGGCCATTTCTTACCAAGCAGGGGTGGGGGTGTGGGGTAAGGGGTTCCCTATTTCCCTGGGGAGCCAGTGCAAGACAGGTGGGGTGCGGAGAAGAAAAAGTAATGATGGGAGGAACATCCCCCAGCCCCACTCCTCTGCGGAGAGGCAGTCACTTTGTGAGGTTGGGTGGGGGACCACAGTCTGGGAAGCCAGAAAGTTGCAGTAGACCAGAGGGAGGGTGCTGTGGAGTCTTTGGCTCCCTCTGGGGCCCCAAGAACAAAGGAGCATATTTTGGAAGAGAACCCCCAGATCTGGGTATGCAAGAGCTGGAAAGAGACATTCAGAAAAAGATGATATAGACAAGCAGAGAGGGAGAGACAGGCAGACATGGGGCAGATGGACAGGACCCATAGGGATCATCTTCTCCCAGCACCTGCTCTGAGCCACCTTTTGGGTGCTTCCCCCAGAGCCAGAGTCCCCTGCCTCCAGCTCTTCTTGCTAGTCATGCCCACCAGCTCTGAGCACCCAGTGTCCTGTGTAGCCTGCTCCATGGGCCTGCTCCCCCAAAGCAGCCACCCCATCACCCAGGCAGAGCTGGATTGTCCAGTCGAGGAAGGGAAGGACAGAGGACAGAGGTGCCGGCATGCAGCAGTGTTCACAGGGCTTCAAAAATAACCCAGAGGGGCCGGGCCACGATTCTGAGTCATCCATTGGGGACACGGCTCTGTCGGCACCTGCTGCTGTTTTCTCAGGAAAACTTAAGAAGCCAAAAAGGGGGAGAAGCACCAGCCGGCAGTAGCTCTAAAAATAGGCTGCATCTCAGGATGTTCCCCAGGGAGATGCTGAGCCTCTCGGCTGCAGATGGATCCTCTGGGAGGCAGGTGGTGGGCGCCTGTGGGTGTGTATGCAGGTGTGTGTGTGTGTGTGTGTGTGTGTGTGCATGGGCATGTGTTTTGCTGTGGTCCTTTATGCAAACTTGGGTCTCCAACAGAGGGGTTTGTGTGTGAGAGAGCATATGCGTGTGTCAGATGTAGTCTGCAGGGCTGTGTGTGTGTTTGTACACATGAATGTTCTGGGCCTGGCTGCTCTGTGTGCACAATGGAAGATCATAGAAAGATTAATGTGTTCATAGGAAGATCTCTATGGACTTGCAGGCACACACATTGGGAGGGCAGCTGGGGGCAGTGCATGCACATGCTGTATTTATATTAGTACATATGCATGCACACATGTGTGAGTGGCCCTCAGTTCCCTCATCTGTGAAATGGGGATCTTGCTGGTTTCTATTTCACAAGGTGGTTGTGAGAGGCAAATACATGTCACAGAGTCAAAGCTAGGTTGATGTGAGTTTTTGTTGTTATTTATCACAAACACCAACACCAAATTGCCCAAGGCACAGAAAGAGGTGAGATACTGATGGGGTCAGGTCAGAGACTTCAGATGTCTGGAGGTCTCCCTGTTGGGGAGACTTATTACTCTGAGCCACCCCGAGCCTGTAGCTGTTATGTTCCCTTCCATACAGTACCTCTCTGGGCCTCCTATCAGCACTGGAAGGTGAGTTTTAGTGAGACCATTTCACAGACAAAGAAATGGAGGCTGAAAGGGGAAATGGCAAAGCTGGGATTGGAACTCCAAGCTGTGCAGCTCCAATGCAGGGGCTCACCTCTGAAAGGATGCTGAAGAGACCATTCCCCTATGGGTGTCCTCGGCCTGAAGCCCAGAGATCCTGGCTGGCCTGAGTCCTTGCCCTCCTCCCCACCTGCAGGCCCCTCGCATTGGCACAAGCTGTATCCCATTGCCCAGGGAGATCGCCAATCACCCATCAATATCATCTCCAGCCAGGCTGTGTACTCTCCCAGCCTGCAACCACTGGAGCTTTCCTATGAGGCCTGCATGTCCCTCAGCATCACCAACAATGGCCACTCTGTCCAGGTAGACTTCAATGACAGCGATGACCGAACCGGTAAGTGGCCCCTGCCAAAGCCTGGCACCTGGCCCCTGGCCCCTTAGGGTCCTAACCTTGTGTTGGGCAGTCTCAGGAAGCATGCTATGGTGGGTAAGAAAGGTTCCTCCTCTCACCAGCTGTGAAGCCTTGGGCTGATCTTCAGTCTCCTTATGTATAAAGTGAGAGCAATAAGACCTACCCTCTTAGGTCATAGAGGGGAAAAATGAAAAAACCAAGTAAGGTCGATAGATCTGGCACACAGCAGATGCTCAGGAAATGCTAATTTCTTTCCTTCCCTTCCTTCCCTTCCTTGTGGTGCTACAGATCAGGTTTGTTTTCACTCTCTGCCCCATCACTGACCTGCCAAGCCCTCCTCGCTGTGTGATCTGGCCAAGCCTAGCAGGGAGAGAGAAGGGAGCTAAAATTTACAAGTGCCAAACCCCTTGCTAAAGTCACAAGCCGCTCATTTATTCTTCTCAATAACCCATCTCTCAGATGGGCAAATAGAGGCTTGATGAGCTGGGGAGGGCCAGAAGCAGCCTGGTCCAGCCTGAAGGTCTCTCTCTCTCTCTCCAGTTCACCTATGACTTCAAGGTCCAACCATCTTGGGCCAGTAAGAGGCCAGTGGGAATTCGTGGCAGCTCCTTCCAAGGCCTCTTTGCCCTGGGATTAGAGTCCAGATTCTTTCATGATAAATTCCTAGACAGGAGTGCTGTTCATTGAAGGGATTTTCGTCCTTATGACTGGGCCTTACGACTGGGTAGAGTGGTGGAATGGGGCGAGGAAGAAACCTACTAGAGTTTCTTGTGTAAGGAAGTATTAATAACTGGTTCCTTCCTCCTCCTTCTCCCCTCCCCACAAATACAATAAAAGCCCTCAAAGGAACTTAAGTTTCAAATGGAAAATTAAAAGGCAAAGAGGATGAAGGAAGCCAGACCTTTCATGAGAAGAGTGATCTTACTTAGTTCTGAGTTCCCTGGTAGGCTAGGAAAAAACAGAAAGAGGATTGATTATAGTTTTTGCTGCAAAAGAAAGGGAGTCTAGCAGATCCTCAGGAGAGAGACAAAGCATTTATTTCCTGGTACTGAATTCTAAGAAAAGCCTCTTACTCAGAGCTTTGGGGAGGGGGCGTGGGGCTCTAGCTGACCCTAGATGATAGTTTGGCAAGGAACAGTTTTCATATGACTGTCCCTTCTAACAGCCTTCAGAGGGCACTGGGGGCTCAACTAAGAAATCAGTAGCTCAATGAAGGCCACTGGGGTGGGAGAAGACACAGGGGGACATGCCTTTGGATTACTGATCTGGGGTGTTGCCTTCAGGCCTGGCTGGGGCTCCCTCCCCCACCCAGAATGCCCAGGCCGGAGGGCGCAGGAAGCCAGTGAAAAGAGGAATGAGATGGTGGGGCTCTGCCACTCACCCACTGTGGGTCACTCCAGAGGTCAGACGGGTTGATGCCAGCAGAGTGCCAAACACACATTGAGTGCCCCGTGAATGGCAGCACATTCTGTGTGTGAACTGGGGGAGGAGGCTAAGGGGTCCAAGGTCAAGGGGTGTTACGGAGGGAGCTCCCTCTCTAGGAGCCCACACTATAGGGTCCCAGGTGAGGCATGCTTTGGAGGGTGGCATCTGCAGACCTATCCAATTGCTTAGCCTGCAGGCTCAGCCGCTCCTGCTTCCAGGGATGGGGCAGCCTGATTAGGGCCCCACCCACAGCTACTACTCCCAGACTCCTAGCCAGTGCCCAGGTCTTGCCTCTTTGATAAGACCGGGCAAGAAAGAGGGACTTCTGGACTGTCCTGTCCTCCTGCTTAAGGAGGCCACAGGGCCAAAGCCCTACCCTGGTCACCCATCATGGAAGGGACCAGTGGAACTCTGAGCCTGGGGTGTTATCTGATCCAGGAGCTCACATTCAAGCCTAGCTGGGGCTCCCTCCACCTCCAGATCCCTTTCAGCTGGAAATTCTATCAGTCCCAGGAGGCCTCGTGCATGGCCCCAGCTCACTGGGTGTCAAGGCAAGAAAGTTACAAAGCCAGCACAAGTGGGGCCCTCAGAAGAGGCCATTTCTGGGGGAGGCGGCACTGGAGGCACCTGGGCCTGTCCAGGAAGGTAGAGACCCTCAGGAGCTACCCTCCTCTTCTGGAAAAGCACAAAGTTTAAAGAAGTTTCAAGGTTCTAGGGAGGCAGTGTTGCCTGGTGATTAGTGGCTTGGGCTTTGGACATAAGAGATACTAGTTCATACCCTAGTTCAGTGCCTTGCTGTGTGACCTTGAGCAAATGCCTCGTCATCACTGTGCCTCAGCTTCTCTCTTTGTAGAATATGGATAATAATAAGTTCTGTCCCTCATGGGCTACTATGCAGACTAAACAAAATAGTCTCTTCAACCTAGCCCTGGATCAGGGTTTCAGACATGGTAGGCCTAACTGTCAGTGATAATGGGGGTCCTGGGAGGCAGGGTCCCACCCTCCATGGGAAATCGGGCAGGAGCGGGGAGGACAGCTAGATAGAGAGCTGTCCTCTGTCAGTCCCAGACCCTTCTGCCACCTGCCGGCTGTCAGGATTTCTGCCCTGGCCCAGCTCAAGGGACAGGGGTCTAGGGGGCAGTGGGGACCAACCCAAGCCCAGTCAGCCCAGTGAATTTTCCAAATGAAAAATGTATCCCACACTTTGGAAGGCTGAGGTGGGCAGATCACCTAAGGTTGGGAGTTCGAGGCCAGCCTGGCCAACATGGTGAAACTCCCTTTCTACTAAAAATACAAAAAATTAGCCGGATGTGGTGGCAGGTGCCTGTAATCCCAGCTACTTGGGAGGCTGAGGCAGGAGAAATGCTTGAACCTGGGAGGTAGAGGTTGCAGTGAGCTGAGATTGTGCCACCACTGTACTCCAGCCTCGGTGACAGAGCGAGACTCCATCTCAAAAAAAAAAAAAAAAAAAAAGGAAAAATGTATCTCAGCTGGCACAGTGGCTCGTGCCTGTAATCCCAGCATTTTGGGAGGCCAAGGCAGGAGGATTGCTTGAGCCCATGAGTTCAAGACCAGCCTGGCCAACATAGAGAGACCCCATCTCTACAAAAAATAAACAAATTAGCTAGGTGTGGTGCCACATGCCTATAGTCCCAGCTACTCGGGGGGGCCAAGACAGGAGGATGGCTTGAGGCCAGGAGGTTGAGGCTATCATAAGCCATGTTTGCACCATGGCACTCCAGCCTGGGCAACAGAGCGAGACCCTGACTCAAAAAAAAAAATGTCCCTTTCCTGGGCTGCTGCCCTGGTCCTGGCACTGGGCTGTCGGTCCTCTCCTACTCATTGCCACTCGCCCCACTTCTACCCACAGTGGTGACTGGGGGCCCCCTGGAAGGGCCCTACCGCCTCAAGCAGTTTCACTTCCACTGGGGCAAGAAGCACGATGTGGGTTCTGAGCACACGGTGGACGGCAAGTCCTTCCCCAGCGAGGTACGGGCCCTCCTCCACTTGAATCCCTCTGCTACATGGGAAGGAACGCAGGCCTGGGTAGTCAGGGGCTTGAGGATGCCTGGGGTCGGGCCTTGGAGAGGGGGAAGAGGAGCACCCGGGGCCTTTGGGAGAGATATTTTCTACCCACCCCCAGCACAGGGTCTTCCATCTGACCCTGTCCACTGCTATCCTTCCTGGTCTGTGCGTCGTGGAGTTTTCTGAAGGGCTACCCAGTCCCACTGCAGCCTTGCTGACAGCCCTTTAAGGGTTGAGCCCAGTATTCAAGACTGTGCATGAACTGATCTTGCCTGGCCTCATCCTTCCCCTCACCTCTTCATACACTGAGCTGCATGTGACGAATCCCCTGTCCACACCTGGCTCCTTCATACCACCAAGCTTTGTCTGTGCTGTTCTCTCTGCCTGGAATGCCTTTCCCCAAGGCTTCCCTCTGATAACCCTCTGCTTATTCTCTGGACTCAGCTGTAGGCACCACCTCCTCAAGGAGGTGTCACGCTGGATGTTCATGATCGATTTCACAGCTCGTTCCCTGCAAGGCAGGGCTTGGGCCAGATTCCTCTTTGGGTCCCCCGGAGCCCAGAAAAGAATTGGGCCCAGAGTTGGGTGGATGCTACCTGTGACCCTCTGGGGCTCCCCTGGACCCCCCAGCATCCTAATCCTTGGAGGCTTGACAGCTTCCCCTTCCTGCAAAGAGGCCAGGGGTCTGGTGGGAGTGAGGGGAGCCTGGCTCAGAGTTCCCATTGCCTCTGGGAGGCACGAAGCATTGGCCTGTTGTTGCCCCATAGCTGCATCTGGTTCACTGGAATGCCAAGAAGTACAGCACTTTTGGGGAGGCGGCCTCAGCACCTGATGGCCTGGCTGTGGTTGGTGTTTTTTTGGAGGTGAGTGGTGGTTTGCTGGGGCCTGGAGGGGCATGGGAGGCCTGGCACTGCCCCTAGTTCTAGAACACAGTGGGCTCTGGGCTCACACTGCCCTCTCCCTGACAGACAGGAGACGAGCACCCCAGCATGAATCGTCTGACAGATGCGCTCTACATGGTCCGGTTCAAGGTAAAGTCCCTGCCCCTGACCCAAGCAGCCCGATGGGGAGAGAGGAAGAGGCTGGCTCACAAGTTGGGCCCTTCCAGTCCTTCATTCTGGGAGTAAACCCTTGCTGAGACCAAGGAGGAGGGTCAGCATCAGCAGGGCCCTGCACCTGATTCCTCATCGGGGTCAGCAGCCCCCTTGGGTGTCCAGCATGAAGCCCGGCTAGGTATAAAATTGATAAGATGCTTGTCACATTAATGGTGGTCTAATAGGCAATGTCATTGAGGGCAGCTGAAGGCAAGGGAGGGAAGATCGTGGCCAAATACCTCCAGGAGCCACAGCTTTTACATACAAGCAAACGGATGAGAGGGCCCGGCTCAGGCTGGAAGATGGCATCTGGGATCACAGACATTTGCTCACAATTTGCATCAGTGGACACAGAGAGGCCTAAATCCTGCTGATAGAAATGGGTGGAGAATGCCGGGCATGGTGGCTCATGCCTGTAATCCCAGCACTTTGGGAGGCCGAGGCAGGCGGATCACTTGAGGTCAGGAGTTCAAGACCAGCCTGGCTAACATGGTGAAACCCTGTCTCTACTAAACATACAAAAATTAGCCAGGTATGGTGGTGCATGCCTACAATCTCAGCTACTTGGGAGGCTGAGAGAGGAGAATTGCTTGAACCCAAGAGGCAGAGGTTGCAGTGAGCCGAGATCGTGCCACTGCACTCCAGCCTGGGTGACAGAGTGAGACTCCACCTCAAAAAAAAAGAAAAAGAAAAAGAAAGAAAGAAAGAGAGAGAGAGGGGAAGGAAGGAAGGAAGGAAGGGAAAGGAAGGAAGGAAGGAAGAAAGAAAGAAAGAAAGAAAAAGAAAGAAAAGAAAAGAAAAAAAAAAGAAAAGAAAAGAAAAAAGAAAAGAAAAAAGAAAGAAAGAGATGGGTGGAGAAGTTGCTGGTTTGGTCCCAGTGGGAGGTCTATGCTGATTCCTGGGTTCCTCCACCTTGTTCCAGGGCACCAAAGCCCAGTTCAGCTGCTTCAACCCCAAGTGCCTCCTGCCTGCCAGCCGGCACTACTGGACCTACCCGGGCTCTCTGACGACTCCCCCACTCAGTGAGAGTGTCACCTGGATTGTGCTCCGGGAGCCCATCTGCATCTCTGAAAGGCAGGTGAGTCCTCTCAGAGGACCAGATGGAGGGACATGGCACTCAGGGCTCACCCCAGGCAGTGTGACTCTCCAACTAGCACCCCACAGCCCGTGATCCCACCTTCAAGGTTCCTCCCCATTTTTTACTAATAAATGTATAGATTCTTGGTTGGGAGTTAGCTTGATTGTTAATCACCAGAACCTAGACACTGGCTGGGAGCGGGGATACCTGGATCCTGGGACCCCCACCCCCGCTACTGTGTTGGAATCTGAATGCTACATTTGCTGATAAGTCTTAGCTAGATGGGCTTGGAACTAGAACTAGGTAAAGCAGAGCCCAGACCCTTTAGTGAGTAAATAAATGAGGGTCCTGCAGAGAAAAATGAGTGGGGAAGAGTAGGGACAGACCCTAAGGGAAGGAGGAGGGAGGGGTAGAGCTGGCTGGGCAGGTATGCCAGATGATGCATCTGGGGTCATAGAGGACCACAGCACCCCCAATCTGCCCTGAGCATTCCTTCTGCTTCCTCAAGATGGGGAAGTTCCGGAGCCTGCTTTTTACCTCGGAGGACGATGAGAGGATCCACATGGTGAACAACTTCCGGCCACCACAGCCACTGAAGGGCCGCGTGGTAAAGGCCTCCTTCCGGGCCTGAGCTGCCCATCTGCCTAGCCGGCCACTAGGGCACCATCTTCTCAAGGGCTTCCATGTCAGCAGACACCAAACCATCTGAGGCTTCCTCCCTGGGGGGTGCTGGGGACCCTCCTTCAGCCAGTTTGCTCCTTGGTCACCCTGGAGGCTTCTGGATGGGACCCTTGAGTCTGGGGCACCCTTCAGCTGCCCTGGGGACAGGAAGGACAGGAGCTAAGCAGGGTCCAAGCCTGGGGCTGCCTCTGCTCTCCAAGACCCAAAGACCCTGGGAACCTCCTCTGGTCTTCCCCACTGGCAGTGGCAGCAGCCCCACCCCGAGCGCACACTGTGATGGAGGAGACTGAGCTCCCTGGGGCGGGCAGCTGACACTACCAGAGAGACTCAAGCAATAATTAGAGGTGGGCAGAGCTGCCCTCTCGGCATTACCTCTTCTGCAGGCTCTGCCATGCACGCACCTCACTGCCAGGCCATTAAAATCAGCACCCAGCATGCTGGAGGTGACGTGGCCTTCTCCCTCCAGCCACCTGCTGCCACGGGCAGGCCCTGGCTATAGCTTATACAGTATCTCCCCTTGTCCCCACCCAGTCACCAAAGCCACCTACATGACAGTCCATCCCTGTTGAATTAATAAATTAATGTATCCATGCAACAAATACCAATTGAGTGCTTGTGCTGTCTCTAGTACCGTCCTAGGCTTTGGGGAGCAATGGTGGTGAGTTAAGCACTATGTGTTGGGAGGGATATGAGTGGTGAGCAGGTGAGGGTTACACAAAGGGCAGGGAAGGGGCTATGGGAGCAGATGAGAGGGGAAGACCATGTCACTCAGCAAAGAAATGCAATTCTGGTCAGGCGTGGTGGCTCACGCTTACAGTCCCAGCACTTTGGGAGGCCAAAGCAGGTGGATCACTTGAGCTCAGGAGTTCGAGAGCAGCCTGGCCAACTGCTGAAACCCCGTCTCTACTAAAATTACAAAAATTAGCTGGGTGATAGTGGTGTGCACCTGTAATCCCAGCTGCTCAGGAGCCTGAGGCAGGAGAATCGCTTGAACCCAGGAGGCAGAGGTTGCAGTGAGCTGAGGTCGCACCACTGTACCCCAGGCTGGGCGACAGAGCGAGGCCCTCTCAAACAGAAAGAAAGGAAGAAATGAAATTCCAACCAGTATTCCAAATCAGATAGAAGGGAACAGCATGTTTGAGGCCAAGGGAAGGGCAAGTGTGCAGGCTCAGAGGTGAGAGAGAGCCCAGTGTGGTTGTGGGGCTCAAAAGGCTCAAAGGGGCTAGAGCCCTGGGGGAAACCTGGGACCCCCTCCCCAGGCTGACGGGGAGCTACCAAGGGCTTATAGTAGAGGAGGGGCAGGGCCAGGCCTGCAAATGGGGAACATCCCTGAGGAATGCGGATGGGCAGGCAGGAATGGTGGCAGGGAGCAAGGGGTGGCCTGTGTCCAGGCGGGAGGGGACAGGGTGGAGGGAGGTGGGAGACAGAGGGCTGGATGAGAGAGATTTAGGAGGTGGTGCCCAAAAGACAGTGTTTGGCTGTTCAGGATAGAGAGGAGACCAGGGCATATCCCTGAGCAGAAAGTGGAGCCTTCACTTGCTCTGGGAACCCTACAGGGAGCTGGCCACATTGGACACGCAGCATTGTGGGGTCCTGGAAGGAAAATCTAAGGGGGCATGTGCCTTCAGGCCCAGGCCCTGCACACGCACAACCCCAAGAGGGGGTTTTATTTTTATTTTTATTTAATTTTACTTATTTATTTATTTATTTATTTATTTATTTATTTATTTATTTATTTTTGAGACGGAGTCTTGCTCTGTAGCCCAGGCTGAAGTGAGTGGCATGATCTCAGCTCACTGCAACCTCCGCCTCCCAGGTTCAAGCAATTCTCCTGCCTCAGCCTCCCGAGTAGCTGGGATTACAGGTGCGCACCACCATGCCCGGCCAATTTTTGTATTTTTAGTAGAGATGGGGTTTCACCATGTTGGTCAAGCTGGTCTCGAATTCCTGACCCCAAGTAATCCACCCACCTGGGCCTCCTAAAGTGCTGGGATTACAGGTGTGAGCCACCGTGCCTGGCCCTAGAGTGCTTTTTTTTAAATGTGCATCCTCACCCTAGTCCCTAGTCCAAGTCCAAAAAAGTGCCCAAGGGCAAGTTCACAGTTGGGCTTAGAGACCAAGTGATGATTGTGACCCAGATGAGACAGCGGCAGGAGCCGGAGACAGACACTGGGGGTGCTGAGGAGTGAGGGGAGGTGAGAAACTGGGACCTCACATGCATAAGTTTAGTTGTGAAGGGGGAGAAAGGGACAGTGGAGGGGGCTGCGGGGAGATGGAATGTCCGAACACCCTTGGGAAGGAGGCCCCACTGCAGGGCCAGGAGGGGCTGGTGGTGCATGTCATCAGCTCACTTTGACCACAGCTCCTGTCAATGTTACTATACCAGAAGGGAACTCCCAGGCCACAGGGCACTTTTGGGTCTTAGATTAACTTTGACCTCAGTGATCTGGGGAAGGGAGAGGCTTGCTCTATGGACCCCCCTCCCACTCCCATGCTTAGGGCAAACCTGTCTCCGGAGTGGGGAGGAATGGGGTATACAGGAGGAGCAGGCCAAATAGAGAGTTACCCTGCAGGCGCCCCTGGCCTGATCTAGGTAGGGGCCATTTTCTCCCTCCACTTTTGAGGAGATGGTGAGGAGAGGGAGAGAGGTGTCTGGAGGACAACATTTGCTCAGCTTGGAGGCAGGCAGCTGTGGTAACAGGGAAGCAACGCCAGTAATGTTCCTGTTAAAGCAGGTAAAGGGCCTGAGGCAGACGTCCAGCTCTCCCTGCGATCCAAGAACTGCTGTTACCCCATTTTACAGATGAGGATGATGAGGCTCAGGGAGGTTAGGTAGGCAGGTCACAGAGCAGGATTTGAACCAGGATCTGTCCAGTAACTCTTCTACTCTATACTAGAGCAACTGGGCTCAAAGGAGGGTGGGATGGGTATGGTGGTGGCCATCTGGAGGTGGCATAATAGCCCCAATGCTGCTAACTGTGCCAGGGACCCTGTCCAGCCCCTCCCAGGGATGGTGGCATCACAGGCCCGGCGCTGCAGAGGACTTGGAAAATGGGAGCTGGTTTTATAATAATTACCCCGAGACTGCCAAGAATCCTCACTCCCTAAGTCCTTTCCCTTATTCACTTTTTAAATTTAAAACTATTTTAAAGCTGAAAGTGGCCTCCTTATGTTATAATTACAGCCCCAGATTTGACCCTATTATATCCAAATGGGATGTCCCAGCTGGATCCCAGCACACCTGGCCTCAAGGGACCCAGGACTGGGTCCTAAGTCCTCATTCAGGACAAGATTTTCCCCTGGAAGTGATGCTGGGGACATTTGGGACACCCAAGACAAGATGAGCTCTACTTGCTCCCAGGACCCCAGAGGGGCCCTCCCTGGGCAGCCAGTGGTGGCCCTTGGATTGATCCAGGCAGGGCTGTGGGCCTGCCAGCAGCCACAGCCTGCGGAGTCTGTGCCCAGGCAAGGGTCACAGTCTTCCCTCCAGTGCAGGCTGTGGGCCCCAGAGCAAGTCCCTTCTATGGGGCGGGCCTCAGGAGGTGGGATGGTTGTGAAGATCTGATCCCCCTGAAGCTCCTTCTGCAGAGGGCTGTCTTCCAATCCCATGGTCACCCTATAGCTGCTGCTGTTGCAAAGGCTTGGGAGTGTCCCCTCATGGCTAGCGCTGGACACATACCCACTGGCGTGCTCATCTGTGGGGAGAGTGATCTGTGGACTGAGCAACAGCTGGAGACAGGAACAGAAATAGGTCTGAGGTGGAGGTTGCAAGATAACCTGATAGTTGATGCCTGGGAGGGAGCCACAGCTGATGTCAAAGCTAAGAGGGGTTGGAGCAGGGCAGAAGGCTTTCGGATGCAGTTGGAGCTGGCCTGGGGTTGGGGAGAGAGGTCAGACAACAGCCTGAGCATCTTGGGGATCCTCTCGCATCCATGGGTCACAACATCAACTCTGAGGCCACCCTCAAAGGCCAAATGTACTGCTGGTTGGTCAAGACTCGGGGGGAGGAGGAGATGTGACTCTTTGATCACGAAATGTTCTGGCATTTATCCTCTAGCCAGAAGCAAGGCCTGGGGAATGTATCTCTTTTGAAGTCTTATCTGCTCACAAATCCAAGGGCCCACTTACCCGGGTCATACCTGGGTTTTGCACCATCTGTCACTCAAACCCTCTGAAGCTTATTTCCTCTTCTGTAAAATGGAAATGACGTGTGAGCCATTTTTGTAATTTAAAATTTTCTAATACTGATATAAAATATATAGAAAGAGACATAAGGCCGGGTGCAGTGGCTCATGTCTGTAATCCTAGCACTTTGGGAGGCTGAGGCAGGAGAATCACTTGAGCCTCGGAGTTCAAGACCATCCTGGGCAACATAGCAAGACCCTGTCTCAAAAACAAAAATGTAGCTGAGCACCGTGGCTCATACCTGTAATCCCAGCACTTTGGGAAGCCGAGGCGGGCGGATCACCTGAGGTCAGAAGTTCGAGACCACTCTGGCCAACATGGTGAAACCCCATCTCTACTAAAAATACAAAAATTAGCTGGGCGTGGTGGTGTGCACCTGTAATCCCAGGTACTTGGGAGGCTGAGACAGGAGAATCGCTTGAACCCAGGAGGCAGAGGTTGCAGTGAGCCAAGATCGCGCCACTGCACTCCAGCCTGGGCAACAGAGCAAGACTCAGTCTCAAAAAAAAAAAAAAGAAAAGAAAAATGTAAAAAGAAACAAGTCATTTAAATAATGTACTTAATTTAACCCAATTATATCCAAAATATATGCATTTTAATCTGTCACTAATATTAATAGAAAAAAACTAATGAAATATTTTACATTTTTTGTGCTAAGTCTTTGAAATCTAGTGTGTGCTTTACGCTCACAGTACATCTCAGCGTAGGGCAGCCCCATTTCATATGCTCAAAGCCTTATTTGTCAGTATATAGTTGGACATCTTTTTTTTTTTTTTTTTGGGACAGAGTTTCGCTCTTGTTGCCCAGGCTGGAGTGCAATGGTGCTATCTTGGCTCACTGCAACCTCAGCCTCCCGGGTTTAAGCAATTCTCCTGCCTCAGCCTCCCGAGTAGCTGGGATTACAGATGCCCGCCACCACACCCGGTTAATTTTTTATATTTTTAGTAGACACGTGGTTTCACCATATTGGCCAGGCTGGTCTTGAACTCCTGACCTCAGGTGAGCCACCTGCCTCAGCCTCCCAAAGTGCTGGGACTGCAGGCACGAGCCATTGCACCCAGACTGCACATCTTAAAAAAAAAAAAGAAAAAAAGAAAAAAGTCATATGTGGCCCAGTATGGTGGCATGTGCCTCTAGTCCCAGCTATTCAGGAGGCTGAGGCAAGAGGATTGCTTGAGGCCAGGACTTCAAGGGTGTATTGCATGATGATCACATCTGTGCATAATCACTGCACTCCAGCCTGGGCAACACAGTGAGACCCCATTGCTAATTTTAAAAAATAAGAAAAAGGAAAAAAAGCCATATGTGGCCATTGGCTACCATATTAGACAGTACAGTCCTAAATGGATGTCACTCTGCTGGACAGGTGTCTGAGAAAGCCCTCTGGCTGGGCGTGCAGCCAGGCAAAGTGGCAGGAATGAGTCAGATCTGCTCCCGGCCTCTGTCCTCCACGAGAGCAGCCTCAGAACATTTGATGCCAAATTGGCTCCCTCTGCTAGGGCCTTCCTCCCCCAGGAAACCTCTCTAACCCCACTTCACTCCAGTGTGGCTGGCTCTGCCCCAGGCCACCCTGAAGGGCCTTTCCTGTTCCACTGAGAGAAAGGCCAAGACCCTCAGCAAGGAACTGACTGCAGAGGAGTGTTGGGAGTCAGGGGAGGTGGTAGTCCTGGCTTGGTTGAGATTTGATTAGTCTGGGAGGGTTTCCTGGAGGAGGGGCCCAGAATAAAGAAGCTGGCATTCCAGGAGAGGGGCAGAAGCCTCAGCTGCAGAGAGCATTTACCAGACAGAAAAAGAAGGCCTGGCTCTTGCCCAGCCTGTATCAACAAAAAGAAGAAGTGGGGCTGAGGAGACAGGGGCTCCCAGGCTGCAGAGATTTCAAATGCCAGGTAGAGCTTTACCCTTACATCCACAGGCCATGGGGGTCATTGAGGTCTAAAGCAGGGGCTGAGGACCTCCTGGGCTGGAGGAAGAGGACTCTTCCTGAGGCTTAGAGAGCACCAGGCATCACTTAGTTTGAATCCACCTTCTAACCCAGGGCTTGAGTGCAAATTCTGGCAAGTGCAATTCATCAACTTCTTCTGCTGCCTCTCCTCGGCCCTGCAGGATGGAATCATGCCTGGACCCTGGCAGTTTCCAGTTTGGCAGTCTATGAGTGTAACCTACATTCCTCCAGCTGCAACTCAAGTGCTTTTGTCTTCTGGGACATAGGAGGGTGAGCAGATGGTTCCTTTATTCCTACCAAGAGGCCCTCTTAGACTGGCATTGCGAGAAAGGCATAGGGGCACGTGAGCCCTGGGGGTCCCTCAGGTTTTTGGGAAGAACTTGAATCTCTTTCTCCTCCTCCTTTCTCAGCTCCTGCTCTCAGCATGAATGTCCAGACACAGGAGATACCAGAGGGCACACAGCCCTGTCTCTCCAGTTACCTAGACCCCCCAGGGACCTGGAGCATAGGCCCTTGCTACTGCTGATCTTGAGTGTTCAGGAGCAGGGTTTGGAGGTATAACTTCTTCAGCCAGAGCGAGCCATGATGGGGTCAGTATGCCATCTAGGAGCTGGGTGTCATGGCTCACACCTGTAATCCCAGCACTTTGGGAGGCCAAGACAGGCAGATTCCTTGAGCCCAGGAGTTCAAGACCAGCTTGGGGAATGAAGAGCAAGGCAATAGCAATGATTCTACAAAAAAAAAAAAAAAAAATACCAAAAACTTAGCTGGGCATGGTGACATGTCCCTGTAGTCCCAGCTCCTCAGGAGGCTGAGGTGGGAGGATTGCTTGAGTCTGGGAGGTCGAGGCTACAGTGAGCTATGATCCTGTCACTGTACTCCAGACTGGGCAACAGAGCAAAACTCTGTCTCAAACAACAACAAAAACAACAAGAACAACATCACACAAGCCATCTAGGGAATCCTAGGGCATCTAAGCTAATCCTATTATATAGATACAATAACTGAGGCCCAAAGAGGAAACAGTCTGTCAAAGTGAGTTGGCAGGAGAGCTAGGATTTATGACTTTTCACTCTATCCACACAGCATTATGTAACAGAAAGACCCCTGCCACTTGGCCAGGCTCAGTGGCTCACACTGGTAATCCCAGTGCTTTGGGAGGCCAGGGTGGGAGGATCACTTAAGCCCAGGAATTCAAGACCAGCCTGGCAACATAGCAAGACTCTGTCCCTACCAAAAATAAATAAATAAATAAAATTAAAATTAGCTGATGGTGGCAGTCCACACCTCTAGTCTTAGCTACTCAAGAGGCTGAGGTGGGAGGATAGCTTGAGCTCAGGAGCTCTGAGCTCTGATCACACCATTTCATTCCAGCTTGGATGACAGAACAAGATCTCATGAAAGAAAGAAAGACAGAAAGAGAGAGAAAGAGAAGGAAGGAAGGAAGCAAGGAAGGAAGGAAGGAAGGAAGGACGGACGGAAGGAAGGACGGACAGAAGGAAGGAGAAAGAAAAAAAGAAAGAAGGAAGGAAGGAAGGAAGGAAAGAAAGAAAGAAAGGAAAGAAAGAAAGAAAGAAAGAAAGAAAGAAAGAAAGAAAGAAAGAAAGAAAGAGAAAGAAAGAAGAACTCCCCGCTCCAAATAACTCCCTGGCAGCTTGTCATAGTGCCTGAAATCCTGCCATTGGATGTGCACTGTGCACAGGTAAGACATGGTTGCCTGATGAATGCAAGTGCCGCTGCGAAGGCCACAGTCAGTAACACCTTGTTGGGATGAAAAGGAGGATGTTATCGCCTCCTTTTCAGTCTGCTGTGTGAGCGCTTCGCCAGGCCTCAGTTTCCCCATTTGTAAAATGTGTCCATGGGAGTCCTGGAAGGCCTCAGGTAGAACTTGAAGGAGGAGAGAAAGTGGATTCCCTCCCCAGAAGTAGAGTCAGACTTGTGGCTGAGCTGGGGGGCAAAACACACAAGATCTCAGGCTATGGGTCACCCCATGTGCCTCCTAAACTGAAAGGGGCCACGGGGCTGGGGCAAAACCAGCAAGGGCTAATAACTGGAGGAGACCCCAAGCCCCCCAGACCTTAGTCCATCAATGTGACAGGACCATCTGTAGGCTGAATTTCCCAGCAGCCCAATAATAGGAGCGCAGAGCGAGATTTAATTGATTTACAGAAAATAAAGGCATTCTATGTTTTTCACATATCCAAGTTCGTGAACCATGACCCATACAACAACGAGGTCTGACTTTCAGAGAAGTCAATGCTTGGAAATGATTTCTTTCCTGGAGAGCGTGGCTCTAATGGTACAATTCCAGGCAGGGCCAGGTGAGCTGAAAAGATATTTTGGAGGCCGCCAAGCCTTCGAAGGTCTGGCCCGAGCACTAAATCCAGAAACCTGTGGTTTCTGGGGGTAGTGGAAAGACCCTGGAGGGGAACCCCTCCCCACTTTGCAGCTCTGGTCCACTGAGTGCAAAGAGGCTCACAGGCACCCTTTGACCCCAGGCTGGGGATGGAGTGCTCAGCGCCAACCTGGCTGCTTTAGCCGGCAGCAGGGGTGGCTATGGCAACTCCTAGGGGCTCAGGTCAGGGCATCAGCATCCAGTTTTACAGTCTTTGAGGCGCCTGCCTTGAGCCTGGCACCCCGTGAGGTCAGAGGTCATAGGTCATGATGCAGGGGTTTGGAGAAGTACCAGTGAGCAAAAATAAATGAGAGGGGGCCTGGAGAAAAATATCAGGTGTCTGTTAGCAGGCGAGAGCTTAACCACCTAAGCCAACCTTGCCAAGTCTTTGCTGTAAACTAAGACCCCTAGAGATGAACCCTCAGTATCTGAAGCACTCAGAACCTGCTATGGCCGGAGGTGCTGGGCTTTGCATTTCTTTTTCTTCCTTCTTTTTCTGCCCCTTTTCTGAAAACTGGGCTTGCAACTGTGGAAACGGAAATGAATAGCCAGCATTTAAGGTTCTGCTATCAGACCCAGAGCTCCTCACCTCTAAATATGTTTTTTAAGTTTTTTTCTTTTAACTTTGTATTTTGATATTTTATGTTTTATTTTTTTCATTGTATAGACAAGGTCTCAGTCTGTCACCCCAGCTGGCATCTGGTGGCTCAATCACAGCTCACTGCAGCCTCAACCTCCTGGTTCAAAGGATCCTCCTGCATCAGCCTCCCAAGTAGCTGAGATTATGGGCGCATGCCACCACGCCAGGCTATTTTAACATAATTTCAAACGTACAGAAAAGTCAAAAGAATAATACAATGAGAACAGGCATGGTGGCTCATGCCTGTAATCCCAGCACTTTGGGAGGCTGAGGTGGGCAGATCACCTGAGGTCAGAAGTTCGAGACCAGCCTGGCCAACGTGGTGAAACCCCGTCTCTACCAAAAAATACAAAAATTAGCTGGGCATGGCGGCACACACCTGTAGTCCCAGATACCGGAGAGGCTGAGGTGGGAGAATAGCTTGAACCCGGGAGGCAGAGGTTGCAGTGAGCAGAGATCGTGCTACCGCACTCCAGCCTGGGTGACAGAATGAGACCCTGTCTAAAAACAAAAAAACAAGGACATTCTCTTACATAACCACAGTACAAGAATCGAAATCAGGAAACTAGCATTGCTGCAATACTATTATCTAATCCACATACTTTGTTCAGATTTTGCTAATTGTCCTAATAAGGCCTTTATAACAACAACAACAAAAAAAAACCCAGACCATGCACTGCAATTAGCTGCTGAGTCTCTTTAGTCTCCCTTTATCTAGAACAACTTCCCAATCGCTTTGTCTTTGACCACATTGATAAGGTTGAGAAATACTGGTTAGGGCCAGGCGCGGTGGCTCATGCCTGTAATCCCAGCACTTTGGGAGGCCAAGGTGGGAGGATCGCTTGAGCCCAGGAGTTCAAGACCACCTCCGGGCAACACAGTGAGACTCTGTCTCTACAAAAAAAATTTAAAAATTAGCAGGGCATGGTGGTGCAGCACCCTGTGATCCCAGCTATTCAGGAGGCTGAGGTAGCGGATCTCTTGAGCTCAGGAGGTTGAGGCTGCACTGAGCCAATACTGTACCATTGCACTCCAGCCTGGGCAACAGAGGGATACCCTGTCTCAAAAAAAAAGAAGGGGAGGAGAGGGTAGGGAAGGGGAGGGGAAGGGAGGGGAAGGGAGGGAGGGGGAAGGAAGACAACTAGTTAGGTAGTAAGATATCCTCAAATTGGGTTTGTTTGATGTTTTTGCATGAAAATATTGAGGTTATTTTGTTGGAATATAATTAAAAATGATCAATTTTCAGTGTCATATCAATATCAATAGGCACTTGATATTGATTTGTACCTTTTTTGGTGATGTTAATTTTGATTTTAATTTTTTTATTGAAATGTAATATAGGTACAGAAAACTACATACCCTCCTTCTTTAAGGTTTTTTTTGTTTGGTTGTTTGGTTGGTTGGTTTTTTTTGAGACGGAGTTTTGCTCTTGTTGCCCAGGCTGGAGTGCAATGGCGTGATCTCGGCTCACTGCACCTCCACCTCCTGGGTTCAAGCAATTCTCCTGCCTTAGCTTCCTGAGTAGCTGGGATTACAAGCGCCCGCCACTGTGCCCAGCTAATTGTATCTTTAGTAGGGACCGGGTTTCACCATGTTGGCCAGACTGGTCTCGAACTCCTGACCTCAGGTGATCCACCTGCCTCAGCCTCCCAAAGTGCTGGTATTTCAGGCATGAGCCACTAGGCCTGGCCAGTATATACCCTTGATGCACTTTCACAACCTGAACACATCTGTGTAAGTAGGATCCAGATCAACAAAAGTGTATTTCCTGCACCCCAAGCCCCACATGTCCCCACCGAGTTATTACCTTCTCAAAGTAAACATCATCCTGACTTCTAAGAGTATAAATGATATTTGCCTGACTTTGAACTTCCAATAAATGAAGTCATTCTTTTCAGAAACCTCTTTTATTTCCGGATTTTTTGCTTATGTTTGTGAGATTCTCAGAGCCTACTTTTATATTAATAAATCCAATGCCTCCCATTATGAGCCTGAAATGAAATTCAAACTAATCTATGCACGCAATTTCAAAAAATCACTTTGATGCCTTAATTGTAATATAAAGGGCAGTAATTTATAATATATAATACAATATATGTATTTAAATGAATATAAATAAAATTGTATTTATAGGCTGGGCACGGTGGCTCACGCCTGTAATCCCAGCATTTTGGGAGGCCGAGGCGGGCGGATCATGAGGTCAGGAGATCAAGACCATCCTGGCTAACACAGTGAAACCCCGTCTCTAATAAAAATACAAAAAATTAGCTGGGCGTGGTGGTGGGCGCCTGTAGTCCCAGCTACTTGGGAGGCTGAGGCAGGAGAATGGCGTGAACTCAGGAGGCGGAGCTTGCGGTGAGCTGAGATCGTGCCACTACACTCCAGCCTGTGCGACAGCGTGAGACTCTGTCTCAAAAAAAAAGTAAAATAAAATAAAAAATAAAATTGTATGTATATACACAAATCATGTAATTTTAAATAAAAATAATATTTATGTCAGTATGTAAATGGTGGGGGACAACGCCACTAAAGATGTGATGAAGTCTTCTGATGTTTGTACCCATATTGTTTTTCTTCTTTTTTTTTTTAGAGATAGGGTCTCCCTCTGTCACCCAGGCTGGAGTCTGGTGATGCGATCATAGTTTACTGCAACCTTGACCTCCTGGGCTCAAGCGATCCTCCTGCCTCAGCCTCCCCAGTAGCTGGGGCTACAGGTGTGCACTACCATGCCTGGCTAATTTTTGTATTTTTTGGTAGAGATAGGGTTTCACCATGTTGCTCAGGCTGGTCTTGAACTCCTGGTCTCAAGTAATTCTCCCACACTGGCCTCCCAAAGTGCTGAGATTACAGACATGAGCCACCACACCCAGCCTGTACCTTATTTTGAAGCTCCATAAATAGCGGCTTCAGATGCATACCAGGCAGAGGAAAGTGAGTCTCTTTGCCCCCACGGTGTGAGTTTCCTAGATGATGATAACTCCTGGTAAAATTCTCAACACAAAGTACCATCTTCCCTCATTTCACATGATAATTGTATTCTTGGAAAATATTCTACATTTTAAGACTGTGCAAAAATCCCTTTGTGTTTCCAAATAAAACAGAGCAAGGTTGTAGGTTCAAATGATGATAAACAGATTGTTCATCAGATACCTGTAGAGACCTGGTTAAACAAAACAAAACAAAACAAAACAAAACAAGACTGGGCATGGTGGTTCACGCCTGTAATCCTAGCACTTTGGGAGGCCGAGGCAGGAGGATCACCCGAGGTCAGGAGTTCGAGACCAGCCTGGTCAACATGGTGAAACGCTGTCTCTACTAAAAATACAAAAATTAGCTGGGTGTGGTGGTGGACATCTGTAATCCCAGCTACTAGGGAGGCCAAGGCAGAAGAATTGCTTGAACCCAGGAGGCAGAGGTTGCAGTGAGCCAAGATTGTGCCACTGAACTCCAGCCTGGGCAACAGAGCGAGTCTGTCTCAAAAAACAAAACAAAACAGATCGTTCACCTGTCTGAACATGCTGGTGGGACACTCGAAGGTCAGGAAGAATTCAAACAATCCCTTGTTGTGTGGAACTGGGGAGGAATCCTGGCACCTGTGACCACCCCAAATGCCAGGGGTCTCCCCATCCATGTGACAATCCCTTCCCCGAGATGCTCTTCAGAATGGTACAACAAGCCTAGGGGACGAGAGGAGAAGCTACGCTTGGGGGAAGTGCACCCCAGGAGGGCAGTGAATAAAGTGTTGGGGTTGGTCTGAAGGAGGCGGAGGCCCAGGTGGGAACATTGACAAGGGACTCTGAGGTGCAGCATCCCCATAGCCAAATCCTGGGGGAGCAGGCTGGTCTCTGGGGGTGGAAGGTGGGGGGACCCTATAAGGGCCTTGCTGCCCAAGACCCCAGGCTTTCTGCAGAGGATGCAACAGAACCTATACTTCTCTGGGTCCTGCATGGACCTCTTCTGCTCAACTGCTCTGGGCCCTCCACGAACTGCACCCCTGAACAGACAGTGGGGGCCCTGTCATCTATAGCTCCTGTGGAGACCTCTGTGGGCTGAAAACCCACTTAAGTCACACACCAAGAGGATGACGGGGTCCTCAAGTATGTCACTAAACAGAAAAATAGTCCAAAATGATACCGAACTGACAAGTAACTACAGGGAAGGTAAACATAATTGTGATTTCCCTCATGTTGCTTTTGTTTTAATAAAATGTTAAGTAACAAATTGTTTTAGAGCACCTTCCTTTGGTGTCTTTGAGAACATGCTCCATGTGCCTGTGGAATGGCCCATCAGTGAACAGTCCATGAACTGACTCATTTAATCAGACCCAAGACCTTTTTAAAAAATAAGTAATTAATTAATGTTTTGAGAGAAGGTCTCACTGTGTCATCCAGGATGGAGTGCAGTGGCGCTATCATGGCTCACTGCAGCCTTAACCTCTTGGGCTCAAGCGATCCTCCCAACTCAGCCCCCAGAGTATCCACCACTCCTAGCTAATTTTTTAAATTTTTAGTAGAGATGGAGTCTCCCCATATTGCCCAGGCTGGTCTTGAGCTCCTGACCTCAAGCAATCCTCCCAGCTTGGCCTCTCAAAGTGCTGGGATTACATGCATGAGCCATTATGCCCAGCCAAGACCCCAAACCTTCTGAGATAGGTACTATTCTTTCTCTCATTTTTGTTTGTTTGTTTGAGACAGAGTCTTGCTCTGTCGCCCAGGCTGGAGTGCAGTGGCAGGATCTCGGCTCACAGCAACCTCCATCTCCCAGGTTCGTGATTCTCCTGCCTCAGCCTCCCGAGTAGCTGGGATTAAATGCACCTGCCACTACGCACGGCTAATTTTTGTATTTTTAGTAGAGACGAGTTTCACCACCTTGGCCATGGTTGGCTAGGCCGGTCTCGAACTCCTGACCTCAGGTGAGCCTCCTGCCTCGGCCTCCCAAAATGTTGGGATTACAGGCATAAGCCACTGTGCCCGGCCTTATTCCCATTTTGCAACTGAGATACTGAGGATCAAATTGATTAAGACATTTGCTCTGGGTCACACAGCCAGGAGTTGCTCGGGCCACGATTGGTCTATCCCAGAACGAAGTCTGAGCAAGCTCTAGGCCCCTGAAAAGGAGTAAAGCCCCCCGCCCCACACTAGGTCCCTGAAAAGGAGTGAAGACACACACACACACACACACACACACACACACACACACACACACACTCCACACTCTTCCACACTCTTCCTCCCTCCACTCTGGGAAATGAGAAGCTCAGGTGCTTCCCGCAATCTGTTCTCGCCCCCTGGTGGCCACGTTTAAAGCTGCGGCTGTGTCTTCAGTGCATCCTAGCCGGGGATCCACCACCCGGGGCCTGAGCCTGGCTGTGCTGGAAAAGAGTTTGCCTGGCAGGTTGCTACTTGTCAAACTATATAAAATATTTTTGCTGTTGTTTATCTCCTGTTTCACTGATGCCCTCAGCTCTTGCTTCTTCTGCTGGCTAGAAGCTCCGGCACTGGACGGAGCAGACAGCTGGCCAGCGCCACAACCACTGGACTCCTGGGGAAAGGACGTGCACTTCTCCCCGAAACTATGAAGGATAGAAGAGGGCAGAGGGCCGGGCGCGGTGGCTTACGCCTGTAATCCCAGCACGCAGGGGCTCACGCCTGTAATCTCAGCACTTTGGAAGGCCGAGGAGGGCAGGTCTCAAGGTTAGGAGTTCGAGACCACCCTGGGCAACACAGTGAAACCCCATCTCTGCTAAAAGAAAGAAAAAAAAAAACTAGCCAGGCGTGGTGGCACATGCCTGTAATCCCAGCTACTCGGGAAGCTGAGGCAGGAGAATTGCTTGAACCCAGGAGGTGGAAGTTGCAGTGAGCTGAGATCGAGCCACTGCACTCCAGCCTGGGTGACAGAGCGAGACTTCATCTCCAAAAAAAAAAAAAGAAGAAAAAGAAGAGGGCATTCCAAACAGGGAACAGCAAGGGCAAGGGCCTGGAGGCAGTTACATGGAACTGAAGGTGTGAGAAAAAGCCAAATTAAAGTTGACCCAGGCCAGGCATGGTAGCTCATGCCTATAATTCCAGCACTTTGGGAGGCCAAGGTGGGTGGATCACTTGAGGTCAGGAGTTCGAGACCAGCCTGGCCAACATGGTGAAACCCCATCTCTAATAAAAAAAAATACAAAATTAGCCGGGTATGGTGGTGGGTGCCTGTAATCCCAGCTACTTGCGAGGCTGAGGCAGGAGAATCGCTTGAACCCGGAGGGCGGAGGTTGCAGTGAGCCGAGACTGTGCCATTGCACTCCAGCCTGGGCAACAAGAGCTACACTCCATCTCAAAAAAAAAAAAAAAAGTTGACCAAGGCGGGGCGCAGTGGCTCACGCCTGTAATCCCAGCACTTTGGGAGACCCATCACTTGATCTACTTGGGTGGATCACTTGAGGTCAGGAGACCAAGACCAGCCCGACCAACATCTCTACTAAACCCCATCTCTACTAAAAGTACAAAAATTAGCTCGGTGTGGTGGCGTCTGCCTGTAGTCTCAGCTACTTGGGAGGCTGAGGCATGAGAAGCTTGAACCTAAGAGGCGGGGGTTGCACTGAACCGAAATTGCACCACTGCACTCTAGTCTGGGTGACAGAGCCAGACTCTGTCTCAAAAAAATTTTTTTTTAAAAATAAAATAAAGTTGACCCAGTCTTCAGCATAGCCTGGAGATGGGGGTGCCCTGATTACAGTGACAGGTCCTAGTTCTTCAGACAGAAATAGCTCTTGAGCCAAGGAAAGGAGGGCAGCTGTGCTCCAGCACTCTGCATACTTCTCCCTGCCCCCCATTCTGCAGTGAACACACAGCTGGGGGAGGGTCTGCCCCCACAATATACATGGGAACGGCTGCCCCCATTCAGCAGATAGAGAAACTGAGGCTCCAAATGCAGTTGAGGTTCCTTGCACAAGTCACTCATTTGACCAATGGCAGTGCTGGGATTCTTGTGTCTGCCCAGCCTCTTAAACTGCCACATCACATGGGGTACCCTGTGCCAGGGGAGGCTCTTGTCTTTGGGGAAAGTAGAGGTCATGGGCTGTGCACTTCCTACACAAGCCTCCAGGCCAAAGTGTCCTCCTGGTCCTCAACAGGGAAGAAAATATACCCAGTTTGGATTCTCAGACTTCTATGGAGAACTGGGTTGTTCAGGTGAAGGTTTATAGGGTTTGATTGTTGCTAATGGCTGATTAAAGAGTGCTTGACTTTCTATGAGTGTGTTTGAAACTGTATTTCCCATGGAGGCAGTGGGGGTCAGGGAGCAGGCTCAGAAATACCCATACATTGTTAGCACCCTGGAAATGAAGGCAATGCATGGGTATATTTAAATTATAGTCTTTCTTTACCAATGATTTTGCAAAGGAAAAAGAGGCTAGGTGCAGTGCCTCACGCCTGTAATCCCAGCATTTTGGGAGGCCAAGGCTGGCAGGTCACCTGAGGTCAGGAGTTCAAGACTAGCCTGGCCAACATGGTGAAACCCCATCTCTACAAAAATACAAAAATTAGCCAGGCATGATGGTGGGTGCTTGTAATCCCAGCTACTTGGGAGGCTGAGGAGGAAAATCGCTTGAACCTGGGAGGCAGAGGTTGCAGTGAGCTGAGATTGCACCATTGCACTCCAGCCTGGGCGACAGAGTGAGACTCTGTCTCAAAAAAAAAGAAAAGAAAAAGAAGCATAGGCCGGGCATGGTGGCTCATGCCTGTAATCCCAGCACTTTGGGAGGCCAAGGCGGGTGGATCACCTGAGGTCAGGAGTTCAAGACCAGCCTGGCCAACATGGTGAAACCCTGTCTCTACTAAAAATACAAAATTAGCTGGGCGTGGTGGTGCATGCCTGTAATCACAGCTACACGGAAGGCTAAGGCAGGAGAATCATCTGAGCCCGGGAGGTGGAGGTTGCAGTGAGCCAAGATCTCACCACTGCACTCAAGCCTGGGTGACACAGTGAGACTCCATCTCAAAAAAAAAAAAAAAAAGCATAAAATAAAAAATTAAAATTAAGTTATAGTCATTATCTAAAGATAAATAAATAAAAAACCACAGCATGGAGCTGGAGATGCTAACTGTCTTCCCTGGAGGAGCATACAGGAGCTCTCTCTCTGACTTTGGAGATGTCCAAACTGGCTCCTTCAACTACTAAATGTGGGAAGCTTCCAGGAAAGTGGCTTGATGGGAGTCCAGAGAATGGGGTCCAGACCCACCTCAGCCAGGAGCTTAAAGTGGGATTCTAGAGAACCTGCAGAAGAAGGCCGGGTGCGGTGGCTCACACCTGTAATCCCAGCACTTTGGGAGGCCGAGGTGGATGGATCACGAGGTCAGGAGATCCACACCATCCTGGCTAACATGGTGAAACCCCGTCTCTACTAAAAATAAAAAAAAATCAGCCGGGTGTGGTGGCACGCGCCTGTAGTCCCAGCTACTCGGGAGGGCGAGACAGGAGAATCGCTTGAACCCTGGAGGTGGAGGTTGCAGTGAGCCGAGATGGCACCACTGCCCTCCAGCTTGGGCGACAGAGCGAGACTCGGTCTCAAAAAAAAAAAAAGAGAACCTGCAGAAGTCAGTTTAGGTCTCTGTACTTTATTTTACACCTTAAAGAATGGATGGGCTGGGCGAGGTGGCTCACATCTCCAATCCCAGCATTTTGGAAGGTCAAGGCAGGAGGATTGCTTGTACTCAGGAGTTTGAGACCAGCCTGGGCAACATAGTGAGTCTCGTCTCTACAAAAAATAAAACTTAGCTGGGAGTGGTGGCACATGCCTGTAGTCCCAGTTACTCAGGAGGCTGAGGCAGGAGGATTGCCTGAGCCCAGGAGGTCAAGGCTGCAGTGAGCTATAATCACGCCACTGTACTCCAGCCTGGGCAACAGAGCAAGACTCTGTCTTAAAAAAAATGGATAGAAGGGTGTCTCACAAAGTACATGGGTCCAGCCAGATGTGACTAGTTTCTACAGCAAAGAGGAGGTTCATGGGGAAACATTTGGCATTGCTGCAATAAAACTGGATGGATTCCTTTTACTGCAGAATTTTAAAGCCTTGACTATACACACTGTGCATTCTGAATCTCTTCCAAGGTGGGGTAGTGGGCTATGGATCTTTTCTCTCAGAACATTTTGTGGGATCGTGTTCCAGGGAGCATGCTTTAGGAAAGCAGGAGGGAGATGCCCTCTCAAGTCCTTTCCAGCCCTGGCCCAAGGGTTGGAGATGGGGCAGGCAGCCCTGGCCATAAAATCCAAGCCCTTCCTTTGGCCCACAAGGCCAGGACCTTTGCCCCTGCTGTTTTCTCTCCATAACTTCCTTCAGATCTCTCCCGAAAGCCTTCCTGGATTTCCTATCTACAAGGGCGGTGCCTCCAGTCCTCACCCACAGGGCAGGTGCAGCTGCAACCTGGCCTCTTCTCTGTTGCCTTCTTGCCCCAGAGAGTGGGTGTGCTGTGTCTTCTTCCCTCCCACTCCTATGTGTAAGTGTGTAAGGCAGACTTTAATGAATTGTTCCTGATTATTAAATATATGTTCCATGTTTAAAAATAAGAAAAGTAGGCCAGAGGCGGTGGCTCACGCCTGTGATCACAGCACTTTCGGAGGCTGAGGCAGGAGGATTGTTTGAGTCCAGGAGTTTGACACCAACCCCGGGTAACAGAGCGAGACTCTGTCTCTATTTAAAAAAAAAAAAAAATGAGTAGGGCTGGAGTGGTGGCTCACACCTGTGATCCCAGCACTTTGGGTGACTGGAGAGGATTGCTTGAGCCCAGGAGTTCAAAACCAGCCCTGGCAACATAGCAAGACCATGTCTCTATTAAATAAATTAGTAAAAAAAAATTTTTTTTAATTAAAAAGATATAAGAATAGTAAATAATGAAATAAATGGAAAAATAAAGAATGTAAGAGTTCCAGCTGGGCTGTGGTGGTGCACACCTGTAGTCCCAGCTACTTAGGAAGCTGAGGTAGGAGGATCTATTGAGCCCAGGAGTTCAAATGCAGTGAGCTATGATTGCGCCACTGCACTGCAGCCTGATGGGAGACTGTCTCAAAAATAAAGAAATAAAGAAATAGACCTACAGTTTTATGACCCAGAGATAAGCATTGGTAACTGCTGGCTTGTGTGTCCTACTAAACTTTTCTCTGCATATAAACAGGTGTGCACACGGGGAGGAAAAGGGGATAGAGAAGAAATACAGAAATAAATCGTTGTTGTTATCAAAACGCCTTCTCTTTGTCGTAAACGTGTTTTTCCACTTGGTGTTCTGTCCTGGCCAATTCCAACCGCGCGCCTGCTCAGGCCGAGGTGAGATCCCTGCAGCCCCAACCTGGGGTGCTGACACCCTTGCACACCACCCTTGTGCGCAGCCCCCAGTGCTCGCATGCTTTTTGCATAGAGTTGCTCACCGGCTCGCTCCGACCAGGGCTTCCCCGGAAAAGGTGGGGAGGGGCTCCTAGGCACTCGCGGTTTCCTGGAGATCCACCGTCTCCCTGGGTAGCTCAGGCCGGTGCTCCAAGGCCATTGCCTGCTGACGCAGCCGACTCTGCGGTCTCCTACAGCATGCGCCTCCTGGGAGCGAGCTCGCCGGGCCGCGCCCCCTGCTGGCCGTGTCCCCTGAAGCCTCGGCCGCAAATGCGCGCCGCTTGAGCCTCGGAGGTTCGGAGTCTCCTCTCCCAGCTTCCTCTTCTCCGTCCACGCCCACCAGACTTTTAGGCCGTTCTACTCTCCAAACTACCCTTCTTGAAAGGATGTGAGTCATTTGCCAATTGGAGTGCAAACGACAACCACAAAGCCCACACAAATGCCCTTCCATGTAGTTTTACTGAGGCTCAGAGGAAGTGACTGGCCCGCAGGGTCACACAGCAAGTAGGTGGCAGAGCCGGGCCTCAGTCCTGAGACCCACAGGGTGATGGAAAATTCTTCTCTCTCCTCCCCCTTCTCCTCCTCTTCTTCTCCTACTCCTCCTCCTGTCCTTCTTCCTCCTCCTCCTCCCCCCTCCTCCTCCCCCTCCTCCCCCCTCCTCCCTTCTCCTCCTTCTCCTCCTCCTCCTACCCCCTCCTCCTCTCCCTCCTCCTACCCCCTCCTCCTCTCCCTCCTCCTCCCCCTTTCCCTCCTCCTCCCCCTTCCTCTCCTCTCCTCCCTCCTCCCCCTCCTCCCTCCTCCTCCCTCCTCCTCCTTCCTCCTCCTCCCTTCCTCCTGCCCCCTCCTCCTCCCTTCTCCTCCTTCTCCTCCTCCTCCTTCTCCTCCTACCCCCTCCTCCACTCCCTCCTCCTCCCCCCTTCTTCTCCTCTCCTCCCTCCTCCCCTCTCCTCCTTCCTCCTCCTCCCTCCTCCCCCCTCCTCCTCCCTCCTCCTCCCTCCTCCTCTACCTCCTTCTTCTTCTTGTTTTCTTCTGTTGGCCTGTCTCTGTTGCCCAGGCTGGTCTCAAACTCTTGGCCTCAAGGGATCCACCTGCCTTGGCCTCCCAAAGCACTGGGACTACAGGCATGAGCCACCACCCCTGACCAAGGTGATGGAAAATAATGAGCCCACTCCTGAATAAGGCCTGATTGGGGATGAGTGGGACTTGATGGTGGCAAAGAGAGCAGTTGCTTTGCCCCTAGGGCACAGATCACTGCAGTCTTGTGTGCAGCTGCTCTTTCTGGTGAGTGAAAGGAATTGCCCCTCTTTGGAAAAGAGGCTGAAAAACACAGGTCATATTTCCCCCAGAGAGTCTGCCCATCCTCCTCTACAGGAGAGCAAGCCTTAGCATTGGCTTTAGCTTGAGGCACTTAAAACAACAATTTTTAGGCCTCCCGACAACCTGGTAAACTTGTTGGTGGTGTTACTTCAGAGGAGATTTGAATAAAGGGCTGAAGAAGGACTTGTATTTTTCAAAAATTCTCAAGCATTTTTCACTGGCACAGCCTCAAGCCTTGCTAAACCATCCCTGAGCTAGCTGCCCCACAGGGAGGGGTAGCTCTTCTGGCTTTATTCAGATGCTCTGGGGAGTGAGAATGCCACAGAACTACTGCAATGACAAACTTTTCTGCTAACTGACAAAGAACAAAGACACTTGAGATTTTTACAAATTGTCCTAGATATCAGCGTGGACGTTACAGCTTTTTTTTTTTTTTTTTTTTCCGCAACATAATTTTGCTCTGTTGCCCAGGCTGGAATGCAGTGGCATGACCTCGGCTCACCGCAGCCTCCACCTCCCGGGTTCAGTCGGTTCTTGTGCTTCAGCCTCCTGAGTAGCTGGGACTATAGGCATGTACCACCACACTCACTTGGCTAATTTTTGTATTTTTGTAGAGACGGGGTTTCACCATGCTGGCGAGGCTGGTGTCAAACTCCTGGCCTCAAGTGATCCGCCCACCTCAGCCTCCCAAAGTGCTGAGATTACAGGCATAAGCCACTATGCGTGGCCGGATGCTACAGCTTTAACAGTGAGATAGAAACTGGCTGCCACTGTCTCAGGTCTTCCTGACACAAGATCATCCTCAAATCCAGCTTTCCTAACATTCCATAGATGTCTTGTCTGTAGCCAGGCACAGTGGCTTATGCCTATAAGCCCAGCACTTTGGGAGGCCAAGGTGGGCGATCACTTGAGCTCAGGAGTTCAAGATCACCTGGGCAACATAGTGGGAGTCTCTCTACAAAAAATTCAAAAATTAGCCATGTGTGGTGGTGTTCGCCTGTAGTCCCAGGATCGCTTGAGCCTGGGAGGTTGAAGCTGCAGTGAGCTGTTCCTGCGCCACTGCACTCCAGCCTGGGCGACAGAGCAAGACCCTGTCTCAAAAAAAAAAAAAAAAAAAAAAAAAAAGTCTTGTCTGCATAGGTGAGGAATCAGGGGACTTTGCAGGAATCATCCAAGAGGTCCATTTCTTTACCCCTGTCACTCACCTGGGTGGTTTTGTTTTTGTTTTGTTTTGTTTTTGAGACAGAGTCTTGCTTTGTCATCCGGGCTGGAGTGATCTCAGCTCACTGCAACCTCTGCCTCCTGTGTTCAAGAGATTCTCTTGCATCTGGCTGTTTTAAAAATAGTGTTGCAGCTGGGTGCAGTGGCTCATACCTGTAATCCCAGCACTTTGGGAGGCTGAGACGGGCCGATTGCCTGAGCTCAGGAGTTCGAGACCAGCCTGGGCAATGTGGTGAAACCCCGTCTCTACTAAAAATACAAACAAACAAACAAAAAAATTAGCCAGGCGTGGCAGCGTGTGCCTGTAGTCCCAGATACTTGGGAGGCTGAGGCAGGAGAATTGCTTGAACCCAGGAGGCAGAGGTTGCAGTGAGCCAAGATTGTGCCACTGCACTCCAGCCTAGGCAGCAGAGCAAGACTCTGTCTCAAAAAAAGAATAAATAAATAAAAAATAAAATAAAAATAGTTTTGCTTTTCCCCCCCTCATTATACAAGTTATGCTAGATGGAGTAATGTATATTTACTGTAAAAAATTTGTAATGTTCACCTTTGTCTCTTTAGGATAAATTGAAATAAGTAGAATTAGTGGATCAAAGGTATGCCCATTGAGTAGCCTCCATGTATGCTCTGTATTAGTCAGTTTTCACACTGCTATGAAGAATACCTGAGACTGCATAATTTATAAAGGAAAGAGGTTTAATTGACTCACATTTCCGCATGGCTGGGGAGGCCTCAGGAAACTTACAATCATGGCAGAAGACAAAGGGGAAGCAAGACACGTTTTAAATGGCGGCAGGCAAGCAAGAGCACAGGGGAAACTGTCTGTTATAAACAATCAGATCTCCACGAGGTCAGGAGATCCAGACCATCCTGGCTAACACAGTGAAATCCTGTTTCTACTAAAAATACAAAAAATTAGCCGAGAATGGTAGCGGGCACCTGTAGTCCCAGCTACTTGGGAGGCTTGGGCAGGAGAATGGCGTGAACCCGGGAGGCGGGGCTTGCAGTGAGCTGAGATCGCGCCACTGCACTCCAGCCTGGGCAACAGAGCGAGACTCTGTTAAAAAAAAAAAACAAAATCAGATCTCGTGGGAACTCACTCACTATTATGAGAACAGCATGAGGGAACAGCCCTTATGATCCAATCACCTCCCACCAGATCCCTCCCTTGACAAGTGGGAATTACAATTTGAAATGAGATTTGGGTGGGGACAAAGAGCCAAACCATATCACACTCCCTGCTAAGATGGCAATGCTCTCTTGCCAATGTTATGTATTTAAACCCTGTTTTAATATTTACCAGGTTGACTGACAAAAATTAATGGTTCATTTAATTAGCATTTCTTTTTCTTTTATTTATTATTATTATTAATATTACTTTGAGACAGGGTCTGGCTCTTTTGCCCAAGGTGGAGTGTAGTGGCACAATCTTGGCTCACTGCAACCTCTGCCTCCCAGGCTCAAGCCATCCTCCCATCCTCCCACCTCAGTCTCCTGAGTAGCTGGGACTACAGATGCATACCACCACGCCTAGCTAATTTTTGTTTTGTTTGTTTGTTTGTTTGTTTGTTTGAGACAGAGTCTCACTCTGTCACCCAGGCTGGAGTGCAACCTCTGCCTACCAGGTTCAAGCACTTCTCCTGCCTCAGCCTCCTGTAGCTGGGATTACAGACACAAACTACTACACCTGGCTAATTTTTTGTATTTTTATTAGAGACAGGGTTTCACTATGTTGGCCAGGCTGGTCTCAAACTCCCGACCTCAAGTGATCTGCCCACCTTGGCCTCCCAAAGTGCTGGGATTACAGGCGTGAGCCACCGCCCCCAGCCTAATTTTTGTATTTTTTGTAGAGATGGGGGGGTTTCACCATGTTGCCCAGGCTGGTCTCGAACTCCTGAGCTCAAGTGATCTACCTACCTCGGCCTCCCAAATTGTTGGGATTACAGGCATGAGCCACTGTGCCTGGCCATTTCTTTGGTTTTGAGTGAGGCTGAATATTTTTACATCTTTTCTCTAAAAATGCCAATTGAACAGCTGGGCACAGTGGCTCACGCCTGTAATCCCAGCACTTTGGGAGGCCAAGGCAGGCAGATCACAAGGTCAGGAGTTTGAGACCAACCTGGCCAACATAGTGAAACCCCCTCTCTACTAAAAATACAGAAATTAGCCGGGTATGATGGCACATGCCTGTGGTCCCAGCTACTTGAGAGGCTGAGCCGGGAGAATCGCTTGAACCCGGGAGGCGGAGGTTGCAGTGAGCCGAGACCACACCATTGCCCTCCAGACTGGGTGACAGAGTGAGACTCCATATCAAAACAAAAACAAAAACAAAAACAAAAAAAACCTGCCAATCGAGCTATGCTTTCCCTTTCTCGAAGGAGAGAGAAGTAATCCTTTTCCATCGTATTTGCTTATAAGACCTTGGGACAAGGAAGCCTTGAGAGATCCGGTGAGGGACTTCGGCTGGCCATCCTATATAGGGTGACTGAACTGGTTATAGCCTTGAAATGAAAGTTCCAATGCACATAAAATCCTCCAGGGTGCATTTTTACTTTGGAAGTGGGTGTGTGTGGTAACTTAGAAAAACTCAGTGGTTTCAGGCTTGGTGGAATGATGTAATTTTTCTCAGGAAAGTGGCGGGGGCCGCCATCTGTGTGTCTCAGCAGTCAGCCCAGGGCCTGACACATTGTGGGCACCCATAACACCTGCAGATTGAATAATTAAACACTGCTGCCTCTGTCCGGAAGGGTAACCCGTTGTGACCCTATATGACCTGTCTGCTGGGGGGAGGGAAGAAGTGTGCTTTTGCATTCTCTTGCACTCATTTATTAGAAACCCTTAGACTTTTTTTTAGTTTGGGTCTGAAACAGTCCTCTTAATATGCAGGAAGAGAGATATTGCCAGTCCTGACTTTGAACTTCTGGAAAGGGCTAAGGGTGAGTGGAACTATAAATATACAAGGGCAAGTCTGACATGAGCAGTTTTATTGTGACCACGTCCTTGGGTCCAGGAGGCTGGCCAGGCTGCCCAGGTAAGCCAGGGTGTCTTCCTTCTGGAAAACCACACTCTCAGGGCTCCAAGTGGCTTTTTCTGGTTGTCTCCCATTTTTCTCTGTCTCCAGGGAAGGACTCCATCTGACTTACCATAGTTACAAGAGTTCTGTGAAAATAATTTATAAGGAAGCAGGTCATCACTGGAATGCCACAATGTTAGGACCAGAAGGGACGGAGGGATTATCTGGTGTCGGGGTTCGCTGTCTCTCTCAACCTACCAGCCGCCAGCCGTGCTGAGTTAATTGTCAGTAGCAGGCCAATATAATGGTCAGTTCAAAGCTTAATGGTTTGTGGGAAACCACTAAAGACTTTAGGGCAGGAGGCCGGGCGCGGTGGCTCACGCCTGTAATCCCAGCACTTTGGGAGGCGGAGGCGGGCGGATCACGAGGTCAGGAGATCGAGACCATCCCGGCTAAAACGGTGAAACCCCGTCTCTACTAAAAATACAAAAAATTAGCCGGGCGTAGTGGCGGGCGCCTGTAGTCCCAGCTACTTGGGAGGCTGAGGCAGGGGAATGGCGTGAACCCGGGAGGCGGAGCTTGCAGTGAGCCGAGATCCCGCCACTGCACTCCAGCCTGGGCGACAGAGCGAGACTCCGTCTCAAAAAAAAAAAAAAAAAAAAAAAAAAAAGACTTTAGGGCAGGAATTTGAGGGTTTTTTTGGTTTGTTTTTGTTTCTGTTTTTGTTTTTTTTGAGACAGACTCTCACTCTGTCTCCCAGGCTGGCGTGCAGTGGCATGATCTCACCTCAGTGCAACTTCCACCTCCCTGGTTCAAATGATTCTCATGCCTCAGCCTCCCAGGTAGCTGGGACTACAGGCGCGCACCACCACTCCCAGCTAATTTTTGTATTTTTAGTAGAGACGGTTTCGTGATGTTGGCCAGGCTGGTCTCAAACTCCTGACCTCAGGAGATCCCCCCGCCTCGGCCTCCCAAAGTGCTGGGATTACAGGCAGGAGCCACCGCACTCGGCCTTGGAATTTGAGTTTTAGAAGTGTCATTCTGCCAGGCGTGATGGCTCACGTCTGTAATCCCAGCACTTTGGGGAGGCTGAGGTGGGAGGATTGCTTGAGCCCGGCAGTTTGAGACCAGCCTGGGCAACATAGAAAGACCTTGTCTCTACCCACCAACCACGAGAAAAGGTGGGAGGGGCGTCATTCTGGCTGCTCTGCTCTGTGGTTAGGACCAAGTCAAAGGTGGAGGAGGGAAAACCGTAAAATCAAGTGAGAGGCTTGGAATAGGGTGGCTGCGTCGCCGGATGGATGAGTGGAGAGAGATTTAGGAGATAGGATTTACAGCATTAGATAACTGGAAAGAGAGGGTGAGGGAGAGGAAGGAGTCAAGATGCCTCCCAGGGTTTTGGCTTGGGTCTCTGGGCAGATGGTGGGGCCATTACTGGGTTAGGAGAGAAGAGAAAAAGCAAGTTTGGCAGAAAGCTGAGTTTGGGGTAAGTTATGTTTGAGGCGCCTGGGGGCCTCCAGAGGCAGGTGTCCAGGTGGCTGGACATCAGGGTGTGGCGCTCAAGAGAGGGTTCTGGAGTGGTCGACACCGAAGTGGAGAGGAAGCAGTGAGGTGTTCTAACAACGGTGAGGAATTGGGGAGGCCGCTGGGTTCGGGGTATGCAGAGTGTAGCGGCCACGTAGCTGGCGATCTCAGGCACGTGACTGCCTGGTCCTGTGGCCCCGCGCTCGAACACTTTCAGCACCCAGGCAGGGGGTAAGGGGCGGTGTTGCCCCCTCCCGGGTCCCGCCTTTCTGCCCGCCTCTCATCCTCTTTAGCCATTGGGCAATACCTCTGTCCATCAAGGGCCCGCCTCCGCAATTGAGCCAACCAGGGCTGGCGGGAGGGCGCTTCCTTCTGGAGCTGGGTCCTGACTAGGGACCGCCTGGGTGAGGTGAGGACCTGGTGGCCGCAGTTGTGGCACTGTGCGCAGGCGCTGAACTGACCGGACGGAGCGGGCGGCTGTGGCCTCGCCAGCTGGTGAGAAGCGGGCGAGGGTCCGAGGTAGGGAAGGTAACGAGCGGGGGATGTGGACACCTCTTTCCCCGCCAGGCCTCGCCGGCGCCTGACCCTCCCGGCCTGCGGCACCGGCTCAGGTGACTGGGCGGAGGGAGAGCTGAGGTGAGGGGGCGGGTCCGCGGCGGAGAGGGACCAGCTGGGCCTACGACCACGGTCACCCCACTCACGTGCGCGCGCCACGTGGGCCCGCGGGCTCGCCGAGGACCCTTGGCTGCCTACCGGGGCACCCCACTAGCTGCTCTGGCCTATCGAGCACCCCTTGGAGCTCTGTGTCCCGACTGCACGCCCCTGTTTTACAGGCTGGCAAGCCGGGGCTCAGAGGCACCAAGCGGGTCGCCCGGGGGCACCCAGCTGGGGTACGGCCGTGCCGGGGTTCTAGGGAGATCGGTTTTGGTGGGCTCCGGAGTCCATGCACTTAGCGATGAGGCTGAAGTCAGAGATTTGAACTTGGGACCTGTCTGTTTTCTTTAAGGATGCAAGAGGGTTTGCGTCCTGGCTGCGGTGTATCACCCTGCACCGCTGCCTGCCTTGACTGCAGGGCCGGAGCGTCAGGCGCCCTCTGCTCCCGGACAGACCGCCCCCGCACCGACTTCTGCGGGGTGGGCTGGCAGGGGGTGGGGGAGTGAAGGGACGGTCCTCAGTCCTGGGAACTCTTGAGGTCCCGACAAATGATCTCGAGATCCCGAGGGCAGGATTCATACATGAAAAGCTCATTATAATGGGTCAAGGTTTTGTTCTGTTTTTTTTTTTTTAATTTAATTTAATTTAATTTAATTTAATTTAATTTATTATATTCCAAGGAAAAGTACCACCAGGGCTAGTGAAGGGACTAGGAAACTCGTCACCCCCTTGAGGAGGCAGATGTGAAGCTTTTGGAAATCAGTTTGGCAATGAGTCTACACCCTTGGACCTACTGACTCCTTGTTTGGGAAATAACTAGGATAAAACCTAAGTAGAGAAAAGGTTACTGCATAAAGCAGTACAGTTTGGTGGGGTTTTGTTGTTGTTGTTGTTTTTAAAGAGACAGATCTGGCTCTGTCGCCCAGGCTGGAGTGCAGTGGTGTGATCATAGCTCACTGCAGTCTTGAAATCTTGGGCTCAAGCGATCCTCCCACCTCAGCCTCTTGAGTAGCTGGGACTACAGGCACTTACCACCATGCCCAGCTAATCTAAAAATTTTTGTAGAGATGGGGCACTTGCTGTATCACCCAGGGTGGTCTTAAACTCCCTAGCCTCAAGTGATCCTCTTGCCTTGGCCTCCCAAAATGCTGAGATTATAGGCATGAGCCACTGTGCCCAGTCCAGTTTGGTATTTTATATTAATAAATAGCAAGTAGTAGAAACAACCTCTAAATTTCCAGCCGTAAAGAATAGTTAAGTAAGTTGTGATTATTTATGTCAAAATGTAGCCATCAGATGTGAAAAAATACTCTTATCAGGAAAGCCAGATTCAAAGTTGGGGTTACAACTCTACAAAAATACGTACAGAATGACTGTGCGCAGTAGCTCCCACCTGTAATCTCAGCACTTTGGGAGGCCAAGGGCGGAAGATCGCTTGAGCCTAGGAGTTTGAGACCAGCCTGGAAAACACGGGGAGACCCTGTCTATTAGCTGGGCCTGGCGGCACATGCCTGTAGTCCCAGCTATGTAGGAGGCTGAGGCAGGAGGATCCCTTGAGGCCAGAAGGGCAAGGCTGCAGTGAGCCACGATCTTACCATTGCACTCTAGCCTGGGGACAGAGCCAGGCTCCATCTCAAAAACAAAACAAAACAAAAAAAAACCAAACAAAAAATACCCAGAATGACTTAGAGGGGTATATACCTAATGATGAAAATAATAGCTACTTTTTTTTTTTTAGCAGAAGCGTCATATTTTATTAAATTCTCACAAAACCTTCTAAGACTAATATTCCCATTCCACCAATAGATAACTGGAGTGTTACCTCATCAGCAGTGTGTCTGATGCTACACAAGATAGTATCACAGCTAGTGTGCTATTGGGCCTCTGAAAATGTCATATTTAGCCAGTATTTGAGGACTTAGTGTGTGCCGGGTACAGGGCCAGGCACTGGAAAGCTGTTGGTGAGTAAGGCAGCCATAGTTGCTTGAGTCATGGAGTTTATAGACTAGTGGGGAAATATACATGTATATAAAATTTAGTTTTTGAGACAGGGTCTTGCTCTGTTGCCCAGGCTGGAGTGCAGTGGCAGGAGCACAGCTCATTGCAGTCTTGACCTCCAGGGCTTAAGCAATCCTCTCACCTCAGCCTTACAAGTGAATGGGGCTATAGGTGTGCGCCACCATGCCCAACTAATTTGTAAAAAAATTTTTTGTAGAAACCAGGTCTCCTTATGTTGCCCAGGCTGGTCTTGGAACTCCTAGGCTCAAGTGATCCTCCCGCCTCAGCCTTTGGAGTGGTTACAGGTATGAGCCACTATGCCCGAAGCAGATTATTTATTTATTTATTTATTTTTGAGACGGAGTTTCGCTCTCGCCCAGGCTGGAGTGCAGTGGTGCAATCTTGGCTCACTGCAAACTCTGCCTCCTGGGTTCACGCCATTCTCCTGCCTCAGCCTCCTGAGTAGCTGGGACTACAGGCGCCCATCACTGCACCCAGCTAAATTTTTGTATTTTTAGTAGAGACGGGGTTTCACTGTGTTAGCCAGGATGGTCTCGATCTCCTGAACTCGTGATCAGCCCACCTCGGCCTCCCAAAGTGCTGGGATTACAGGCGTGAGCCACCGCGTCAGGCCTGTTTTTGTTTTCTTTGAGACAGGGTCTCACTCCCTCTCTAGTGAGGCCCAGGCTAGACTGCAGTGGCACAATCACTGCTTTCTGCAGCCTCAACTTACCAGGCTCAGATGATTCTCCTACCTCAGCCTCCCAAGTAGCTGTGACTATAGATACACACCACCATGCCTGGCAATTTTTTTATTTTTTTTATTTTTTTGGAGAGACAGGGTTTCACCATGTTGCCCAGGCTAGTCTCGAACTCCTGGGCTCAAGCTATCCACCCACCTTGGCCTCCCAAAGTGCTAGGATTACAGGCATGAGCCACCAGGCCTGGCCCCCGAAGCAGATATTTAAATGAACACTTATAGTCTGCTGGTGAGAGTGAGTTTAGTGTATTTTAAATAGTTTATTCTAAGTCATTTTTGTTCAGGATATTAGCAAATGTTTTCAGAAGTCAGTATTTTTAAGAAATTAAATTTGTGGCTGGGTGCTTTGGCTCACGCCTGTAATCCCAGCACTTTGGGAGGCCGAGGCAGGTGGATCACAAGGTCAGGAGATCGAGACCATCCTGGCTAACATGGTGAAACCCTGTCTCTACTAAACATACAAAAAATTGGCCAGGTGTGGTGGCGGGCGCCTGTAGTCCCAGCTACTCCAGAGTCTGAGGTAGGAGAATGGCATGAACCTGGGAGGCGGAGCTTGCAGTGAGCAGAGATCACACCACTGCACTCCAGCCTGGGCGGCAGAGCGAGACTACGTCTCAAAAAAAAAAAAAAAAAAAAGAAATTAAATTTGAAACTTCAACTTTTTAATTTTTAGGTTTAAAAATATCCTTTTTTGCTGAAGGAACACATTTGCTGGTATAGTTTCAGAATGTCAAGTACTGTGTCCTACTGGATCTTAAATTCTACAAGGAACAGCATTGCCACATTGCAAGGGGGTAGACGCTTATACTCCAGGTATGTCTCAAATAGGAATAAATTAAAATGGAGGCTCTTTTCCCGGGTGCCACCCACCCTAAACAGTTCCCCATGTGGTGGCTTTACTCTGTGCAAAGCCTACAGACACACATCAACAGAGGAAGATGATTTTCACTTGCAACTCAGCCCTGAGCAGATAAATGAAGTGCTTCGAGCTGGCGAGACAACCCACAAGATTCTTGACCTTGAAAGCAGAGTCCCAAATTCAGTGTTGCGGTTTGAGAGCAACCAGCTGGCTGCCAATTCCCCAGTGGAGGACCGGCGAGGTGTAGCCTCCTGCCTGCAAACCAATGGACTGATGTTTGGCATCTTCGATGGACATGGTGGTCATGCATGTGCCCAAGCAGTGAGCGAGAGGCTCTTCTACTATGTGGCAGTGTCCCTGATGTCCCACCAGACCCTGGAGCACATGGAGGGAGCTATGGAAAGCATGAAACCCTTGCTGCCCATCCTGCATTGGCTCAAGCACCCAGGGGACAGTATCTACAAGGATGTCACATCTGTGCATCTTGACCACCTCCGTGTCTATTGGCAGGAACTGCTTGATTTGCACATGGAAATGGGACTAAGCATTGAAGAAGCATTAATGTACTCCTTCCAGAGACTGGATTCTGACATCTCGCTGGAAATCCAGGCCCCCCTGGAAGATGAGGTGACAAGGAACCTGTCACTCCAGGTTGCTTTCTCTGGGGCAACAGCTTGCATGGCCCATGTTGATGGAATTCACTTGCACGTGGCAAATGCTGGTGACTGCCGAGCCATCCTTGGTGTCCAAGAGGACAATGGCATGTGGTCTTGTCTGCCCCTTACACGTGACCACAATGCCTGGAACCAGGCCGAGCTGTCCCGGCTAAAGAGGGAGCACCCTGAGTCAGAGGACAGGACGATCATCATGGAGGACAGGCTACTGGGCGTCCTCATCCCCTGCAGGGCCTTTGGGGATGTTCAGCTGAAGTGGAGTAAAGAGTTGCAGCGCAGCATTCTGGAGAGGGGCTTCAATACCGAGGCCCTCAACATTTACCAGTTCACACCCCCACACTACTACACTCCACCCTACCTGACTGCTGAGCCTGAGGTCACATACCACAGGCTGAGGCCCCAGGATAAGTTCCTTGTGCTGGCCTCAGATGGCCTGTGGGACATGCTGAGCAATGAGGACGTGGTAAGGCTGGTGGTGGGGCACCTGGCTGAGGCAGATTGGCACAAGACAGACCTGGCCCAGAGACCCGCCAACTTGGGGCTCATGCAGAGCCTGCTGCTGCAGAGGAAAGCCAGCGGGCTCCACGAGGCTGACCAAAATGCAGCCACGCGGCTGATCAGACATGCCATCGGGAACAATGAGTATGGGGAGATGGAGGCAGAGCGGCTGGCGGCGATGCTGACATTGCCAGAGGACTTGGCGAGGATGTACAGGGATGATATCACTGTCACTGTGGTGTATTTTAACTCAGAATCAATCGGTGCATATTACAAGGGGGGTTAAGAATCTCCCATCCTATTGTCAAGGTTAACATAAATGCTCTTCTAAAATGTTTCACTTACTCCTAAACTAGCTATCCAAACCTTACTATTAAAAGCGCAGGCAGATTTAATTTGCTAAATAGACTAACAGGAGGAAAAAAACAAACAGCCTAGCTTTAAAAAACAGTGAAATAGCAGTGATTTCATGTCCCTGTATGTTCTGATTAAGTCTTATATGCAGAGAGGACAGAGCATAAAGTCTATAGAATTGGCTTGGGCTTGTGTAGCCCCAGTCATTTGATAAAGATGTTGTTAAACTGTGTCAGCCTGAGCCTTCAAAGGGTAAATTTAATCATGATTCTGAGAATAAAGAACTTCAGGAGCTTCTTAGGTCTTGCCACAAAAATCTGCAAATTTGATAATTCTCCTGAATTCACAATCATGGACTTGTAGACTATGAAGAGATATTTTATTTGTTTGTCTTTTATTTAAATTACTAAGGTCTAGGTTTACAAAGCATACTACAGGACCCTTTTCTATGCAATATCCTAACTTTTTTTTTTGTGATTATGCTTGTGAGAAATTTTGTAATACTACATTCTAGTTCTGTTTTCGTTTATTTTAAAACTGAATCCTTAAACTTGCAAACACGCCTACTGTAAGCATGCTTGGAATGACTTGTTTTGGTTTTCAGCTGATAGGATCTATGCCTCTGGACCAGCTGAACTTACTGGTGCAGCTTTTTGTGCCCTCTACTGAGTCCCATTCCAGAAACTTTGAGCCATGCTAGGAGGTAACTAGTCTATGCCTTAACTCCTGACCTTTCCTGCATTAGTAAAATTTCCTCCTGGGCTGAGCCTTTGGGGGTTGATTCACAGCATTTAAGCTTTCTGATTATACCTCTCAAACATTCTTCTGTCAATTCCACACAATCCTTCTACCTCTGCTATGCTGAACCCCTCATTCACCCTGCACCTGCCAACTGCAAAATATTGTCTGAAAGAATCTTTCACATGTTCCTGCTTCCTATGGCTGCAGGAAAGGAGAAAATGTGATTGCATGTGGTAGTTGTGGTGATAGACGTTTAGACAGGACAGGTTAATTTAGCGGATTGTGGACTTAAGATTCAACCTCTATCTGGAGAGGTGAAAACACAAAGGCTTAAGGACAACAGTTTCTAACCAAGTTTCTCTGAATCCTTTCCTGAGAGGTGGTGGGCAGGAGGGAGGAGTGAGACTTATCAGATGGGACGCTTGCCCCAAGACTGTGGGATAAACCACCATTGCTAGTCCTCAGGAATTAGACCATATTTAGTATAGGAGTTGGGGCAAAAATAAAAGTGTAATTTGTAATGGTTTCTGTGGGCTGTAGACTCTTTGTATTTACTTGGAAATTCAGTTATGTGGATCCATTTTGGAGATGAATTTCATCTCATGAGTTGCTGTGGCATTTAAACAACAGGAAATGTGTCCCTAAATGGAAACAAATATAATCCCACAAAACCAACAATTTTATTTGCCTCTACTACGTCAGGCAGAATTCTTCAATTAAGTTGAACTACATTTGTTGATCCCTTTTCTCATCTTACCCCTTTATGCCACCTACTGAAAAGAAAAACAAATAGCTAGGTTTGGTTTCCTGTTTTTTGTCTATGTCCCAGCTGACATTCAGTCAAATGTTGGGATACTTCTAATTTGGTGGTGTTTCTTTGTACATTTTTCAGTGCAACTGTTTAGTCATGTGTTTTCATCTAAGAAATTATCTTTTGAATATTTAAGCCTTGATCCTTTTATTCTGAAACCATTAATATTCCTTCTTGGCTGGGTGCAGTAGTTTACGCCTGTAATCCCAGCACTGTGGGAGGCCGAGGCGGATGGATCACCTGAGGTCGGGAATTCGAGACCAGCCTGACCAACATGGAGAAACTCCATCTCTACTAAAAATACAAAATTAGCCAGGTGTGGTGGTGCATGCCTGTAATCCCAGCTACTCGGGAGGCTGAGGCAGGAAAATCACTTGAACCCGGGAGGCGGAGGTTGCGGTGAGCCAAGATCGCACCATTGCACTCCAGCCTGGGCAACAAGAGTGAAACTCTGTCTCAAAAAAAAAAAAAAAAAATCCATCTTATCTCTTAGTCCGTCCTTCCTTCCTTCCTTCCTTCCTTCCTTCCTTCCTTCCTTCCTTCCTTCCTTCCTTCCTTCCTTCCTCTCTCTCTCTTTCTTTCTTTCTTTCCTTCTTGACAGGGTCTCCCTGTAGCCAGGCTGGAGTGCAATGGCATGATCTTGGCTCACTGCAACCTCTGCAGCCCAGGCTCAAACGATCCTCCTGCCTCAGCCTCCCGAGTAGCTGGGACTATGCACCACCATGCCTGGCTAATTTTTTTAATTTTTTGTAGAGACAGGGTTTTGCCATGTTGCCCAGGCTGGTCTCAAACTCCTAGACTCAAGCAATCTGCCCACCTCGGCCTCCCAAGGTGCTGGGATGATAGGCATGAGCCACCGCACCCAGCCTATCTCCTAGATCTTGAATCAAAAATAAAATGTAAATCACTTCCATTCTGCTAGCATGAGGGTTTGTTGCTAAAATTGAGGATTCTATCTGACGTTTACTTTTTGTTGTTTTTTGAGACAAGGTCTTGCTTTGTCGCCCATGCTGGAGTGCAGTGGCATCATTATAACTCACTGTCAAACTCCTGGACTCCAATGTTCCCTCCCCTTTTAGCCTCCCAAGTAGCTGGGTCTACAGGCATGAACCATCAGGCCCAGATAATTAAAAAAACTTTTTTTGGTGAAAACATGATCTTGCTATGTTGCTCAGGCTGGTTGTCTGGCATTTTCTTTGTCCTTTATTCTTTATACTAGCTAAACCCTGGAGTATCCTTGAAGCCTTTACTGGCATACAGAGTACCTGAATCTTACTTTGGAGCCTAGCATGGGTCATAAATATATCTGATTCATTAACCTGTGAGACAGCTGAGAGAACACAGACTCCTTACCTGTATCTCCAGGCATATCTGGTTTTTCTCTGCCTAATAGATTTTCCTGCTTTCTAGTTAGTAATATTGAGAAAGAAGAAAGGCTTATTTATCATTTGCTTTTTTTCCACTGTGAATCATCTGTTCTTTCCATGAACATTCTGGGGAGCACCTCCTGATTAAACTCCTGTCTCCCTGACCACTATCCTGCTGTCATTGGACTTCTTGAAGCACATGGGCTACTGCCCCAGGACACTGGGATTTGAGAGGAGTTTAGTGGTAATTGTCAGGTCTTTCAAAGCATTTATTATTCCTTTTATACGGAGATTTCAGTATTGAGACTTAAAATGAACTGAAAAATGAGATTGAACATTTAATATTTTGGATGTAACTTTTGAAGAAAGTATGCTTTGGTGCTTAAAATTGTATATGATTTTAGGTAAGAAACTTTGATAATATTGGCATAATTTAGATTTATTTTCTTTCTTTTTTTTGAGACAGTCTCACTCAGTCGCCCAGGCTGAAGTGCAGTGACACAGTCTCAGCTCACTGCAACGTCTGCCTCCCAGATTGAAGTGACTCTCGTGCCTCTGCCACAGAGTAGCTGGGATTACAGGCATGCACCACCACACACCGCTAATTTTTTGTATTTTTAGTAGAGACAGAGTTTCACCATGTTGGCCAGGCTGCGAACTCCTGAGCTCAAGTGATCCTCCCACCTCAGCTTCCCAAAGTGCTAGCATTACAGGCATGAGCCACCACACCTCACCAGATTTTTAAAAAATATATAACTGCATCTCTCTTGATTCTGGGGCTTGGTAAAAATGGATAGATAAGATAGTATTCTAAATTCAAATTCGTGGCTAGGCACAGTGGCCCACACCTGTAATCCCAGCACTTTGGGATTCCAAGACAGAAGACTCACTTGAGTACAGTATGAGACCAGCCTGGGCAACATAGATCTTGCCTCTACAAAAAAAAAAAAAAATAGCCAGGTGTGGCACATGCCTGTAGTCTCAGCTGCTTGGAAGGCTGAAATGAGAGGATCTCTTGAGCCCAGGAGGTCTAGGCCAGAGTGAGCTGTGATCGTGCCATTGCACTCCAGACTGAGTGACAGAGTGAGACTGTGTCTAAAAAAAAAGTTTGAATTAAAAAAAAAAAAAAAAAAGTCGGCTGTGCACGGTGGCTCATGCCTGTGATCCCAGCACTTTCGGAGGCCAAAGTGGGTGGATTACCTGAGGTCAGGAGTTTGAGACCAGCCTGACCAACATGGTAAAACTCCATCTCTACTAAAAATACAAAAATTAGCCTGGAATAGTGGCGCATGCCTGTAATCCCAGCTACTTGTGAGGCTGAGGCAGGAGAATCCCTTGAACCCAGAAGGCAGAGGTTGCAGTGAGCTGAGATTGTGCCATTGCACTCCAGCCTGGGCAACATGAGCGAAACTCCATCTCAAAAAAACAAAAACAAAAAACAAACTCAAATTAGCATGATAGATCAGGCTACTTAGATTCAGCTTTCTGAGATGTTATTTGTTAACATTAAGGCTAATTTATTATAATGAAAATGTAAACTTTGAGGTATGTTAATATATAAACATCTTTTTCCTTTGGCCTAAAAGGTCTTTAGTATTCAGCACACTGGGTAAAGTTCAGTTTAGACACAATCAAATTGGCATCTTTTAAACATAAGTGAAATATAGAGAGCTTGAACTTGAGTTACTTAAAGAAGATACAGTATAATTAATTATACAGAACAAAACAAAGATGTGTTTAGAGTGACTCTGGCCTGACTCTTGTCCATCAGCCCCTAGTAGCCTATCTTCAGCCTTTGGGAAGTCTTAACTTCCCAGGTTAAACTAGAATATTCTGGAACTGAGCTGTCCAAATTTCATCTTAAAGTGGATCATTTGACTCTGAAACACGATTCTCATGGCAGAAAAAGCCCTGGTGTTTCCTTGGAGCTGGGGATAAAGGCCAGTGAGCCAGCCTGTGATGAGAGCTGCCCCTGGCACTATCTGAGTGGAAAGCTCATTGGGACAGCCATGCAGCTATCAGAGCCGACTGAAGCCCTGTCCCTTACCCCTCAGGCACCTGATGCTTAACTTGCCTCCTGGGAAATAATGATCTAGCATTTACTTGGAACAATGATTAATCATGTTCTTTAATAATTGCTGACATTTGTATTTTAAGCTGTATACCAATGTTCGTATTTGACATTGATTTTCTAACCATTAGAGATATTTAATTAAAACTTGGAAATGAAAGAAACAAAATGAAATTTAGTTTCTTTTGGTTTGAATCCTAATTTTTTTTTTCAGTCCTTAAGGTACTAGATTAGGCCAACCTTTGTTTCACCACCTTTATCTGACCGTGGAAGATTTTAGGCTGTTCAAGAGTCCACCCAAAAGAGAAGTATGCTGCTCTGCAAAGGTTTGGTGGCTGTTGCCCAGGAAATCCTCATTTAGTGTTGACCGTGTGTGTGGAGACCTGAAAGAAGTGAAGGCTTTTGTTGTGAGGGTCTCCACACACTCAGGGCCAAAGCCTGCCAGAATTTCATACTATTTAACTTGAGACATTAAAACCAACTTGGCACATTACCCCCTCGCCCCGGAAGAGAGAAGTGGGCAGAAGTGGAAGGGTGCAGTGGCTCATGCCATCATGCCCAGCCAACCCTCCTTTTCAGCAAGATCAAATTGATGCCCAGAGGTTGAAAAACACCCACGACACAGCGGTAGGGCCAGGATTTGAACCAAGTCCAAAGTCCCAATACTGGGCTTTCAGGAAGGGAGAATTATGTACAGTTTTTTGCACAATTTTGGCCTGGAATGAGTGGGGCTGGGAGGAGAGGTTGGTGGTACTGAAAGGAAGCTAGAAGGCTTTTGGGGGGTTATTGCTGATAATAGCATAGTTTTATGGGCAGAGTGTGGTGGCTCACACCTGTAATCCCAGCACTTTGGGGGGCCAAGGTGGGAGGATTGCCTAAGCCCAGGAGTTCGAGACCAGCCCGGGCAACATAGTGAGAACCGCCCCCCCCATCTCTACAAAAATAAAAATAAAAATTAGCCAGGCAAGGTGGTGTGTTCCTGTAGTCCCAGCTACTTGGGGGACTGAGATGGGAAGGTTGCTTGAGCCCAGGAGGTGGAGTCTTCAGTGAGCCATGATTGTACCACTCCACTTCAGCCTGTGCGGCCAAGCGAGACCTTGTCTCAAAAATAATAATAATAAAATAAGACTGGGTGCTGTGGCTCATGCCTGTAATCCCAGCACTTTGAGAGGCCAAGGTGAGCAGATCACCTGAGGTCAGAAGTTCGAGAGCAGCCAGGATAACATGGTGAAACCCTGTCTCTGCTAAAAATACAAAAATTAAATGGGTGTGGTGGCACACAACTGTAATTCCAGCTACTTGGGAGGCTAAGGCAGAAGAATTGCTTGAACCCACGAGGCAGAGGTTGTAGTGAGCTGAGATGATGCCACTGCACTCCAGCCTGGGCGACAGAGCGAGACTCAGTCTCAAAAATAATAAATAATAATAATAATAATAATAGTAGTAATAATAAAATAGCTCTGTGGACTCTGATAATGCTTTCGCTCTTATGAGTAAAGCTACATATATTTAACTTATACACATGCCAATGTCCCATCATTTTAGAACATGATAAAGGGAACACAGGGAGAATTAAATTTTTTTTTTTTTTTTGAGATGGAATTTTGCTCTTCTTGCTCAGGGTGGAGTGCAATGGCACGATCTCAGCTCACCACAACCTCCGTCTCCCGGGTTCAAGCGATTCTCCTGCCTCAGCCTCCTGAGTAGCTCGGATTACAGGTATGCGCCACCATGCCTGGCTAATTTTTAGTAGAGATGGGGTTTCTCCATGTTGGTCAGGCTGGTCTCAAACTCCTGACCTCAGGTGATCTGCCACCTCAGCCTCCCAAAGTGCTGGGATTACAGGCTTGAGCCACCGCATCTGGCCAGAATTAAAATTTTTAAATTGAGCTGTTTGAGCTCTTTAAATAGAGCGGGGAGGAATTAAACTTATAGACTTATTTTTTGCCTTTCATCTCTATAGGTTTGTTTGTTTATTCGTTTTTTTTGAGATAGGATCTGGCTCTGTCACCCAGGCTGGAGTGCAATGGCATGATATCTTCTTACTGCAACCTCTGCCTCCTGGGCTCAAACCATCCTCCCACCTCAGCCTCCAGAATAGCTGAAACTACAAGTATGTGCCACCATGCCCAGCTAATTTTTTTTGTATTTTGTAGAGATGGGGTTTTGCCATGTCATCCAGGCTGGTCTCAAACTCTTGGCCTCAAGCGACCCTCTTGCCTCGGCCTCCCAAAGTGCTAGGATTCCATGTGTGAGCCTCCATGCCTGGCCCATCTCTAGAGTTTCTGTTTCCATTTTACTTGATGCTACTAAATGCCCTTAAATGGTCCCCAGCTTAGTGATCCTCTGAATTGTTGGTGGCCAGTGCTCCAATCAGCTCTCTGGGATGGATGAACCTTTACTGATGTCTGTGGGTCCAAATATCTTTGCTCCATTGGCCCCTGACTTTCTCTACCAGCAAGCAGCCTTGATCTGGGAAATCATCTAGCTGGGAGGAGCAAGGCAGGAAGTGGGAGGGAGGGTGGAGTGGGGGAGCGGGGCTGTGGAGGCCTGGGCTCCAGTTCTGATATATATGTGTGTATATATATATATATATATATATATATATATATGTATATATATTTTTTTTTTTTTTTTAGCAGGGTCTTGCTCTATTGCCCAGGCTGGAGTGCAGTGGTGCAGTCATGGCTCACTACAGCCTTGAACTCCTGGCCTCAAGTGATCCTCCTGCCTCAGGCTCTCAAAGTGCTGGGATTACAGATGTGAGCCACCGTGTCCAGCCCCAGTTCTTTTTCTTTTTTTTTTTTTTTTTTTCATTTTTTCTTTTTTTGAGACAGAGTCTCACTCTGTCACCCAGGCTGGAGTGTAGTGACGTGATCTTGGCTCACTGCAACTTCCACCTCCTGGGTTCAAGTGATTCTTGTGCCTCAGCCTCCCGAGTGGCTGGGACTACAGGCATGTGCAGCCACACCTGGCTAATTTTTGTATTTTAGTAGAGATGAGGTTTCACCATGTTGGCCAGGCTGGTCTCGAACTCCTGACCTCAGGTGATTCACCTGCCCCAGCTTCCCAAAGCAGGCCCATTAACCTAGCCCCTGGGAGAGTGGTCTGTGGAGGGAGTCTCCAAAGCCTACTCTGTCTCAGATCTCAACTCCTTCTGCCTTTCTGGGATTCTGGGAACCCCTCCCATGCCTCACCCCATTTTCCCTGCAACAGATGAACAGAAGGAATGTCTGCCATGAGCTACTGCTCTGTCCACCCTGCACAAGCTTGTGACCCCGTGCAGTGGGTCTGGGATGGGGCTGCAGGGCCACTGTGGAGGCAGCGGGACTAGCCATTGTGGCTAGGTGGGAGGAGCCCTGCAGGTGACCTCCTGGAATGGGAAAATAAGCAAGATCATGTGGTGGCCTCAGGAAGGGCTGGAGGCATGGCTGGCTCTTCATCAGCATAGAGGTAGGGAGGGGGCAAAGCAGAAAGTCCTGCCTCAGTCCCCCACTTTCCCTGCATGTTGATACCAGGGCTTTTGGGTATTCTTGTTTCCTCGTTTGCCTCCTCCTCATCCCCACCCCTGTGGCTACAGTCCTGGTCCCCTGTCCTGCCCTGGGGGTGCACAGGCTGCCTGTGGAATGAGTGAGGAAGGATGGGAGGACTGATGGTGTGGTGGATAGACAATTCAGGGAGGAGCAGGTGAGAGAGAAGGAGGCAAACAGTGAGTGGCTGCATGGCTGTGAAAAGCAAGGAAAGTTGGTGAGGAGTGTCCAGTACCAGAGGGGCTTTGGGTGTGGGTGGATGGAAATGAACAATTCGCCAAAAAAAGAACACTACATAGCCAGGTGTAGTAGTGCATGCCTGTGGTCCCAGCTACTTGGGAGGCTGAAGTGTGAGGATCGCTTGAGCCCGGGAGGTCAAGGCTGCAAAGAGAGATGATCGCACCACTGCACTGCAGCTTGGGTGACAGAATGAGTTCCTGTCTCCAAAACAAAACAAGACAAAACAAACAAACAAAAACAGAAAAAGGGGAACACTACAGAAAGGTGAGGGCCATTCTGTGTTCTCACTCAGGGCCCTGGACACAGGATGATCCCGGATGGTGAGGCGGAGGTGAGGACATTGCTGTATGAGCGGAGAGTTGGCTGAGCTGCTAGAATCCCTTCCTCTGAAACGAAGCAGTGAAGGGATGGTGTGGGGAAGGTTGTCAACCAGCCAGCATGCTCCTGGGCCTGTGGAAGGGGAGAGTGTCCACGGTTCACTTGGGGTCCCAGGGACCTTGCCAGCCCTGTACTGGGCTTTGGCATGAAGGGGTGGAGAAGCTCTTCCAAGCTCTGACTGGTGTCTTGGTTACTAAATCCTGAGGGTGGCATGATGAGAACACCAGTGGGGAGCCTTTGGCTGTGGGGTTCTGTGAGTGAGGCAGCATGAAGCAGAAGTTGCCTCTAGATGTCGCCATCTGACCACACTGGCATCAGCTGAGTGCCGTTGGAGGAAAATGTTCATGAGATGCGGCCTGAGGCCTGTCCCCAGCCCAAGCTGGGTCTCCTGGCGACTGCAGCTTGGAGCACCTTTGGAAAGCCTCCTGGGACTTGGGATGTCTTTGGGGCTGGGAACAAGTGTGGGTGGAGGAAGGGCCGGTCCTGTGGTCACCCAGCCCTGTCTTGTAGGGAAGGAACTGCTGGGGTCCCAGGAGAAGCCAGAGCCAGGCAGTGAGCTCCAGATGGTGGGGGAGTGGCTGCCACCTTGACCATCTTCCCCCGCATGGCTGTTCTCCTCTGTGGACCACCCCATGCCTCTGACCCCCATCCTCCCTACCCCATTCCCTACAGCCAGTCCCCACAACCACTCTTCCAGCAGCCCGGGGGGCCATTCCCATCTGTCCTCCCCTGTCCCAGTTCCAATAATGGACTACACCACCTTTATCTTCCACTGCCCCAAATGACGGCTGTCCGTCTAGTCAGTTCCACCCACTACACCACAGTCATCGTGACCATGTCACTCCTTTGCTCCGAACCATGGCTCCCCCTCACCCTAAGGAGGAAAGCTCAGACTCCCTCTCCCCAGGGTGGCCTCTCCAGCCTCCTCCATCTGTTCCCAGCAGGGTGGGCATGGCTGTCACATGTTCCTAGAACATGCCAGGCCTTTGGCCTTGCTGTTCCCTCCGCTGGAACACCTACCACTGCACCATCCACCTCCACCTGTCTTGTTCCTGCGACTCAGCATGACTCTGCTGAAGCATCCCCTGCCCTGGGAAGACTTCCTGGCTTTCCAGGCAGTACCAGCTCCTGTCTCCAGTTCCCATGGCACTGGGACCTCCATCACATCTCCTCAGATAGCTTGCCAATGTCTGTCAGTCTGTCTGCCCTCTTGGCGGCACCAGGGACCTCCTCTGACTCTCCTCTGAGTCCCCAGGGATCAGCCCAGTGCCTGGTATGAAGTAGGCACTTGCACATGCATTTAAAATGTTAGGGAGGAAAGAGTGGGAAAAGAGAAAGAGATCCTTGTCTTTCCTCACAAGCTGAAGTCACCTCTTGCAAGCATTGGGCCTGTGCCCTGGTTATCCCTGGGATGGAGCCGAGAACCCTCCAACTTTTGCTTCTTGCTATGGGCTTTTTGTTTTGAGACAGAGTCTCACTCTGTTGCCCAGACTGGAGTGCAGTGGCAGGATCATGGCTCACTGTAGCCTCAACAATGTCCGGCCTCTAAGCCCAAGCTAAGCCATCATATCCCTTGTGACCTGCACGTATACATCCAGATCACCTGAAGCAACTGAAGATCCACAGAAGAAGTGAAAATAGCCTTAACTGATGACATTCCACCATTGTGATTTGTTTCTGCCCCACCCTAACTGATCAATGTACTTTGTAATCTGCCCCACCCTTAAGAATGTTCTTTGTAATTCTCCCCACCCTTGAGAAGGTACTTTGTGAGATCCACTCCCTGCCTGCCAAACGTTGCTCCTAACTCCACCGCCTATCCCAAAACCTGTAAGAACTAATGATTAATCCACCACCCTTTCTTTGCTGACTCTCTTTTCGGACTCAGCCCACTTGCACCCAGGTGAAATAAACAGCCTTGTTGCTCACACAAAGCCTGTTTGGTGGTCTCTTCACACGGACACGTGAGACAAACTTCCCCTGGCTCAGGTGATCCTCCCACCTCAGCCTTCCGAGTAGCTGGGGCTACAGGCGTGCACCATCACCTGGCTAATTTTTGTATTTTTTGTGGAGATGAGGTTTCGCCATGTTGCTCCAGCTGGCCCTGTTATGGTTTTAAGGATAACCACAAATTCCTTGACACTCTTTCCATCAAGGAGTGGGGTCTAATTCCTCTCCTCTTGAATCTGGGCTGGCCTTAGAGTCTTGCTTATAACTGTCTCACGCACGTCCATGTGAAGAGAGTCCACCAAACAGGTTTTGTGTGAGCAACAAGGCTGTTTATTTATTTTGGACTCAAGGCGGGCTGAGTCCGAAAAAGGAGTCAGCAAGGGTGGTGGGATTATCATTAGCTCTTATAGGTTTGGGGATAGACGGTGGAGTTAGGAGCAATGTTTGGCAGGCAGGGAGTGGATCTCACAAAGTACCTTCTCAAGGGTGGGGAGAATTACAAAGAACCTTCTTAAGGGTGGGGGAGATTACAAAGTACATTGATCAGTTAGGGTGGGGAAGAAACAAATCACAATGGTGGAATGTCATCAGTTAAGGCTATTTTCACTTCTTTTGTGGATCTTCAGTTGCTCCAGGCCATCTGGATGTATAGGTGCAGGTCACAAGGGATATGATGGCTTAGCTTGAGCTCAGAGGCCTGACAACAACTAATAGAATATAGTAAGTCTTTATATAATGTCCTCACTTAATGTAGTTCTTGGAAATTGCAGCTTTAAGCAAAATGACATACAAGGAAACCAATTTTGTCATAGGCTAATTGACATAAACAAGAGTTAAGTTCCTACAGCATATTTCTGGTGATAGAAATATCATCAGACTTCTAAATAAAGACCCAAATGCTTCTCATATTAAACATTGAAACACGTGTAAGAAAGACTAATAGAAACAAGGCCAGGTGTGGTGGCTCACACCTGTAATCCCAGCACTTTGGGAGGCTGGGGAAGGTGGATCACCTGAGGTCAGGGATTTGAGACCAGCCTGGCCAACATGGCGAAACCCTGTCTCTCCTAAAAATACAAAAATTAGCCGGGCTTGGTGGTGGGCACCTGTAATCCCAGCTGCTCAGGAGGCTGAGGCAGGAGAATTTCTTGAATCCAGGAGGCGGAGGTTGCAGTGAGCCAAGATTGTGTCATTGCACTCCAGCGTGGGCAACAAGAGTGAAACTCCATCTCAAAAAAAAAAAAAAAAAAGAAAGAAAGAAAGATTAATAAAAACAAGTAATAGAATTATTTATCCAGTTATTCCAGTTCAAGGTCATGGATGGCTGGAGCCTATCCCAGCAGCTCAGGGCGCCAGGCGGGAACCAGGCCTAGACAGGATGCCATTGCCTTGAGTACACTCACACTCATGCAGACTGGGAGCATGCAGACAAGCTAGTTAATCTAACATGCACATCTTTGGGATGGGGGAAGAAACCAGAGTACCCAGAGAAAGTCCTCTACAGACTCCACACAGACAGTAGCCCCAGCCAGAAATAGATTTTTTTCTTCATCAATGTTGTAACAAAATAATGTTGAACAAAATGAGCCAGGAGTGGTCGCACACCCCTGTAGTTCCAGCCACTTGGGAGGCTGAGGCAGAAGGATCGCTTGAACCCAGGAGTTTGAGGTTACAGTGAGCTATGATCATGCCACTGCACTCCAGCCTGAGCAATAGAGACCTGTCTCTAAAACAAACAAACAAACAAACAAACAAATCATTAAAAAAAATAATAAAAGCTTTCAGTGACATCCTCCCATTTCTGCCTCCCACCATCCTCCCCTGCTTCCAAGGAGTCAGAAAAATGTCACAATCCCTTCATGATGTGCAAGGCTGAGTGTGACCTGGCCCTGCCCACTCTTCAACCCCATCTCATACCTCTACCACTTCTGTGCTTCAGCCACTCTGAGTTGCTTCCAGTGAGGGAGTCTCTCTGTTAACTGGACATAGTAGGGACTCAATTTGTGATAATTTGTGATCATAAACTAGGTCACATCTGTGAGCCTTGCTGAGCACTTTACATGTATTATCTCATTTAATCTTCATGCAACCCTATGATCAAGTATTATTAACCCATTTTACAGATGAAGAAACTGAGCCTGGGCATGTAAAAGGTTGTGCCCAAGGTCACAAAAATAGTAAATGCAGAGTCGAGTTTGAAACCCTGGTGTCTGAATCCAAACCTTCCTCAGCAATCATGTGATTCTACCGAATAGGTATTGATTTGATAAGAAGCATGTGCTCCACCTGCTCCCCAAAGGCCGGGCAGCAACTTAGGAGGGAGAGTGAGCTGTTGGTCTATGGAAGCATTCTAGCAAGAGCTGGGGAGCACTAGGCAAGATGTGAATTGGACGGAGTGTGGGGGCCCCACCCTGAGGCTGGGACCTCTGCCTATGCCTGGGATTGGGGGCTGTGTGCACGCATGGGTCATGTGATACCCTGTATATGGCCTTTCCCTGTGTCCAGGCCAGCCTAGTCCTTGGGGCTGGGGGTGGGCAAGAGCAGGTGGAAGCTTGGGGAGCCCGCCTCGAGCAGGCAGAGTCCAGCAGACCATAGCCTGTCCACTGTCCTGACCCTGTGGCCCTGGACTGGCCTCTGCCCTGGGCCTGGCACCTCTGGCTTGGGGAAGGGCCCAGAACTACTCAGGCACACAGTGAGGCCTGCCCTCCCACCTGCTACCAGGCAGAATTTATCTCAACTGAGTGAGAAATAGAGAGAGGGAGAGAGAAAGAGAGAAAGGGAGAGAGAGAGAGAGGCAATTGCGTAAGAGGATTTGAACAAAAATGGTTATGGCACTGGTGTTTGTAAGAAAGAGAAACTGGACACTGTTTACATGTCCTCCTCAAGGGCTGGACAAAGAGATTCTGATGTGTCCATCCTGGCAGACTTTAGAAATAATTAGGAAAAGAAAAAGTGATGGGGGAAGATCTTTATAGTTTATCTGACAGGAAACTGCTAATTGTCAATACTGTAAATGTTGGGGGGAATTGATCACAAAACAGAATGTACAGTGTGACCCCAAGTTGAAATCCTTCCCCCAGCCCTCACACACACTCTTCCACCAGCTCCCTCGTGACTTACCCTGTTGGCCAGTGGCCAGAGGGTGGGGGAGGGGGCTTATCTTGGGAAGTGGATGAGATCACCCCGAGGCTGGCTGGTTTAGTACCGGGTAACCTTTTCTACCCTTATGGCTCTCAGAGGCTTCTGTGCTGGCTCCTAAACCTTGGCGCCAACCTCAGGCTGGAGGGGGTTATGCTCCCCCTCCCCAGGGTGGAGATGGTGGCCAAAGCCGGATAGGGCACAGGTGCTGGGCTGACGCAGAGATGGAGTGGCAGAGGGGGTCTGGGGAGTTCCAGGGCTCAGCTGGGACCCTATGAGAACTCTGCTCCCAGCAGATCTGGGTGTCCTGTCATTTCCCAGGGACCTGTGTGTGCAGAAAATACATTTTGTGGATACAGGAATATCCCAGAGGATAGCCACTGTGTGAAGGGCCGAGGGGTCTCCCTGGCAGTGCCTCTAACACCTTGGCATGTCTTGGGATTCCAGTCAGCCAGCCGGGCTCTCCTCGGACAGGACTCCTCTTGTTTCTGGCCAAAATTCTGGTGAGGATGGTTGTGGGGGGAAGAGATAAGTCTGTGTTGGGAAAGGGACTAGGGCTCAATTCCAGCTCAGCAAATAAATATTCTGTTCAACCCTCTGCCTGCCCCCTACCTCCCACGCCCCCACTCTCCCACCCCCCGGTGCCTATCAGGCGACTTCCAGCCTTAAGGAAACTTTGCAGTGTGTCCCAATCCCCTGAGCACAGCCACACCTCTGAGCCTTTGCCCAGACAGTTGTCCCAACCTGACCACCTTTCCCCTCTCCAGCTGCCTTTGTCAACCCCCACCCTGGAGCTGGGTCAGGTGCCATCTGTCCCCAAGTCAGCGTCCATCATGTCAGCTTGTCTATGTTCATCTGGGGTGAGCCTGAGGGCAGGAGCTGGGTCCAGGGAAAATTCTAGGACATGCTGGATGAAGGAAACAGTGGGCTCCTGGAAGGGATCAGGGGTTGGGAGAGGACCAACTGTGTGCTCAGACCAGCTGTTCTGTGCCAGGGCCTCGAGGGGGGCACCTAGGAGCCTCAGGCCCCTCAAACCCCACAGCAAACAGCAAGAGAACAGGGTGTGGGGCACTCTGCCTGGGCTCTGCCGGCGAGGAGCAGGAACTGGACAGAACCAGAGTGAGCTGGAGTGTCTCCTCCTTAGCCTGGGCCCTGGGCAGCAGGGCTGGGAATGGAATTCTCCAGTTGGATGGAGCTGTTCCTGGAAAATCCCTATATGCCCTCCCAGAAATGTGCTCTTGTGCCTGGCTCTTGCTTCTTCAGAGTTGGAGGAGAAGGGACCTTTCTGCTGCTAGGCAATTCAGGCAAGGCCCTTACCCTCTCTGGACCCCTGGGCCTAGACTCCAGGACAGATGAGCAGGGATTTGTGCATCTATTGAGTGCCATCTGTCAGCCTCACTAAATTCTCTCACCCACCCTGAGAGGCAGGGATCAGGGTTCCCATCATTTGGGAAGGAGGTAGATGCTCGGAGATGCCAAGTGGCTTACCCAAGGTCACATAGCGGAGTTGGGACTCAAGCCCCTACCGATCGAGCGTCAGCCTGCACGCAGTTCCAGCCCCCGACCTACATTTAGGGTCCCTGAATGGACAGAGCAAGCCCGCAGGCTGAGGATGCCACTGCCAGCTCAGGTCCACCTGACTGAGGCCAGGCCTGGCCCTGTGCCTGCCACTCAGAATAACCCTTGTGGTTCTGGGCATGGATCGTGGCCCATCACCTGGGACCTATTTTTGTCCTTCGGGTAACAAGGAAGTCTCACCTTGTGCAGTAACTGTTTGGGACAAGGATGGAACATATGACCCCCCAACCCCAGCTGATCTTGCTGCCCTGCTGGGAAGTGACCCCAATAGGGAAGGGGAGGGCCTGCCCCAGCCACTTCCCAGAACTTGGCTTCCTACCCTCATCCCCCTCTTCTCAGCAGCCCATACCCCTGCACACACACACACACACACACACACACACACACACACCCCATAACCAGAGTCCCAGAGCATCTACATTTGTCCTTAGGATCCATTGCCACGCCTTATGCAGTGGCAATGCCACTTTCTCACATCTAGCTGTGGACCAAGCCCATTTCCTCAGGTTCCAGTCAGAGGGCTCTAGAACCCAGGTACAGTGGCCAGCCAGGGATCTAGCATCTAGAACTGGACATTCAGAATTGGGGGCCTGGAATCCTATGGGGCAGTGGCTGATGGCATTTGAAGAAATCACAGAAGCTGTGGGCACAACTACATCCACTCTGAAAGGTCAAGTGCCATCTCGAGGGTCAACCCCAAAAGCCTTATATAGAAGGGGGGATTCCTGTATGGAGTGGAGCACAGAGACATAGAGGGCACCCCAGCAGACTGAGAGGGGCTGCTTTCTGCTGAAACTAGGCGTGTACACATGTATGGGGATGGGGTGGGAAGGGTCATGTCCCGAACCCAGTAACATAAAATAAATGCATAGAAAAAAGACTGGAAAGAAATCTGGTAAAAACATAACTATAACAACAAAACCAAGAATGACTGCAGCTGTAATGACAATAATAACAGAAGCTGTTCCATTTTTTGAGAGCCAATTATGTGCCAGCCTCTGTGCTAAGTAAGGGCTTTGCTTGTATTATCTCAGTTAATCCCCACAGCATGCTCTTCTCTGGGTGGGGGTGGGTGGGCAGTGGCCTGTGGGGTGTGCTCTGTAAATGTGGTTGTTTTCTGCCAGGTCTGCAGCTTCCGCAGAGGTAGACAGAGGAGCCCTTAGGCCCCATCTATAGGAGATGTCGTGCTCTCCTTGCCAGCAATGCAGGGTGTGAGATGGGATGGCCAGCCCCCTTGGGGATGCCTTCGGGGAGCCAGCCAGGCCCACTGAGCTAACCTCAGCCCCCACTTGGCCCTACTCCTCTAGGCGTTGGGGCTCAAAATAGCAGCTGCTCGAGAGCTGACAATCAAAGGCCAGCTAAAAAAAGGCCCCTCAGTCTGGGCTCTGTCGCACACGGCTCGTAGAGCCTATTTTAGGGGAGAGGGTGCCGACATGCCAGTGGAAAATCCATAGGGCGGGAGTCTCCCAAAGTGGGAGACCCATATGCCTCCCTCTCCCCACTCTGGCCCCCCCACCCAAGTGCTCACGTGCACACACACTCACATTTTGCAGCCGTCAGCCTGCTTCCTGACCACTGGACCCTGTCATCTCCACCACAGCCCAGGAGAGGGATGAGGAAATTGAGGCTCAGAGATGGGAATTGACTTGCCCAAGATCACGAGGCTGGGAAGTAGGCAGGACAGCCACCAGATGGGGCCACTGTGGCTCACAGTTCAGTGCTCTCCCGTGGAAGAAGCCACATCACTGAGGAAGCCAATACATTGTTCTCTGGAGTGCCCAAAGCTCAGAGATGGGGCCAACGGTGGGGTGTTCTGGGTTGGACTGAGGGTGAGTAGGAGCTGAGGGTGACCTGTGGTCTTAGTCTCCGCATGGGAAGAAATCTCACTAGAACCCCCCAGGCCAATTCTGAGGGGACCTTGCCTGGCTGTGGGAGAGGCAGCTGGAGCGGGTCCTCATCGGCACTGAGCCCAGCCCAGCCCCCTCATCCTATCCCTGTGACCACCTCACGCCCTGCCCCGCCCAGGCCCCCAGAGGCTGGCAGGCCCTGCCAAGTTTCCAGGGAATGTGTCAGATAAAGGGCTGGTGCTCATGACTCTCTCCCACGTAGCAGCTATCTCTGACCCTACTGCCACTACCACTGCCACCGCCACTGGGAGGTGGATAAGAATAGCAACAGCCCCAGTGAGTGGGCACCCACAGGGACACAAACCATGTCTTTAGGTGTCCAGCCTCAGCCTCAGACTGAGGATGAGTCTCCAGGTTCCCCTTTCCATCAGTTCCAGCCCCACCTAGCTCCCCCATCATCCTGGGCCCAAAATCCTACCACATCTTAGGGTAAAACTCCAAGCCTCATCCCTTGTGGCTGCTGCCTCAGCAGGGGGAATCTGGAGGGGATGCCATCGCCACATTGATCCTGAGCTGGGGCCTGAGCCCTGCCCTTCACTGGGGAGCTGTATGACATGGAGCTGGACATTGTCCCTCTCAGGGCCCACAAGCAGGGCAAGGTGGCACAGCAGCCCCTGGAGAATGAGATAGCCAGCCGAGGCCTCTCCAGGGGCTGGGTACCCCGTTGTCCTGGTGACCACAGTCTAGTCTGGCTTCTGAGTGCCCCTGTGAATTCTGGCTTTCTGGTCAGTGGGGATGTGAAGACAGTGAGGGTCCTCATGTCTCACAGATAGGGGTCACTGGGATACGACCACTGGGTGGTGTTGGGGGGGCCCTGCATGAGTCCTGTGACACTCCTGTGAGGGTGTGAGGGTAGCTGCGTGACTACAAGGTAAGAGGCTGTTGTCATGGAACCCATGGTGAGCGTAGTTGTGACACCGGAATCGGGAGATCCAGGGAGCCTCATCTCCAACTGTGACACATGGGGGTGATGGAGGGAGCCGAGTCCCAGTCCCCACATCAGTGACTCCTGCAGCTCTCACAGCCTGACTCATTGCATGGCCCCGGACCTGGTACCCCCAGCCTCCTCGCCCCCGGCTCTGGCGCCTTTCTCTCCTCGCGTCCTCCCTGTTCTCAGGCGACTCTTCCTCTTTTGTACCCCCCCCATGTCACCCACCTACCAAAGGGGTCCCAGGGAGGAGGTCAGGGATGCTAGGGAAGAACGAGGAAGGGTGGGCCGAGGCAAGCTCCTCGCACACTCACACATTCCGATGCGTGCATCACACAGACCAGACTGCAGCATATACTTATACACCCACAGACACACGTGTGCACACACGCCTGGTAGAGTGACTGGGCCACTAAGAAGCCTCCCAAGCTCAGTCTTCCAACATCAGCCCTGTCTGGTAGGCCCCCACCACCCCTTAAGTCAGGGTCCCATGCCGCTGAGGCCCTCACATTAGAAACGCATCCTCCCGCCGCAGCAGTGTGTCTGGAGGTGACACCCTAGGAAGAACTTCTGCCCCGAGGCCCCAGCTAGAGTCCTGGGTGGGTGTAGGTAGATGTGGGTGGGGTGGGGTCTCTGAGGGCCCGAGACTGTTGCTTTCTTTGTGGGTGAGGGCCAGACTGACCTCTGGGCCTCCGGCTTCAAGAGCCCTAATCGCTGGGGCTGGAAAAAGTTTAAAAATATCCTCATGTTTACATTCTTTCCAAGCTGCCTCCTGATCCTCCGTGCTGGGTCCCTTTGATCTGGCCCAGTGCCTCTGGAAGGGGCCTGGGAGAAGGGGAGCATGAGGCCTCTGCTGGGGCCCACCCCTCAACCCCCTCCAGCTCCAGCCCAGAACCCTGTGAGACCCTGGACATCACAGACCCTAAGAGCACCTGGGCACTGGAAGGGAGCTGGGGCTGGAAGGGGTGTCTTGCACTCTTGCTTTGGGGCTGGAGCTGGGGCCCCTCTCCAAACTCCCTCCCAAAAGCCTGGGCCTCTTGGGACCTCTAGGGAGTGTGTGTAAGTGCGGGGATGTAGGTCCCTCAACAATCCATGCACTGGGGAAAGTCACATTTACTGAGCCCTGCAGTGCCTGGCACTGTGCTAAATGCATTGTGCAGGGATTATCTCATGTAGTTTTCCTAACGACAAAAACTTGTATCACCAAGTAAGCCAAGGCTCTGAGAGGTGAAGCAGTTTTCCTGGGAACACATCGCATGGATAAGCACAACACATGCTCTTCTACCCATAGAGCTATTGGTTGGCCCCCACCTTGCTCTAGCAGGGGCGAGGCCCTGCCTACAGAATGAAGCCTGCCTCACTAGCATTAATCTCTACAGGCATTCACTGGCCCACTGCCAAGCCTAGAGACCAATCAGCTTTGTGTCTCTCTTCCTCTGCGACCCAGGATAAGCCACACCCCCTCTCTGATCCTCACCTTTCTCTCTTTCTGTTTATGTAGAGACAGAGTTTCACTTTGTTGCCTAGGCTGGCCTTGAACTCCTGGCTTCAAGCAATCCTCTCACCCTGGCCTCCCAAAGTGCCAGGATTACAGGCATGAGCCACCGCACCTGGCCACCTTCCTCTGCAGAATGGGGCTGAGGATACAGGAGAGTTTTATGTCCCCAGATGCCCAAGGAACCTGGGCCCTTGTCTGTGGAGAAGGGGCTTGTGGACCTGGCGGTCAGCTCCAGCAGTGACAACCAAGAGTGGTCCGGGGCCTGGAGGCCCGAGGAAGAAGCCCTCAAACTAGAGCAGATGCCTTCATTTGCCCTGGTATCCTGTCATCCACCCTTTCGTCTGTGGGTCTCCCATCCACCCGATTACCAACCCACCCATCCATCTACCCACCAATCCATCCAGCCATGCATCTGCCTAGCCATCCACTTATTCATTCACCCATGCACCCTCCTATCTCCCTACTTATCCATCTAGGATAAGGGCCAGAAAGTGGTGGTTATAGCTCAAGTGACGCATCTTATGGCTGTATGAACCTAGAAATTTCCCTCCTTCTCTTTGCAATTCACCTTTCCATCTTTACAAGAAAGAGCTGATCTGGGTGATCTCTAAGGCCCTGCTGGGAAATCTTGAGGGAGCAGAGACCACCTGAACGCTGTGGACATTTCCAGAGAGGTAACACGGACCTTGGACAGATAGTTATGCCATGTACCGTGGTTCTAAGACTCCCAGCTACGGCCCTTAACCTCCCTGATCTTCAAGATCCTCCACTGCAAAATGGGGCCAATAATCCACCCTCGTAGGTTGATAGGAAGATTAGATGAGACACTACCTCCAGAAGATTTGCACCCTGAAGACTTCTGAGTGCATGCAGGCTGAGCAGAGGATATCCTGGCAGAGGGGCAGGGAATCCCTGCCTGGATGAGGGTAGCCAGCAGAGCCTCCAGTGGGGGTACCTGAGCCAGGATGACAGGGGCCAGCCTCAGAGTCCAACCCCTGGGCTGGGGATCCTGGCTGAGTCTTTGCCAGGTTGCCCGCCCTGTCTCTCTTAGCTGGGCTTGGCCCCTATCCCACAGAATCTGCCAATAGTGGAGAGATTATCTCCTAAAAATAGGGCCTGGGCCCCACAGAGGTTGTTTTTCTCCCTTTCCCGTGATTGACCATCATCAGCTCATGGTGCTTGGGACAGCAAGTCCCACCCTGACTCCCCAGAGATGGTTGAGAAGGGGACATGGGGATCAGCATGTATCTTGAGTCACCCACAGGTCAGGGATTAGAGGTCAATCTGGAGAGCTCAGCTCCTACTTAGCAGGGCTCAGCCGGGCTCAGCAGAGCATCAGGACATGGCTTAATCTTGGGCCAGGGTCAGGGGTTCACCTCAGAGAGGGGCAGCTCCAGAGTAAGCCACGGGGGTGCCTGTCCCGCTCCGATTGTCTCCATCTAAGTGACTCCCCTTCTCTGATTTCCTGCAGATGCCCTCATGCACTCACCAGCCTGTGTGTGAAACACAGCAGTGCCTTGGAGCCTACACTGGGGCAGAAGGACGCATCCCCAGCCTCACCTCACATGCTCCTGACCCATGGGGCCTCACCATCCTGCCCAGGGCCCTGCAGAGACTGAGGGGCCTCTGCCCATCCCTGGGTGTAGGTGACTCATGCACAGGAGCACAAGGTGCTCACACATGAGCAGAAGATGGGGACTCACAAGGTTTTGCCTTCCCATAGCAAAGATGACATCCAGGAAAACACAGAGATGACACCCTCAAAGACACCCCTCCTTGACCATCACCTGCATAGAGTTCACCCATCCAGGGTCTGTAGCTGGTGGGCTCTGGATGCCCACAAAAATGACCCACTTTGCTGTGGCCCCAAGCTCTCACCAATAGCCCATATGATGTCTTCATGTCCTTCCCTGCAGGGGACCTCAGTCTTGTCCTTCAAGCCCAGACCCTTTCTATGTGGCAGGAGATGGGGAAGGGATGAAAAAGCAGGTGTGTGCACACTCACACACACACATGCACACATAGACACTGAGACACAGACATACCAATCCCATAGGGCCCAGCCCAGTTCTCTGGGGCTTTATTATTGGGCAAACACCCTGACATTTGGAGCACTCCCATGGGCAGTCCATAAAGTTGGTGTCCAGGCTCTGCAGACATGCCTGGTGATGGTGATGGTGCCTCCACCCCAGGGCAGATGGAGGGGCTTCTACTCTGTCCTGTCCCCTGCTGGATCTTGGGTGCTGGGCTCTCTCCCAGGGGACTCAGATGGAGCCAGAGGCCAAGCTCCCAGCTAGAGCTGCCTGGGCCATTCAGACAGTCGCCTTCAGGGGCACGCTGTCTGCTGGTTGATCCGGGTCCTTCTTCCTTGACATGGTCCAGTGGGTGAAAATGAGGATGAGGAAGATTCCTGTGGGGCCCAAGAGGGATGTATCAGGCCTCAGAAGGGGCTGTGGGACTTGTTCATCACGAGGGACTTCCTGTGATTGGCATTGGATTAATGAAGAGATGAGTTTCCTGGACAGCATCCTGAGGCTGGGCTGGGTATGACTCTGTGGTGGTGCCTGGAGAAGCTTGACTCCTCGGCCGGCTTGGCCCCTACCCCTCTGAGGCTGACCCAGTATACTCAGCCTCCAAAGTCCCCTTCTCTTGGGGACATCGGGGAACCAGTAAGTTGGATCCCAACTCCATGGACCTCCAAGAGAAAGGCTCATCACAGCAGTGTGCTAGAACCAGCAAGGAAAACCAGCAAGGAGAAAATTTGAGGGGCTAAAGAAATAAAGGGGATAGAAGGGGTGGCTTAGACTGATGCAATTAGGCTAGAAAGACCTGGGTTCTGTCACAACCTGACTGTGTAACCTTGGACCAGTCACTTAACCTCTCTGAGCCTCAATGACCTCATCTGCAAAATGGGGAGATACCAGGATCTACCTCACAGGGTTGCTGGGAGGATTCCTGGCAATAGTCCCTGCCACACAGTCAATGTGCAATCATGTGACCGTAGATGCTACTATCAATGATGATGACAATGACTATGATCAAAGGGCAGGCGCATAATGACTAGGAGAGTTGGGGGCTTCCTTTTTCAGAGCTAGGGGCACCATGGGGACAAAGGTGTTTATTTGGAGGCTGTGGTCCCAACCACCCATCGCCCTCGCCCACGCAGGTAATGTCCAACCTCCATTACCTATTGCTACCAGGGTGCCTACAAGGATGCCCACTGCCGACAGCTTCGTGGGCATGCCCTTCATGCGGCCCACCTTGCGCATGCACTGCCCCTCCACGTTGCAGCGACACACGATCACTGAGGGGAGAGGGGAGGAAGGTAAGGGGAGGGAGGGGAGGGCTCCCCAGCTGCTCAGAGCCCCCAGCCCAGCCACCTGGCTGATATGTGTGTGTTTCTGCACATGTGTGTATTCACATGTGTGTGAAGATATATGCGCTAGCCAGGCGTGGTGGCTCACACCTGTAATCCCAGCCCTTTGGGAGGCCGAAATGGGTGGATCACTTAAGCCAGGAGTTCATGGCTGGCATGGTGAAACCCCATCTCTACTAAAAATACAAAAATTAGCAGGGCATGATGGTGCACACCTGTAATCCCAGCTTCTTGGGAGGCTAAGGCAGAAGAATTGCTTGAATCTGGGAGGCGGAAGTTGTAGTGAGCCGAGATCATGCCACTACACTCCAGCCTGGGTGACAGAGTGAGACTCTGTCTCAAAAAAAAATGTATGTGCCTCTGTGCCTGTTCCTGTGTGCCCAGGTATGTGTGCCCAGCCATAGGTGTGCAAGTGTGCACAGGCATGTGCTGTCCACATGAGCAGCCTGTATGCATGTGTACCAGCTCCCTCCCCTTGCATCCCAGCGGTTCCCTCAGGAACTGCAGGCTGCACCCAAGCCCAATCTCACCTCGAACCAGGAGCTGCCACATCTGGGCATTGTGGCTGACCACCACGGGGATTATGTGTTCACGTGGCTCCACCCAATGCAGGGCCAAGGTGAGGTAGGCATGGGAACCTTTTGGGACAGCAGGCAAAGACCAGGGTCACCAGCCTGGACAGGCCCTCTGGGGGCTGCTCCCCCTAGGCCTAGCCCCACCCCCATGGTAGAAGGGTATCTCACTTCCAAGTGACACCCCCTCCCTGCCTTGGCCACAGCCTCCCTCCCTTTCCCCACCACACACCATTGAGAGTCTGGAGGCGCCAATCCCGTTGCACCGTGGGGTTGGGACCAAGGGTGAAGCTGTAGGGACCGTGCCCACTGGCCAGATCGGGGTCCTTGCTGGGTCCACTCACGATCAAGCCATGGTCTTGGCGGGGTGTGCAGAGGTATTGGGAGGGCACAGGGGCAAGAGTCAGGGCTGGGGCAGGAGGGGCCTTTAGGAAGTGGATCACCAGGGGTGCAGAAGCGCTCAGTCTCGGCTCATCTGCAGAGGAGGCAGTGCTGAGCTGGCCAGGTGTTGCCAGGGGGAGGGTGAGCTCTGAGGTCCCTGGGCTGCTCCCGCAGCCCATGAGCCTCGCCTTATAGACTCCCCTGCCATGCTCCCTCCATGCTTCTCTCCACCTGTCATCATCCCCATGCCACTGTGGACATCCCTGACTTTGGCGGAGCTCACTGCTGCTGGGTCTGCCCTGTATCACAGCCCAGCTCAGAGTTGAAACCTGCCTCCCGGGGCTCCCCACCCCAGGGCCAGCTCTCTGTCCTGAGCAGTGTTCAGTGTCCTCCACACCTGGCTCCAGTGGCCCATTCACTCCAGCACTCCTTCCCCAGGGGCAGCCCCTGGTCCTCCTGCCACCTCCCCGGCCCTATACCAGTCCCTGAAGCTGACACCCTGAGAGGCCCTCCAGTGGCTAAAGGACAGGGCTGGGAGATTTTGTGTGTCAATCTAGGAGAATGATCAGAGAGGGGAGGCAGATGCCAGACTTGCCCACCGGAGGAGTAGATCCATTCTCAGAGAGGAACATTGAACCCAGCTTCATATCTGCCTCTCCTGCTTGGGGCTGGGGGTTGCCAGTGAGGGCCTCTGGGAGGAAGCTCAGTCCTGCTGTCTGTCTGTCTGAGGTTTGTACCCCCTCCCAGGGGCTCCCATCACTGCCTGGCCATACCTGTATCCTGGGCCTCCACAAGCACCGTGTAGGTGTCCCCAGGCTGGGCGCCCTGCAGGGACTGGGCGGTGTGCACCTCCCCGGAGAATTTCTCAATGCAGAGCCAGCCCTCTGAGTCATTGACTAGGGAGAACCTGCCGCCCAAAGAAGGAGGTGAGGAGGTACTGGGACTACATATAGGGTTTTGCTCAGAATCCCCCAGGGCTGTGTGACTTGCTTAAATTCCACACCCTCTCTGTGACTCAGGGGCCACAGCAAAGCCTGGGGGGCCCAGTCTCTCTCTCCAGCTTCAGGATTTGTTGTGGTGGTGGTGGTGGGTGTGGGATGAAGAACAGATCATGTGGGTAAGGGAGAAACTCTTAGAGCCTGGGAGGCCCATTTCAACTTTGCTCACTCCAGGTCACCCTGCAAGGGAATCAGAGTCTATGAACAACCTTGTCTGTCTGCAATCTGTTGGGGGGCATTGGAGGAGGGCCTGGTCCTCCCTCCAGGTGCTGAGGCATAATCTGAGCTCTCATGGGGTCCAAAACACCCCTCTCCATGCCCCACCCAGTCCATCCAGCCCCGATCCCTGCCAGGAGTCACAACCTTGGCATTTGCCATAGTTTGAGAAATTTTGCAGGCCACAGATAATGTGAGTCCCCTCTGAGGCCCTGGGGTCATCCCCAGGGAGCAGGGGCAATCCAGTCCAGGTAAGGGGCTGGGATTTTAGCTCACCTGAGGGTTCGGCTGATGGGGTCGGAGGGCTGGATGGTCAGCAGGAAAGAGCCGGCTGGGGCACTGATGGGGACACTGGCCTCGTAGCTCTCCTGGTCCAACTTGGGGGGTGGCATCACTCTCTCCACTAGCACAGTCACCGTGGCGGTGGCTCCAGGGCCTGGGCCTGGCCCCACCAGCTTCGCCACACTCTGCACCACCACCACCACCTCATGACTTGGAGCTGCCTCATAACTGAGGTTCTGGAACCAGGAGGCCCAGGTCACTGTGCGGGCCTGGGCAAGGCACATGTGCATGCATGCGTGCATGTGTGGGCCCCTTTCCCAGCTACCCAGGCCCTCACCTTGCAGAGTCTGAGTCTAACATGCCCAGAGTCTGGCTCCCAATCCAGGCCAAAAGTCCCTTCTGTGTCTCCCCTCTCAATGGCAAAATCCATGAGGCGGAAGGCGGGCTCGAGGTCAGCATCAATGGCTGTTAGCATGGCCACCAGAGTCCCGGGCTCCACATCCTCAGGGAGGCTTATAGGCCCAATCTGGAGGAGGAGGAGGGATGGTGAGCCCCCCACCAGCATCCTTCCCAAGGCCTTCTCCCCTGCGTCTGCTTACCTGGGAAGTGATGAACTCAGGGGCGTGATCATTGATATCTGTGACTGCGACTTCGACTTCACACGTGCTGCTGAAGCCTAGGGCAGAGGTGGACGTGTTGGTGAGGTCAGGGTAGGAACAGAGGGGACAGGGGGCCTGGGTCACCAATCAGGGCACTTACCACCCTCTGCGCCTGCCAGGTCCATGGCCAGCACCAGAAGCAGGATGTTCTGGCCTGCTCGGAGTGGGAGCACCCCCAGCGTCACACTGCCTGAAGTGGGGTCCACCTGGAAGGCTCTCCCCTCTACCCCATCCTCAGGCTCAGGGCTCAGGAGCTGATACACAACGTGGGAATTGGGGGAGCCGGGGGCATCTGCATCCTCTGCTGACAGTCTAGTCACTTCAGTACCTGCCAAGACAGCACCCGCCTGGATAGGACCACAGCCCAGCCTGGAGACCTTACCCCACCCACTCCTTATTTTGTGCCAAACTAAACTGAATTTGAGCTCGTGTGTGTGTGTGTGTGTGTGTGTGTGTGTGTTATGGAGGGACATTGACATGGGGGCCTGAGGCTGGGTCCTTATCCCAGAGAAGAGCAAGACCAGGTGGTTAATAGAGACTTCGTCCCTCTCCCATCCTGTAGCTCACCTGGTGGACTGAGCTCAGGGATGCTGACTGTGGGGTCACGGGGAGGGCAGATAGGCACGTTGTCATTCTCATCCATCACCAGCACGTGCAGCTCCAGAGGGGCCGCATAGTCCTCGCCATGGGAATTCTGAGCCCGCACCTGGAGCAGGTACTGCGGTGGGCAGTAGGGGGCTTCAGGTCAGGACCAAGGGCAGCTCCAGCCTTGCCTGGCTCTGAGTTTCCTTCCGGTGGGCCAGCTCCAGCTCTTCGGGGCTCTTTCCCACTGCCTCAGCCTCTGTTGTAGTTGTGACACCCCCAAAAGCCAACTGGACACTGACCAAGCACCCCCAGCCTGCATCCCTGGCTCCCCCTTCATATCACCTCAGCCTGGGCTTCTCTGTCCAGCTCTCTGGTCACGTAGAGGTTTCCCTCTGCATTCACTTCAAAGGGTCCCGGGGGATGGCTCTCCAGGTGATAGTGCACATCACCCCCACTCCAGTGTACCTGGGGGGGACACCCCGGGCCAAGGGGCAGGAACAATCCATGTCAGCCTTTGCGCCCCATCTGATTTCTCGTTGAGGAGCCTGAGCCCAACTGTGTGACCCAGGCAAGGTGCTGCCCTCCCTGGGCCTGGAGTCCAGGTGGGATCCTTCTGTTCAGGGCACATGTTGTTAGTGGCCTTGCCCTGATCCAAGCCTGGACCCTGCCCAAAGTGCTTGAGTGACCATGTTACTTTATTTTCTGCCCTCTCAGCCTGGGCCTGACCCCAGGGCATTCCTAGAAGAGGCCTGAGACATTCCTGGCCCGGGGTGACAATCCCCATGGCAGCAAGAGATGGCAGCTGTTCTCTCTGAGGAAGCCCTGGGCAAGTTCAAGAGGTCAGAGCACAGAGTCACGCCTGCTAGAGGATGGCAGAGCAGGCGAGGGGCTGTGGGCCTGCGTCCAGGGCCTTGAACACCCCAGTCCACAGTGGGAAGTAATGGGAAGAGTGGAGGGAGGAGCACGGGTCATGAGGGTTCCAGACCCAGCCCCCAAATATCCATGAGACTCGGGCCTGGCTGCACCATCCATGGGGCTGCTTCAGCCACTGACAGCCACTTACTCACCTGGGCCATGTGGTGCGGGTATAGGACTTTGAGATTCTCTGCCAGGTGGATAGGCTCTAGGGACACCCAGGTGCTCTCTATGATGGAGACTTCCACGGTGGCAGTGGCCTGGTGGCCTGAGGCCTGGTCACCCATGTCCTTGACCTGTACCAACAGCTGGTAGGTCCTCTCCAGGGCGTGGTCAAGGCTGGTGCTCCCTAGAACAGGGAGGATGGTCAGCTGAGCAGGCAGCCAGGGAGCAGGGGCCAGGGCATCATTCTCAGCAAGATACCAGACACAAAACCAAGCATACAGCAGGTGATTGGGACACTCTCTTGGCCAAGGGAAGAGAGGAACTTTAAGCACTGTTGTGAGCCTCCAACAAGGACATGACAGTTTGCAAAGCCACCTCCATATCTCTCCACACAACGAATGCGTGATAGACTAGAGAGGTAGGTGGATGACCAGGATGAGGAGATGGGTAGATGGCAGATGATGGGTTGGTTGGATGAATGGGTGGTTGACTTGGTAGGTGGATGGGAGTTTGAGTGTGTGAATAGGAGAGTGTTTGGATGAGTGATGGGAGGTTGGATGGACTGTGTAGGTTGTTGGGCGGTAGACGGGTGAATGCGTGGCTGGCTATGATGATGCCTGATTCACTTTTCTTTCCAACCCTAGTTCATGCCTCTGGTCTGAGCTTCCAGGTCCAGGTCTCTTCCGCCATCAGTCGCAAGGTTGCCCAGCAGCATCTTAGGCTACAACCCCTTAGACTGTTCCTATCTTTGTCCCTTAGGCCCAGGTCTCCGTGGAGTGTGGAGCTGAGGCCCTCCATTCACACCATTTCCTAGCTCTCCATGCCTGGCCCTGCCTCCACAGCCCCCTGCCTTGTTGCTGTCTCCACCTAGAGTGCCCTTCCCTCCCTTTTTACCTCTCAAGCTCCCACCCATGCTTGTCTTATGGTTCAGATACCACCTTCTCCAGCTTTCTCTGACCCTCCCTCCCCAGCACACCCCGCTCGGGCTTACCCTTGGGGCTGAGGGCCAGAGCCCCCAGCCGAGGCTCCAGCTGGAACATGTCTGGGGAAGGCTGGGCTGGAGCCTGGCTCAGGATGTGGAATCGAAGATCCGAGTTGGCTGTGCCTGGCTCATCCCGGTCTGAAGCCTCAAGGAAGAGGAAGGGGATGCCTGGTTCACGGTGGGAGGGCAAACTGTAAGGGATAGAGAGGGTGGGGAGAGTCTCCCATGCCTCTCCTATTTCTCCTCTGTCCTTTCTTCCCTATCCATTATCACATCAGGACTCCGGAGATGAGCCACGGCTTTTCGTCCTACTTCCCAGATGAGCAAACTGAAGCCAAGAATGGATGGCACCCTCAGTGGAGTAGGGAGGAACAAGGTGGGACAGAAATGGTACAGGATGGGCCAGGTGCAGTGGCTCATGCCTGTAATTCCAGCACTTTGGGAGGCTGAGGCAGGCAGACCACCTGAGGCCAGGAGTTCGAGACCAGCCTGGCCAACAAGGCGAAACCCCGTCTCTTTTAAAAATACAAAAAAAATTAGCCGGGCATGGTGGCGGGTGCCTGTAATCCCAGCTTCTTGGGAGGCTGAAGCAGGAGAATTGCTTAAACCTAGGAGGTGGAGGTTGCAGTGAGCTGAGATCGCGCCATTGCGCTCCACTCCAACCTGGGTGACAGTGAGTCTCCATCTCAAAAAAAAGAAAAAAAGAAAAGAAAAAAGAGAAAAGAAAAGAAAAAAGAAATGGGACAGAAATGGCTGCCCTGTCCTATGCCAACTGTCTGGCCATCTCTTCGCTCTCTGCTGTTCCATCAAGGCCCACCTGACCTTACTGTAAATTGGCTGCCCTGGTCACTCACCAGGCCTGGTACCCCGGCTCAGCCGAGCTCTGTAGATGGCTTGAGAGAAATGGGGCACCTGGTCATTCTCATCCTTCACGTGCACAAGCACAGGCTGTGGACCCCACAAGACATGTCCATCCTGCATCTCCAGGGTGACCTGGCAGGGAAGGGGAGTCAGCGTCTGGCTCTGCCTTGCCTGCTCTCCCCTACACCTGGCCCAGCCATACCTGTAGCTGGTACTCTGCCTGCTCCTCTCGGTCCAGGGCCCTGGTCACCAGCAGGAAGCCAGAATCTGGATCCATAGCAAATGGGCCCTCAGTTGCCTTGCCTGAGTCCCCTGACAGCACGATCTGGCCTTCAGCCCCCTCACGGGGCAGCGGCAACTGATGGAAATGAACAGAAGTGAAGGGAGCGGTGGCCAGGCCTGGGAGATGCCCCTCCTCCACCTGATGGCCTCATTTTACATGTGGGGAAACTGAGTCTCAGAGACATCTGGCTCCTGTCAGAGGTCACACAGCCAGTAAGCATCAGGACTGAGACTCAGAGCCAGAACTCTTTTCCCTGGACCTGATGCTCCCCAAAACTCTCTGCCCTTCTTTCTGAAGCTTGAAACCTCACCACCGAGATTTCGTTCTTTAATCTAAAGCTCTGCTCTCCACTAGGATTAAAATCTGTTAGTCATTCCCACTGCAGGTTGAGCATCTCTAACCCGAAAATCTGAAATCTGAAATACTCAAAATCTGAAACTTTTTGAGCGCCAATATGATGTGACAAGTACAGAATGCCGCATCTGACCTCATGTGACAGGTCACAGTCAACACATAGTCAGAACTTTGTTTCATGCACAAAATCATTAAAAATATTCGCCCAGGAGCAGACTCACACTGGGCTCTTGGCCACTCAAGGATTCTGTCGGAATTTCACCTCTGTACTGTCAGCTCCTTCTGGCCATAGCCTCCCCAGCTCGCAAATCCCAAAGTGGTAATCCCAGCACTTTGGGAGCCCAAGACGGGCGGCTCACCTGAGGTGAGGTGTTCAAGACCAGCCTGGCCAACATGGCGAAACCCTGTCTCTACTAAAAATACAAAAAAAAAAAAAAAAAATTAGCCAGGAGTGGTGGTGCATGCCTGTAGTCCCAGCTACTCAGGAGGCTGAGGCAGGAGAATCTCTTGAACCCAGGACGTGGAAGTTGCAGTGAGCTGAGAACATGCTACTGCACTCCAGCCTGGGCGACAAGAGCGAAACTTCGTCTCAAAAGAAAAAAAAATGTATAACGTTACCTTCAGGCTATGTGTATAAGATGTATATGAAACATAAATGAATTTCCTATCTAGATTTGGGTTCCATTCCCCAAGATATCTCATGATATATATGCAAATATTCCAAAATCTGAAGAAAAAAAAAAATCCAAAATCTGAAACACTTCTGGTCCCAAGCATTTCAGATAGGGGACACTCAACCTGTGTAACGTGTACATACTCTCTGGAAAGCAGGATTTCAAAGAGAAACAGCAAGAGGAAGGGTGCCAGAGGAAGGAGAAGCAGGACTTTGCGGGGAGGGATCCCCCCGGCCCCAACCCCAGCTCTCCGGCTCACCTTGGTCAGGTATAAAGGGAAATTTCCACCATAGTTTTCTGGAACTTCCACAGACAGCTCTGCAGGCTGGGCCTTGGGGAGAGCCTGTGGGAGGATTCTCACCTTGTCACCAGGCTCTATCTTCCTGCGTGGGCACTGAGACCCAACAGAAGAGCGGAATTTCCGCCCCTTCCCAGGGCCTGGCTGTACCTTAGTCCATCCACCCGCGCTCTGGTCTTTGACCTCCTCATCCCACAGTGGCTCTATAGTCCCAGCTCTGACCCCTCCCATGCCTTGCACCGTTCTCACGGTCAGTGCAATTGGTCCAGGTGGAGTTGGGGGCAAGGGTGTCAACCCCCAAAGCCAAGACCTGAAGGAGAGGGGGCAGGGCCTAGCTCACCTGGGGGACGGAGACACAAAGCAGCCACAGCCAGGCAGGGACCATGGTCAGGACAGGCCTGAGGGACACGGCAGTGAGGATCCAGCCCAGGTGGGTAGGGAGGGGCTTTCCATCCCACACACACAACTAGTGGGATCGTACTGCAGACTAGTCTTCTCTTCCTCCCCTCCAAAGGAGCTGAGGCTCTCCATCTCCTGCAGGGTAGTGCCCTGCTCCTCGGCCAGGCCCACCAAGGCCCCCAGGCCCAGCCACCCTGCTTCTAGGCTCTTGGTCCATCAAGCACTCTATCAGAATTTCACCTCCAGACCTCCAGCTCCTTCTCACCATAGCCTCCCCAGGCCGCAGATCCCAAAGTGGTAATTTTCTAGCAATCCCCCAAATCACAAAAGTTTGAAGCTGGAAAGTTCCTGAAGACTTGGAGGGTCACTTCCTGAAGTCACCTCTTGTTGCAGGCAAGGCCTGAATGCTGGGGTCTGGCCAAGGTCACAGAGGACTTGACCACAGGAGGAGTCCTCCTAGCTCAGGGCCTCTGGGACTGTCCTGCCTCCCACTGCCACCTTCTAGACAAGGAGAACCCCCGGAGCAGGAGCCCGGCCCTTGTCTCATCATTTTCCAGCCCTTGTCATGGAGCTGGGCAGGCAGAGCAGCGACAAATCGACAACCCCTCTAAGATGAGGCCCTGGGAATTCTTTCCCAGATGGCGAGGACAGGGCAGTGTTTCTCCTTTCCCCACCACCAACCTCAGCCTCAGCCATGCCCTCCCCTCCACTCCCAGCCCCTCACCCTCCAGCGCCCAAGACTGGCTCCCTTGGTCCAGCTGCCAAGCAAGAAGAGAGCTCCTTCTCCAGGGGGCTCTGGCCAGGCTGGGCTGGGTGGGGCAAGGCAGGGCACTTGAGCAGGTAGGAGGGTTCAGCCACGCTTGCTCAGGAGTGGAAAAGGCCACTGGGCCCACAGCAGCAGGCCTGGCCCCGCCCAGCCCCCCAAGTTACTCATTGACTTTGGAAAGCCAGGAGCTGCTCAGCATCCGTGACTGCCAGCTCCAGGAGGTGGGGAGATGGTTGGCCTGGCACTCCCTCGACCCCAGCACAGCCCAGGAGGTATTCCTTGGCCCTCTGGTTCTGGACGTTACTTTTTCTGTGGCTCCAGACTTGGTCTGACTTATCTCCCAGGCTCCAGTGTCTGCAGCCACACCTTTTCACACTCTGTTCCTTTTGCATGGAACACCCTTCCCACTCATTCATCTGTGTGGTAAGCACCTGCTCATGCATGCTTCAGTGCTCAGCTCAAATATTCCTTTTTCCAGGAAACTTCCCCTATGTTCCCAGGCTTGTTCAGGAGCCTCCTCTGGGAATGCCCCTCCCCCTCACACCATGCCATGTGCTATCTCTATTAATACACAGAGGACACCAGCTTGTCATTGTCTGCCTCTTCCATTAGATTGGGAGCCCTTTGAGAGCAGAACTCAGGGACTCAGGAATGACCTGGCTCTCATTCTGCCCTGGCAGCTCCGCATGGCTTGTGGAACTAAGACAAGGAGCTGGAGGTTGCAAAGGATGGGTGAGCAGTACATGAGTGGAAGTGGGTATTGGGGCTCCAGACCACCCCCCCCAGGGGGACCTGTGGTGGGGGAGTGCAGCAGCCTATGAGCTCCCGAAGTCCTTACACTGGCCACTCAACAGTGACAGGGCTGAGACAGTGGGCAGTCTCATGCCCCTAAGAAGATTAAACTGGCTCAGGTGACCTTGAGGGAGTTGCAGGGCTGAACAGGGGCTCTCCCCGCAATGAGGGCAGCCAAGCAGAGCCAGGAGATGCTTCTGGGGCCTGGGAGTCTGGAATGAGGGGAGAGGGTGGGAAGAAGGTCTCCAGTCCCTCTCCAGCCTTGGAGCTTCCCATGGTCCCCACGAAGTCCTTCCCACTGTACATCTGATTAGTCTCTCTCAGGCCAGAAGCTACCCCCAGCTGCCCCCAGCCTTGTCACAAGCTGAGTGCCTGCTTCAGGGTCACTCTGGCACCCAGCCTGGAGCAGTGTAGTGTGGGGAGGTTGAAGGGGGTTTCACACGTGTTAAGCTCCTGCTCTGTGCCCAGCACTGCTCTGAGCACATACCTTCATTATGCCACATACTGCGTTCTGAAGGGGCATTGGGCACATGCTGGGGCACAGAGAAGCTGAGTGGTTTGCCTAGGGTCACACAGTCAATAAGTGACAGAGCCAGGAAGGCCTGGGGACCCTCACTTGATCTGAAAATACCATGCCTTCTGCATTCCTTGAAGTATGTGGGGAGGAGGGGCAGAGCAGCAACAGCTCTGAGCAGTTACCTCTGCCCTGGGGAGCACGTGGGTGAATCTCAGCGCTCCCCTGTACATGGAGGGGCAGCCCTCAAGCCTCCTCCTGCCATTCAATAAGCTGCAATCAGGATTCTAACCAGGTTGCCAGGGCTCCCTGGAGTCTGTGGAATGAATAAATTGAATAAATTGAACTAAGGAAGGAATGTATGGACCTTGGCCCAGAACCTTCTTAGAAACTGCCCCCCACCTTGCCCCAGGCTGCCTCCAGGCTTTGGAGATGGGCAGACCTGTATACCAGTCCCCACTCAGCCACTTCCCACCCAGCACCAGATGGGGATGGTTTTTCCTGAGACCATGTAGATAAAAACTCTTAGCAGCACTTGTGCCGAGGGTGAGGGAATGAATAAATTGAATAAATTGAACTAAGGAAGGAATGTATGGACCTTGGCCCAGAACCTTCTTAGAAACTGCCCCCCACCTCGCCCCAGGCTGCCTCCAGGCTTTGGAGATGGGCAGACCTGTATACCAGTCCCCACTCAGCCACTTCCCACCCAGCACCAGATGGGGATGGTTTTTCCTGAGACCATGTAGATAAAAACTCTTAGCAGCACTTGTGCCGAGGGTGAGGGAGCCATGGGCATGGGTGGGCAGGGAGACAGGTGCATCCCTAAACATAAGCACGAGTACACCTTCCTATACAAATGCAAGACCTCTCATTCCAGGCAGGGCGGGCTCCCGGCAGCTGTTCCCACCAAAACTGAATTAGCCAATGCTGAGCATGGAATGTTCTGGCCTGGATACTCATGGTAGAGAGAACAGTGAGTGCCTCCTCCGTAGCTCAACCCCAGTGAAGTGGTGGAGGAGCCATGTGGAGCTGTGTGTGCCTTCACAAACCACCCCTCGGAGGTCTCTATCCCCAACCTCAGCTGATTCCAGCCCCTCAAGAGGGAACAGGGCAGAAATACCAGCTGTGGAGCCAGATCCTGTCTGGTTGTGAGACCCAGGGTTCCTGCCTGGTTGTGAGACCCAGGGTTCCTGCCTGGTTGTGAGACCCAGGGCAGAATGTGCTCCCCTGAGCAGCCTGTTTCCCTTTATGGACAGTGAAGTGATTGAACCCTCAATCAGTTGGGCAACGCCAGGCCCCAGTGCAGAAAGAGAAGAATCTGGATAACAGGGACTGGGAGGGGTTTGTGTCTCCTGCTCCTTGAACCTCTAACCAGACCCGATGCCCATCCCAGCTGGCTAAATCTGGACCCTCACATTAACACATCATGGCCACACACTAGGGTGGGGCAGTGAGCCCCCATCCCTCAACTTCAGAAATCCTTCCAGCTCCTGAAGCGCCCAGATAGGAGGAAAGAGAGTCAACAGCCATGACTATCAGGAAATAGCCTTTATTACAAAAATCTGCATGTAAACAAATAGCTACCGCACTGAAGAGCCTCCCTCCAGGGCAGGCACACCCGGGCTGTGAAAAAAGGCAGAGTCCTCTCCCGGCACGCAGGCCTGCCCGGCGGCTGCGCTGCGGCTGCTTGGGACGCATATGAGCCTGCGCATGCATCTCTGTGGGCCCAGCCCTCACTGGCCCCTGAGAGCCACTTCGCAGGGCAGCACTGTCTATCTGTCCATGACCATGAGGTTGGGGGTGCCCGGCTGGCAGCTCCGAGGGACCCAGAGTCTGAGCCTGCTCTGAGGCACCCGGGGCAGTTGGCTGGGCCAGCCCACCAACCCTTCCGTTCGTCTCCCACCATAGTGGGAGCGGGTGGGACCTAGAGAACCGAGAGGTCGTGGCAGGACTTGGATTTGGCGCGAAAGGCCATCTTGCGGCTGTTACGAGCTACGATGCGGCCCAAGAAGCGCTTCGCCTTTTTGCCAAGGCTCTCTCGCCTCCGGGTGCCTGCTTGCCGTCGTGCGTTGGCTTCTTTGCTGTCCCTGCGCAGGCGTATCTGGCGCACGACACCTTCAAACAGCGCCTGGACATTGTGGTGCAATGCCGCTGATGTCTCAATGAACTTGCAGTCAAAGACCACCGCGCAGGCCCGGCCCTCTGTGTGGGTGGGGAAAGGCAGGCACCAGTAAACAAAGGGTGGGTGAATGAGGAGTCCCCTCCAACAGTGGCCACCCATGGAAGCTGCCACTCGAGAATTTGCAAGGTCCTCCCCGAAAACACAGAGACCCCAGCTCCTGTACTGAGGGTACTGGGCACTGCTGCGTCACCCAGTAGGCAGAGTGCCTGCATTTAAGGAGCCCCCAAAACAGTGGCCCTCAAAAGGAGATCCATTTATTGAAATAATTTGAAGCCTGATATTTAAACAAAGTACGACAGTAGTAAACACAGGAAAATGAGAACTATGTTGGACAACTTAGTATTTTATTTTATTTTATTTTATTTTTCTGAGATAGAGTCTCGCTGTCTCCCAGGCTGGAGTGCAGTGGCACAATCTCTGCTCACTGAAAGCTCCGCCTCCCGGGTTCACGCCATTCTCCTGCCTCAGCCTCCCGAGTAGCTGGGACTACAGGCGCCCGCCACCACGCCCGGCTAATTTTTGTATTTTTAGTAGAGATGGGGTTTCACCATGCTAGCCAGGATGGTCTCGATCTCCTGACCTCGTGATCCACCCGCCTCGGCCTCCCAAAGTGCTGGGATTACAGGCGTTAGCCACCCCCTGGCCCATGCCCCGCACAACTTAGTATTTTTTAATTCGAGGTTATATCATGATGAATGATCCAGTGGACTGGGGTTGCGGAGGCAAGGTCACCAAGTCACTGCTGGGTTCCTCTGAGGGGCTCAGTACTGGGGTCCACAGAAAAGGATGCTGAGGCCAAGTGGGAAGGGTCTTCCCCAGGGCCAAGTCTACTCTAAGAATGGCCCAGACCTAGCACACAGGCTCTGACCTCCTGGCCTGTTCCCCTACACTCTCTTCCACCCATTTACCCCCCCAACCAGCCAGGCCAGGACCAAGAGGGGCAGGAGAGGAGGGCCCTGCGGTGCCCAGCTCCCCTATCAGATTTGGTTCTTTCCCCAGCCCTCTGGGGCCTTCCGGAGCCCTGTGAGCAGGCACCAGCTCTCTCCCATTTCCCTCCCCGCCAGTTTTCTTTCTGAACATTTTTAGCCTCTGATGATCCCCAGGGACTCAAGCTGAGCCAAGACTGCCTGGATCAGGGCCCAGCTGGGCTCTCCCTCCCCCTGCAACCTGCCGCCTACTCACCATCCACCGAGACCTCACGAGAGCGCACCAGGTCGCTCTTGTTGCCCACGAGGATGATGGGCACATCATCTGTTTGCCGTGCACGCCGCAGCTGGACCCGCAGTTCTGAGGCCTTCTCGAAGCTGCCCTTGTCCGTCACTGAGTACACAATGACATAGGCATCCCCCATGGCCATGCAGTGGCCGGGCAACCAGCGGCCCCCGTCCTGGAGAACACACAACACACATCTGCCCAACAGTCCTCATGCCCCCGACACGAGCCTGGCACTCCCAGACCTCTAACCCAACTCACTCCTCCCTCCCCTGCCCTGGGTCTCTGCTTGCACCCTACCTGCTCCCAAATGTCGTAGACCATGAGTGATGCCTCTTCTCCGTCCACTACAATGGAGCGATCATAGGTGTGCCCTAGGCAGAAGGCCAGTAGACAGGTTACCAGCTGGTTGTCAAAGCCGCTGCTGCCAGGTTTCCTGTTCTGGCCACACCCTCCAACTCTTCCCCAGAGCCCTCCTTACCCTCCACTCCACTTGCAGATGCTGGTATGTGGCAACAGCAGTGCCAGGCAGGGAAGTGGGGGCTGGAGGGCATGGTGTGCCTGACCTCCACCCACATGCCCCCCCTGGGGACCTTGGCCACCTAGGGCTCCTCTCTTAGAAATCCCTCTGGTTAGAAACTCTGACCTGTCCCTGATAGGCAGGGAGGGATGTCCAGTCCCATCCCACAGAGTAGCCATATCTATGCCCTGGCCTTCTACTCTGGGCATTTCTTCCCTACCAAAGGCTGGGGGGTGTCCCTTCTCCTTTCCTTTCCCCATTTATGAAGTGGGTAGGTAGAGGCATGATTCTGAAAGCGCCAATAGAATTCCACAGTATTGGCCAGGTGCGGTGGCTCACGCCTGTAATCCCAGCACTTTGGGAAGCCAAGGTGGGCGGATCACGAGGTCAGAAATTCCAGACCAGCCTGGCCAACATGGTGAAACCCCAACTCTACTAAAAACACAAATATTAGCCGGGCGTGGTAGCAGGCGCCTGTAATCCTAGCTACTCTGGAGGCTGAGGCAGGAGAATCCCTTGAAACCTGAAGGCGGAGGTTGCAGTGAGCCTAGATCGAGGCCACTGCACTCCAGCCTGGGAAAAAGAGCGAAACTCTGTCTCAAAATAATAATAAAATAATAATAATAATAATAATAACAACAACAACAACTATAATTCCACGGTATTTGCGGCTTTGAGTACCGGTCTCAGCCCCTAGTCCTAGCCCCGGGATCGCCCCTCCCCTGAACAGCTGGGTCCCCTCACCTGCTGCCTCTGCTTCAGGCCCGTCCTCCACACCGCCGAAGATGCGCGCCAGGGCGCTCTTGCCCACGCCGGGCGCCCCCAGCAGCAGCACCTTGTAAACGCTCTCGTCTGAGTCGCTGCCCCCTGAGCTGAGCGAGTCCTCGGAGTCCTCGGGCCAGTCCAGCCTGGGACCCTGGGTCCCCGTCCCGGCCGCGGCCGCCGTCAGGGCACCCGGGGTCAGCGCCGCCTGCAGGTCGCGCTCGTCCACCGGCATGCTGCGGCGGTGCAGCGGCGGGGCGGGGCCCCAGGGTGTGCTGCCCCGACGGCGCTCGCGCTCCTGGCCCCCACCGCGGCTCCCGCCCGCTCCGCTGCCGCCGCCGTTCAGGGTCATCGCGTCCGGGACCGTCTAGGGGATCAGGAACCCGAGTGGCCGTGTAAGCCGCGAGGGAGGCGGGACCCGGGGCGCACCTGCCCAACCCGGAGTCAGGCGGGATGCTCCGGCCGAGGTCCCGCCGCAGCCCTCCCCCAGCCCCCAGGTCGCGGCGCCCTCACCCGGGACCCCTCCGGACCTGGCGCATCCATCTGCAGCCGCCCCGACCCCGCTCCGCCAGGACACTCACCCACTCGCACACAGACACGCTCAGGACTAGGATCCGGATTAGGAGGCCACGCACTCGTAGTCCGGACTCGGACTTTAGGGTTTCCGCCGCCGCTGCTGCTGCAGCCACCGCCTTCTCAGCCCGCACTGGGCTCTGGCTCCAGAGCCGCCTATTTAAGCCTCCACCCGCCCCCGCTCCCGCCCCCGGTCCACGCTGCTGCGGGGGCTGACGTGTCTGTCCACCCCCACCAGGGGAATCCCCCACCCTCTTCCTCGGACCTTACATCCCCGACACCCCGCCCTACCCGCCAGGGGAGTAGCGGTAGCTGTCTGGGAATAGAGGGGCTGACCGGTAGGCGAGGTCCGGAGCTGAGGGTGTGTGTGAGAAGGAGAGAGAGAGCGAGGTTGCGGGGGGAGTACGTGATGGGGAGGCAGGCAGCGGGGTAAACCCAATCAGCCAAAAGCAGCAACTGCCCTCTGGAGAAGAATTCGGTCTGGCCCCGTGAGACTGAATTCTCCCTTTCCTCTCCCCAAGTCCCGGCTCGTCCTTTTAGCAAGTAAGCTAGTTACAGGCTGGACAGAGATCCCCCTTCTCTGCCCATGACACCCACTCCCCATAGGCTCAGGTCTGAGCTAGAATTTAGGGGGTGTCCTAAATTCACACAAAATCCTTTCCACTCCCCATCCTGGAGTTGAAGATTCTCCCTAATGAGCCTAACCTTCAGTGTGAGGGTTGGTGTCACCCCATGAGCCCCTGGGGGCCCTGAGAGGGCTGTTGGGGGTGGGGGCAGCTCTGACAGAGTTGCAGGTGGAGATGCCTGCTTGAACCCTGGGGAGGATACCCCAGCCCAGAAGAGGGAAGGGATTAAACTCAGTCCCCATCCCACCTCCCAGCACCCACCAGGCAGCTGCCAGCAACTCTGCTAAAAATAAATAATCTGCCCCAGCCCTGGCCCTGGCCGTGGCTCTGGTTATTCTGCTCCTGGACTGGAAGTTGCCCAGAGTTGGGGAAATCCAGGCCAATGGGTGTTGAATGCCAGCAGGAGCCAGCCACTTCGAGTCGTCAAGGTCTCCCTTCTTCCCTCTAGCTGTAGGCTGAGCCAGCCACCCAGGGCACATCCAGGGCCTGGAGGTTCAGGCCCCCACCCAAAAGGGGCATAAACACAGGGTGTGGTCAAGGCATGAGGAGTGTCTTAGCTCCCTGCTCATCTCTCAGGGGTCTGAGGGTTGCAGGTCAGGCTGTGAGGTATTTTGTGACAGGGACCTGCTATCAGACTGTGACATCTGATTGTGACAAGTGTGGTGGGGGTGGGAGGGCATCCATTTGGGGCTCAGGTGACATCACAGATGGATGGACCCTGGTGGGCTGTGGTAGGTTGTCATGGAGACCTGGGCCAGGCTCTTTGGCTGCTGCATCAGTTTCCTTGGCAACGCCTAAGAAGGCCTTGGATTGAGGAGGGCCTGGCTCGGTAAGATTAGGGCCCTCTTGTCCTTGAGGTCTTCAAAGTAGGCAAAAGCTGGGCTGAGGGGTGGCCTGCCCATGGTCCTAGGGGATCTTGGAGGCCTGAGCATCCCCATGCTGGTTCTGGCTTCCTGAACGAACTCCAGTGGGAAGAGGAAGTTATGGGCAGAGCCTCCCGTTAGCAGGCAAGTCTAAAGAGCCACCACACACTTCCCATGAGGAATCCTGGCTGGGCTGCCTGTGCCCCCTCCAACCCCATGACTGTGCCACTGGAAAGAGCCTCCTCTGGGTGTCTGGCAGAGGGCGAGGGTGGGGGGTAGCTGTGGCCCTTCCCAGCAGGGGGCCATGCAAAGAAGGAGGGCTGGGTTTCCCCTCTGGCAATCTGAGCTCTTGACCTCAGCAGTGTTTCTTCATTGCCAAGGGAACTGCAACCACAAAGGGCCACTCAAGCCCCAGGCATTCCAGTGGCTGCTCCAACAGGCCAGAGACACTCACCACAAGCTAGATATGGCCAGGGGCCCCAGGGATTAACACCAGGACACAACCTTGAGACACCCCCACTCCCACCACCTGGTTCTCCCAGCTCTCTGGGCTGAGCATGGCTGCCCAGGAGGAATAAACTGAGGCTAGAACCACTCCTAGGTCCGCCCGGGCTTCAGATCCCAGCTGTGCTCCTTGCTAGCTGTTTCACCTGTGTCCATTTATCTAGGCTGAGCCTCAGTTTCTCCAGTGTAGAACAGGGATCACCTCTTCCTGATGGTTATTATAAGACAAAACAAACATGAAATGCAGAGGCACAGTAGTTGGCTCAAGTCGGGCACACAGTAATATCTCACTAAGAGCACGTTTATCATGATCATCCTTCGTTGGATGGGGCAGGTTAGGTGAATTTGTGGTCCCTCTCCTGTTTCTGCTCCACTCTCTCCAGGATGGTGGTCTGTCCAGGAGTGGGGCAGAGGTCTCAGGAACAATGCAGATACCTCTCCCCTAGCCCCATACCCATGTCTCCTCTCTGTAGGACCCCACACTCTTCCCCGTCCCTCAGGTGACAAGATGCTGCAGAGGGAACTGGGCTGGGCTTCAGTGTCCCCACCCCCTCCTCACACCACAGCCTTCAGGCCCCAGAGCCTCTGCTGTGTTCTAAGGCCCAATGCATTCATTCATTCCGCGGTCCTGTACTAAATACCTACTGTGTGCCAGGCCCTTGTGCTGGGGGCAGGATGATGAGCAAAAATAGACATGGCCGGGCATGTTCATACATGTCATCTAATCCCTGGGTCAAACTCAGCTATGATTTGTTGTTCCCATTTTGTAGACATGGTAACCAAAGCCTGAGGAGTCACAGGCCAGAAACAGCAGAGCCAGACATACCTGGTGGAGGGTTTCAGGAACCTCAAACTTCACCATCCCCTGTACCCTTGTGTCCTCAGATAGCATCTGGGGTTCCAGAAAGTTCCCTGGGCACTGGCCCAGGATGCACAGATGGTGGCCCTGCAGGCAGCCAGGGGCCAGGCACTGATGAGTCAAGAGTGACAAGAGAACTATCTGATATGTCAGCTGTGGCATGAGCAGTTTGGTGTCCCTCACCCACCATGGCCTGGCTGCCAGGAAGGCCAGCCAAATGACTCAATCACACCTGCCGCCCCCATGACTCCCTTCATCCCCAGCTCAACACAGACACCATGGCCACCTCAGACAGGGACTGTCCGGCAGAAGGTACACACGTCGTAGGGTGTGAGGCCTTCAGCTCGGGAAGGCTCCCTGGGGCTCAGCTGTTCACTCTGCCTCTCTGGAGCCCTCAGCTTCCTCATCTGTGCGGGATACAGTGCCTAGATCATCAGAGCTAGGCCTAGACCCATTTAAATCTCCCAAGGGCAGTCCCAAGTGGTTGCCATGACTATCCCCCTCACAGATGAAGAAGCTCTGGGCAATAGGGGCTGATGGCTTCACCTCTCTGATCTTAGGTAGCCAGATCCAGCACCTCCTCTTGGTCATTAGGTGGCGAGGCCACTCCCTCCTAAGAGTGAGCTGAGTGGGAGCAATAGGAGTTGGGGTTCAGGATGGGCTTAGCCCCTTCTGTAGGCAACGGCGCCCCCTGCCAGCTGCACAGCACCTATCAAGCTGCTCAGGGCCTCCTTTACTCCCTAGCTGTAAGTTTTTTTTTTTTTTTGAGACAGGGTGTTGCTCTGTCACCCAGGACGGAGTGCAGTGGCACAATCATAGCTCACTGCAGCCTCAACCTCCTGGGCTCAAGCGATCCTCCCACCTCCGCCTCCCGAGTAGCTGGAACCACAGGCATGCACCACCATTCCCCACTAAATACACACACACATTTTATTTTAGAGACAGGGTCTTGCTATGTTGCCCAGGCTTGCCTCAAAATGCTGGGCTCAGGCGATCCTCACATCAGCCTCCCAAAATGCTGGGATTACAAGTGTGAGCCACCGTGCCCGGCTAGATGTCTTGAGAAGTAAATTAGAGTTGTCCCTTGGTATCCACAGGGGATTGGCTCCAGGATCCCCATGAATCCCAAAATCCATGAATACTTAACTCCTTTACATATATTTTTTTACTTTGTTTTTTAAACTCAACTTCAGTGGCTGAGATCAAGTCTCTTATATAAAATGGCACAGTATCTGCATTTAACCTCTGCACATTCTTCCATATATTTTAAGTCATCTCCGGATTACTACTGTAATACCTAATACAATGTAAATGCTATGTAAGTTGTTGTTAGACTGCATTGTTTAGGGAATAACAACAAGAAAAAAAGTTTGTACATGTCCAGTACAGACACAGTCATCCTAGGCCTAACTACATTTTCGATCCACAGCGGGTTGTACCCATGGATGTAGAACGCATGGATAATGGAGGTCTGACTACATTTATTCTAGAAGCCCATTTCCTGTCCGAAAATTGGGGATAAAGAATAGCAAGCGAGGTGTGATGGCACATGCCTGCAGTCCCAAGAATTCAGGAGGCTGAGGCAAGAGAATCCCTGGAACCCAGGCATTCAAGGCTGTAGTGTGCTATAATCATACCTACGGATAGCCACAGTACTCCAGCCTGGGCAACATAGCGAGATTCTGTGTCTCAAAAAAAAAAAAAAAAAAGAGAGAGAGAGGATAGCAATTGCTGCATAGGGCTGGATGGAGAACTGACTAGATAGTAAGTGTAAAGCCCTCGACTGAATTCCACTCTTAGGATAGGCTCAATGCTGTCAGCAGGCCCTCAAGAACAGATCTGCAAAATGGCCAGGATCCCTACTGAGGCTTCTCTGCCCACAATCATATCTGGGCCTCAGTAGGGATGAGGTGGGGTTGGGCACTGCTTCTTAATATTGCCATTTATCTTCAGAGAATGAGACTAAAGCAGGAAGGATGCTCCCCCTGGGAAAGTGATCCTAACCAGCTAAGCCAAGGTCTAAGCCCTACAGTCTGTCCAGGTGACCAAATGCAATCTGGGCATAGGGCCAAGGGGAGGCAGAGGCCTTAGACCCGAGCACGTCACTTCACAGTGCTGAGCTTCCCTCTTACTCAACACTGGGGGTGACACATGCCTTTGGGAGGGCTGATTGAGAGGGTGCCTCAGGTTCCCTTCAACAGAGAAGTCTGATGTCACTGCCCTTATCAGGGACCAGACGGCCATCACTAACAGCTGGAAAAGCTGGCATCACACACCTACTAGTGGGCTTATAAAATATATATGCCACTCCTGGGCAGGGTTTTCATCAAAAAGCGCAAACCTGGACTCACTGAGGCCTTTAGACCAATTTCCAGTTAAAGGCAACACAAATCAGGAACAAATCAGACTGCAGAACTGGGACTTCTCTGAACTTTTCCAAACAATCACTGTGAAAAAAGACAAAGGGCTGGGCGTGGTGTTCACACCTGTAATCCCAGCAGGTTGTGGGGCTTGAGCCTGGGAGTTTAAGACCAGCTTAGGCAACATAGGGAGACCCAGTCTCTACAAAAAATTAAAAAATTAGCCTGGCATGGTAGCACACGCCTGTAGTCCCAGCTACTCGGGAGACTGAGGCAAGAGGATCACTTGGGCTTAGGAGGTTGAGGCTACAGTGAGCTCTGATCACATCACTGCACTCCAGCCTGGGTGACAGAGCAATACACTACCTCTTAACAAAATGTTTTTTTGAATTAAAAAAACTGAAAAACAGCTAGGTGTGATACTCAAGCCTGTAATCCCAGTGCTTTGGCGGACCAGGTGAGAGAACTGCTTGAGGACAAGAATTTGAGACCAGGCTGGGCAACACGGCAAGGCCTCATCTCTACCCCCAAAAATAAAAAATAAAAATAAATAAATAAATAAATAAATAAATATTCTTTTGATTGGGCTGGTTGGGGTGGCTCATACCTGTAATCCCAACATTTTGGGAGGATGAGGCAGGAAGATCACTTAAGCCCAGGAGCTAGAGTCCGGCCTGGGCAACCTAGGAGACCCTGTCTCTACAAGAAAATTAAAAATTAGCCAGGCACGGTGGTGCATGCCTGTAGTCCCAACTATTCGGGAGGCTGAAGTGGGAGGATCGCTTGAGCCCAGGAGGTCAAGGCTGCAGAAAGGTATAATTGTGCCACTGTATTCCAGCCTGGGCAACAGAGCAAGACTGTGTCCCCTCAAAGAAAAAAAAATTTGGCCAGGAATGGTGGTGTATGCCTGTAATCCAAGCTACTTGGGAGGCCAAGGCTGGAGGATTGCTTGAACCCAGGAGTTGGAGGCTGCAGTGAGCTACAATCTTGCCACTGCACCTGGGCCTGGGCAACAGGGTAAGACCTTGTCTCAAAAACAAAACAAAAACAACTATGATGACACATTAGGGAAATCCAGATATGCCTGGGTATTAGATGGTGTTGAGGAACTGTTCATTTTCTGATCAGATAAAAGTATTGTGGCTATACAGGCTTATATTGACTATAGGAGCTGCAGTACTTCAAAGTGAAGAGTCAAGTCTCTGCAGCTTACTTACTGATATTTATATATGCACACATAAATATGGCCAGTGTTGCAATATGTCAACAACTGTTGACTCTACTGGTGGTGGTGAGCATACAGGCACATTCGTACACTACTCTTTCCATTTTGATTTTATTTTACGAAAAGTTGCAAGTACACCACCCTTTAGAGGCACTTACTACCACCATCCCCCCCTCAAACTCCAAATGACTCCACCAAGATGAAAGACACCAAGGCATGCTGGGAACTGAATATAAATTAACTTTATTACAAAAAGCAAAATGTTAGTTTCTCATTGTGAGTGATTCAAGAAAACAACGGTAACAGCCCTGGCAGGAGCTGGGACCAGGATACCAGTATGCAGGCTGAGGGGTCAAAGGCCAGGCTCAGGAGCGGGCTGACAGGCACTGATTCACAACCTCCAAGAGGTGGGTGTTCTCCAGGGCAGCTGCCACCCGCTCCTTATCTGCAAGTTGCTTGTTCACTAGGTGGGAAGAAGGGTGTGGGGAAGGCAGAGTCAAAGCTAGGCTCTGGCCAGAGTGCTAGCCAGCCCTACCTCTGAACCTCTATATAGGATATGTCCCCCGCAGCAACAGAGCCCTCCTGTCACCTCCTTCCCAGGACCCCACATATTGATCAGGCTACTTCAACCACCTGAGCCCACCTAATCTGCCTTCTTAGGATCCCTCCCCCTGGCTGCCTCCTGCGCTGCTGAAGCCTGACACACTCTGGTCCTGTATATTTGGTGAGAGGGGATTTGGGAGAAGAGGACATGGTAAGCAAAGGAGAGTCTTCTCAGGCCAGCTTCGGTCTAGGCTATAACCCATACTGAGGAGTCTCTGGCAATTTCACTCACACAGTTACCCATCTCCAGTCTTGCCCATAGACTCCTGTGCAAGGGGGAAGCCTCAGACTGCTTAGGGGGTGCCCGGGCCAACACCCTCACCACCAGTCCACACTTACCTGCATGCTCTGAGGCATGGGTCCCCGGAGTAATGTGCACGTCCATCTGGGAGGGAGATAACCAGGGCCTGAACACCCACCCACCGACCCACACTTTTCCCTGCAGCCCCCAGACCCTCAGGCACCATCTCCAGCTGATCCTTCCTCCTAATCATGCCTTTGGACTCTGGCCCTTCCGTTACACCCCAAACCCATCCACAGGTATTCCAATTCTTTTTTTTTTTCCAAGACTGAGTCTTGCTCTGTTGCCCAGGCTGGAGTGCAGCAGCGCAATCTCGGCTCACTGCAACCTCTGTCTCCCAGGTTCAATTTGATTCTCCTTCCTCAGCCACCCGTGTAGCTGGGACCACAGGCACACACCACCACGCCCCACTAATTTTTGTATTTTTAGTAGAGATGAGATTTCACCATGTTGGCCAGGCTGGTCTCCAACTCCTAACCTCAGATGATCCACCCGCCTCAGCCTCCCAAAGTGCTGGGATTACAGGCGTGAGCCACCGCGCCCGGCCCTAGCTATTCCAATTCTATCCAAAGAACTGGCCCACTACTGTTGATTTAAAGGCCTGCCTGTGCCCCACCCCTGGTCCAAACCCATCTGCCGCTCCCTACTGCCCTTCCTGCCACACTCTTCAATACTTTTCTCCACTTTCCAGCTCAGATCTTTATTCTTGTCACATCGACTTGGAAAGCTTCCTCCCAGTTTCCTCTCTGCTAATGGGGATCCTTCCAGGCCCCACTCTGATGTCCTATCCATGTTCATGCTCTCCCAGTCCCCATCCTCAGCAGTAGACCCTCAATGCCTGGTCTCACTCCCGGGGCTCAGCTCCAACTGACCTTGAAACGCTGAGGAAGGGAGCGCAGAAGCTTGACCTTGATGGACAGACCAATAAGGGTGGCCATGCTGCAGTGCGGAATGGTTGGTGTGAAAGCCACAGCCACTGTACTCTCGGGGTCGCTAACCTGGTTGTGGAGGAGAGATGTCAAGAGTCAACCACCCTCAGCCCAAGGTCCCTCTTCTTAGTTTGTTGTTTTGGGCAAATCATCCAACTTCTATGGGCCTCAGTTTCAACACCCATAAAATAGGCACAACAATCTCCCTCCCCAAAGATACCCTTCGGTGTTCGTGAGCATAGAGCACGCCAGCTCCTGCTGCACAGAAACCTTTCTGACTCTCTGGAACAACTCGCTCCCCTCGGAAGTGACTCACCTGAACCCGCACCTGCTCTACTACGTTCAACTCCTCTAGCGTCAGTGGATGCTCCGGGTCATTGATGGAGCGAATCAGATGTGGGAAGTGAAGGAAAAGGGACTCTGCGCCCTTGCCCACTTAGAACCCTCTGCCAGGAACGCCCTGCTGGGATGCGGCTCCACCAGCTGCTCGATATCACTGCTCCCCCCACCGCAAGCCCCCGGAACCCGCCCGCGCCCAGCAGCGGCGGATATCGAAGATCTCGCGTGCGTCGATGCTGTCGGGAACCTGCTCGTCCTCCTCGCCTGCCGTCACAGGCCGCTCCCCAGAGCGCTGGTAGATGAGGGGGTTGGCATTCTCCAGGAGGCCGCCGCCGACCCCGCCGCCGCCTACCATCGCGGAACCACCACCGCTGATCCTAGCAGGCGTGCGCTTCCGCTCCAACCCGCGCACTTCCGGAGAACGGGAAGGGGGCGTGGCGTGGCGACGGAGTCGCGCGAGGGACACGCCGCGTTGTGGGTTCTCGGCCTGAGGTGCGAGAGAAGCGGTGACCGCGGCCCTGGCTGCTCGGACCCGGGAACATGATGGTCGCTGGAGCAGAAGGCGCTGAGAAGGGACCACGGCGGCGCTGGGTCGTGCGAGCCAGTAGCGGGCTGAAACGTAGAGGCCAGAACCAGGTCTCAGGGGGCACTAAAGGCGGTCGGAGGTAATCCCCACACCGCTTCCTCCTGGAAGTCAGGCTGGCCGGGAGCTCCCGTATCCAGGACGGTTGGTCGCCTCTGGCCTGGCAGGGATCCTAGTGTCTCGGGACCTCCCGGTGACGCGCCTGCCTCCCCTGCTGCACCATAGGCCCGGGAGTACGGCGTCCCCACAGCTTGGACCGGCAGGGGCTCGTGAAATGTTTGTCAAGTGGATAAATGACCATGGCCGTGGTCTCCGCGGGAGGTGAGGAAACTGAAAGCCACCGAGGAAAAGGGGGGCGCTCCTTAAGAAGTGCCGCGGTCACGTGTACGTTTCAAAAGAATGGCGTGACTGAGTAGGGAGGGGACCGCGGAGACCCTCAGACCCTGGACTGTAAGGAGATGAGGGGCCGTGAAGGGGAACCCAGGAAACTGAGTCCTGAAAGCAAGGAGGAACTTCCAGAATGAAGGGCGCCGACACTCCTTCCTGCCTTTGCTCAAGCGGTTCCTTCACCCCGATCAAGTTCCTTCCCATTTCTCCATCTGGGGGATCCTGAACGTGCACATCCTCAGAGAAGCCCTCCTGGGGTCTCCAATTCTAGTTTATTGCCCCCTCCTATCGATCCCCCAGCGCGCTCATCGGGCCTGTGGACAAGGACAGGTTTGAAGAGAGGATTCCCTGGATCGCGGAAGGGCTGCAGGAATGGCACAGCCCCTTCCGAGGATGCCAAAGGAGCCCGGGCAAAGGAAAGTGGCCGTGCCCGGGCCTGCCTACCACTAGATCCCCACCCACCTATGACTGCTCAGTCCCGCTCTCCTACCACACCCACCTTTCCCGGCCCAAGCCAGCGCACCCCGCTGACTCCCTGCCCAGTCCAAACTCCAAGGCTGGGCAAGGCACTGATCCACTGCTGGACAGACCCGGGGCAGCCTCTGGGTGAACAGCAGCGTGTCCGCCGGCAGCGAACCGAGACCAGCGAGCCGACCATGCGGCTGCACAGACTTCGTGCGCGGCTGAGCGCGGTGGCCTGTGGGCTTCTGCTGCTTCTTGTCCGGGGCCAGGGTGAGGCTCCCTCGGAGGGGCGACAGGGACCGGGCTCAGATCTGCCAAATGCTGCGGAGGCAGAACCTGACAGTGCGGGAGGGCAGGCGCCTGGGAGGTAGGAGCTGGTGGAGATGACAGCGTGGAACTCGTGAGCCCCACGCAACGCCTCCCCGCCGCCCAAGGTGGGCTCCTAGAAGCACAGAAAGGGTCGGGCTGGGGGACACCACGGCAAGGAACCAGCGGAGTACAGGGGCCCCAGGAGCGCCGGGACATGCCAGGCCGGGTAGGCAGCCTGGGGTCGGAGTGGGTGAGGGATTGGGGTGTGGGGATTCAGTCCATTTCCCTCTTATGATTGTGGCTGTAGCGGGTGCTGCCGGCCGGTAATAACAGTAATAGCTTCTGGCAGCATCTGGCTCTCAGTGTGTGGCGTCCTTGGCCAGGGGGGATGCCCTGAGCCCTCCAAAGGGGCCTCAGACAAGGATAGTGGTCCTTGGGGAACAGAAGCCCCCAGGCGCCAAATCCTAAAGCAGATCTAAGAGGCCACAGTGGCTGGGTGCGATTGGCTCACTCCTTTAATCCCACCACTTTAGAAGGCCAAGGGAGAGTATCGCTTGTGCCCAGGAGTTGGAGGCCAGCCTGGACAACATAGTGAGACTCGGAGTGTACAAAAAATTGAAAGAAATTAGTGGGCTGTGGTGGTCTGTGACCTGTAGTCCCAGCTACTTGGGAGGCTGAGGTGGGAGATCACTTTAGTAGGGGAGGTTGAGGCTGCAGTGAGCCTTCATCCCACTACTGCACTCCAGCCTGGGTGAAAAAGCAAAAATCTGTCTCCAGAAACAAGAACCAAAGAGCTCGTGGTGTCCCTCATGCCATTTACCTCATCCTGGGCAAGGGCACAACTTGGCTTCCAGGGCAAAGGTGAAGGCTCTGTGTGCCTGCCAGGCTTCTCCAGGCCCTTATCAGAAGCTGGGGGAGTGTTTCGGCCTTTGGTCCTCTCACCCGAAACTCTCCTAAGTGTATGATCTGTCTCTTCCAACCCTTCCCCAATTTAATTTGCGCAGGTGGAGTCCATACTCCCCCCGCCCCATGGTGCACTGCTGCAGGGCTTCCTCCCGTGCCTGCCCTTGACCACATTCTAGAGTTCACCAGGAGCCCAGCAGGAAGATCTGCCTGGCCTCACAGATGGCTACCTTTTAAAATATTTTGGGCCAGGCACAGTGGCTCACACCTGTTATCCCAGCACTTTGAGAGGCAGAGATGGGAGGATCACTTGAGGCTAGGAGTTAGAGACCAGCTTGGGCAACAAGACTTGTCTCTACCAAAAAAAAAAAAAAAAAAAGTCAAGCATGGTGGCAGACAGCTGTACTCCAAGCTACTCAGGAGGCTGTGGCGGGAGGATCTCAAGCCCAGGAGGTGGAGGCTGCAGTGAGCTGTTATCATATTACTGCATTCCAGCCTGGGCAACAGATGGCGACCTTGTCTGACAAATATATATGTATACAAAATTTTGGGTTGGACCCACATTCAGAAAAAATAATTGACAAGCCATAGGAGGGTACAGGTGATGTGTGCCATCCTCTTTTTACCCAACCAGTCCTGGCTTCTCCTCAGGGGCCATCAAAGTCCCCATGGCCCACACTGGAAACTGCTTGTTGACACCGCAGTACACACAGTGCCCAGCAGTTTACACAAGAATAGATGTGTGCACTTGTCCTTGATTTTCATCTAAACAGTCATAAACTCACCCACTTTCTGGAGCCAGGCTTTTCTACAGCTGGGACTACAGGCATGCACCACCACACCCCGCCAATTTATTTCCTGATTTTTTTGCAGAGACAGAGTCCCACTATGGTCCCCAGGCCAGTCACTGTGCTTTTTATATCCCAGCCACAGCCATACTTTTCTCTTGCACCTCTTTTCACCAACATCACTCATGGTTTGGATGATGCTTTCTTTACATGATTTCTTGCCACTTTGGACATGACATCCCTGAGGACAAGAAACTTGCCTGCCCAATTCCCACCATCATCCTACTGTCACATGACCTGGCACACAGTTGAAGGACACTCTAGTCCCATCAAGGGCATGTGACCCTTTGTTTGAAGGTCCTAGGGCTGAATGATGATGCCTGGCCCCAAGGAGCCTCAGCCTGGTGGGATGGAGACAGGCCCAGGAAGCCAGAGCGGGAAGGGAGTGTTACAGGCAGGAAGTTTGTAAAGCCCATGTTTACAGATCAGAGTCCCTTGAGCTAAGATGAGGATGGCAAGGAAGCAGCAATACCAACAGTTGGGAGGGCAGTCGATTGGTCAAACCCAACCGTGATGTCTGTCTCTCTGCCCACAGGCCAGGACTCAGCCAGTCCCATCCGGACCACACACACGGGGCAGGTGCTGGGGAGTCTTGTCCATGTGAAGGGCGCCAATGCCGGGGTCCAAACCTTCCTGGGAATTCCATTTGCCAAGCCACCTCTAGGTCCGCTGCGATTTGCACCCCCTGAGCCCCCTGAATCTTGGAGTGGTGTGAGGGATGGAACCACCCATCCGGCCATGTAAGCTCTCCAAGGGGTCCAGGGAACTCCAGGCCCTGGGGCAGGGGTGGGGGTGCTCTGAGCTCAGCTAGGCTGCAGTTATCATTTCATCTAAACCCCCACAGCCAGTTTTCCTTCTGAGTTTCGTGGATTCCCACGTGCATTTTTCCAATGAGCATGCTGAGGCTCAGGAGGGCAGAATAACTTCTCAGACTCCTGGATCAGGGCTTGGCATTCAGAAGACATTGGCTCCAGGTGCCGAAGGGAGGGGCAGACACACGTATCTCCCCAGATTCTGGTTATGCCAAGCTTTCTCTGCCACCAGTGGCAGGTGTCTCTGGGAAAGGTTCGGGTTGGCTCTATGAACCTTGTAGGAGCCCCTAACTCTAGTGGCAGATGTTGCAAATACCTGAAGAGAACAGTAGTGGTAGCTTTCTGGGGACCTGCACTCTCCACAGGCACTGTGTCCACTGACAGGACCAGGAGCCATTGGCCAAGAGACATGTATATGTATATGTATATGTTTCCAACTGGAGGCCATGTAGGAATGATGAGTTTTTGAGAGTTTAGACTTGGGATGAGAGACATCCCACTGCCCTTCTCATGAGAAATTAACATCCATTCACTCATGTAGCACACATATGTGGGCTACTCCCCTGTCCCAGGCCTTACGGGTTACAGGAATATAGTGGTGAATGTCAACACATGCAGCCAATGGTTCTCATAGAAACCCCTAAGAGTCAAGGTTTCCGGCAGTGCGAGGAATGATACCCAAGGTCCTCAGTAACCTCGAGGCCTCCCTGGAAGTCCAAGCTGCATCCCAGCTTCCCCAGAGCCTGTGGCCTGTAACTTGGTGGGAAGGGATTTTTGAGAGGGATCATGTGTGAGCAGGATATTGTGGGAAGGGTCTGAGGGTGGCTGGGAGCACCTCTGAACCCAGGGTCTGGTTTTGGCCACAGCCTGGCCCCTGGACTGATTATTTGCCCTGGTTACCAGGTGTCTACAGGACCTCACCGCAGTGGAGTCAGAGTTTCTTAGCCAGTTCAACATGACCTTCCCTTCCGACTCCATGTCTGAGGACTGCCTGTACCTCAGCATCTACACGCCGGCCCATAGCCATGAAGGCTCTAACCTGCCGGTGGGTGTCAGGCCACAGTTCACTGGGGGTTGGAGGACAGTTCTTCTGCAAGAAGCTGAAAAGGACAATATTAGCTCAGGCCCTGCTTCAGAGTGGACCATGCTGAGAAGCTTCTCACTGTCAGGTCCAAGAAATGCTCCTTACCCAGACTGGGCAGCTGGCCCCTGGACATGGGGTCACAGAGTTCTGGCTGCTCCCAGAGGTCAAAGGCTGTGGCTCTGGGCTGGACCCAGGACTCACTCAGCCAACTCATGCCAGGAGATCCACTTAAGTGCCAAAGGGCTGCACCTTGAGGTGACCAAGAACCCCAGCCATGGATAATCTGTTGGGCCTATAGAATGGGCACACACAAAAACTTTTTTTCTTAGAGATGGCATCATGCTCTGTTGCCCAGGCTAAAATGCAGTGGCATGAACATACCTCTCTGTAACCTCGAAATCCGGGATGATCCTCTCAGATTAGCCTCCCGAGTAGCTGGGACTACTGGCCTATTCCACCATGCCTGGCTCATTTTTAAAACATTTTCTGTTGAAACGGGGTCTCACTATGTGGTTCAGGCTAAGGACATTTTTGGTTAATGTTCATGTGGAGCCATCAGGGAGACACCCCTTTTCTTTCCACTTTGGTGAATTATCTGGGGTTAATGAACCCAGGCTTTGATACAGGGGGTTCGATTGCAAAGATTGGGAGGCCTGGTCTTCCTGATAGATCTTGGGTGCCTAACCATTTGCCCATGTAATGAATTTGTGCTGGAGATCTAATGGGGAGGTAGACAGAGGCAAAGCACTGGTTGGTCTAGGTAGTGGCCCTGGTGGGGTTTGGGCTGGGTGGGAGCATCATGGTAGCTGCCTTGATTTCCCCAGGTGATGGTGTGGATCCACGGTGGTGCGCTTGTTTTTGGCATGGCTTCCTTGTATGATGGTTCCATGCTGGCTGCCTTGGAGAACGTGGTGGTGGTCATCATCCAGTACCGCCTGGGTGTCCTGGGCTTCTTCAGGTGAGACTAGGGCTGGGCTGGGCAACCCGGGCTGAGCGGGGCCAGGACAGCCCTGTGATCCCTGTCCCTGCTACTTCTCAGCACTGGAGACAAGCACGCAACCGGCAACTGGGGCTACCTGGACCAAGTGGCTGCACTACGCTGGGTCCAGCAGAATATCGCCCACTTTGGAGGCAACCCTGACCGTGTCACCATTTTTGGCGAGTCTGCGGGTGGCACGAGTGTGTCTTCGCTTGTTGTGTCCCCCATATCCCAAGGACTCTTCCACGGAGCCATCATGGAGAGTGGCGTGGCCCTCCTGCCCGGCCTCATTGCCAGCTCAGCTGATGTCATCTCCACGGTGAGTGCCCTCAGCTGAAGAGGCCTAGGCCTGCTCCCTCCCCTCATATCCCTCAGAGCCTCTGTCTGTTAAACGGGGATGACAAGGGCCATCGGGAGCATGCTCCAGGAGCTGCTGCCTACCGTGGAATTGCTGGGGGGCTCCAGGGTCAGAATTCACATCCTTCTGCCATTGCAGAGGCCGAGCTTGTTCTGTGGCTCCTGTGCAAAGTTGTCACCCTAGGGATCCCCACCATGAGGAGAATCATCTAGGCGGATGGGATGGCCCCTGTGTCTGGGACTTCTGAGTTGGAACAGTGTCAGAACTGCAGGAACTCATACGAAGTACCCTCTGAGATTTGGGGTACCCCTGTTCTTGGCCAGGGCCTTGGGCAAACTCCTCTCCTCTACCTGGAAGGATGAGCCAGCCCCTGCCTGGTCCCTTTACAGGTGGTGGCCAACCTGTCTGCCTGTGACCAAGTTGACTCTGAGGCCCTGGTGGGCTGCCTGCGGGGCAAGAGTAAAGAGGAGATTCTTGCAATTAACAAGGTTGGTCTAAATGGATGTGGGTGTAGAGGAAGGGGTGCAATAGGCATGGGGCTGGCAGGCCTGCACGGCCGTCATATTCCCTGGGCACATTACCTCATCTGCATGCCTGAGTGTCATAGCCCTGGGTCGGGACTGAAGGTCGGTGCATGCTGAGCCAAACAGTAATCTCCTGGGGTGGGTATGAGCATCCAGGGATAAACTGGGAAGGAGTGGAAGGTACTCAGAGGGCATCGGAAGATGTCTGGGACCTGACCTTGTTCCCTGACCTTACATTTCCCCTCAGCCTTTCAAGATGATCCCCGGAGTGGTGGATGGGGTCTTCCTGCCCAGGCACCCCCAGGAGCTGCTGGCCTCTGCCGACTTTCAGCCTGTCCCTAGCATTGTTGGTGTCAACAACAATGAATTCGGCTGGCTCATCCCCAAGGTGAGCCCCAACCCAAGCCCACAAGTGCCTGGGGAGCCCATCTGGTAGTGGGGGGTGTTCAGGGCTTCATAGCTCCAGGCTCATCCCATCCCCAGCTACAGACTCTCTCCTGGCCATCCAGGTCATGAGGATCTATGATACCCAGAAGGAAATGGACAGAGAGGCCTCCCAGGCTGCTCTGCAGAAAATGTTAACGCTGCTGGTAAGGCTCCTGGGGTCCCTCGCCAATGGAGACGGGCTCCTCTCCTGTCCTGAGACAGAGGAAATTCAACCCCCAGATACCCTTCCTATGTAGTGACCCCCATGAGCAAAGGCCTGGGTGTGTGTGTTTAGGGGTGGGGTCACCTCAGAGCCTCGCCTTTGCTCCCCCTTCCTGTGCCATCCCCAAGCCCGAGACCACCTCCTCCCTGCCCCTGGCATCCAGTCTAACCTGCCTCTTCCTGATCCACCTGGGGTAGATGTTGCCTCCTACATTTGGTGACCTGCTGAGGGAGGAGTACATTGGGGACAATGGGGATCCCCAGACCCTCCAAGCGCAGTTCCAGGAGATGATGGCGGACTCCATGTTTGTGATCCCTGCACTCCAAGTAGCACATTTTCAGTGTGAGTATATTTGGACCAAAGCCTGGCGGGCAGGGTACAGCTCAGGGCTGTGGGTCCCAGGTGAGACCTGCTGCTGTCCGGGTCAGCACTCATGTTTATTGGGCTCCGGGGACACTTGACATCCATCATTGCAGTAAATCCTCATGGCTAGCCCAAGAATCCGACATTTCCCCCATTTCACAGACGAGCAAATTGAAGTTAGGGACCTTCAGTGACTTGCCCAAGATGACACAGCAAAGAATCGCAAGTCCTTTCCTCTATTCCTGCCCCAGCCTGGGGCTCCACACCCCATTGTCCAGATTCCAGCCAGCTTTGGACCTAGGTATCTTATCACCATGGGTGAGGCAAGAAGTCTTCAGGGGGAGGGGCCACCGTGTCATGGGCTGTCCACCCCACAGGTTCCCGGGCCCCTGTGTACTTCTACGAGTTCCAGCATCAGCCCAGCTGGCTCAAGAACATCAGGCCACCGCACATGAAGGCAGACCATGGTGATGAGCTTCCTTTTGTTTTCAGAAGTTTCTTTGGGGGCAACTACAGTGAGTCTTCTTCCTTTCCCGGGAGGTGGGCTGGGATTCTGGCTGGGTCTCTGAGCGATGATTGATTGTCCTCACTGCCCAGATAAGGAAACTGAGGCTCAGAGAGAGGATGAGATCAGGTGTCCAAGGTTTTATAGCTCCAAAAGCTGCACCAGGATTAGAATTCACGACTCTTCAGACTGTGAGCTGTGCTCCCTCTGCCTCTCCCCAGCCATGGGTGTCTGGCCTGGTGCAGAACAGGTGTTTCAGGGACATGTTTATTTCTTCAGTGACTCCCAGAGATAGAAGGAAGAAGGGGCCTTTGGGGCCATGAAGGAGCCCAGGATGGAGTCAGCCAGAGCCTGGTCTACAGGGAAAGTTTGGAAAAGGGGAGGGCTGGCTTCTGAGGGCAGTGGAAGAAAAAGCGGAGAAGCAGGACTGGGGACCGAGGTCTCGGGGGCCAAGGACGAGCTCCACCTGGGATGCTGAGGTTGGACATCCTGATGAAGACACATGTCCTCTTCCTCTTGGCAGTTAAATTCACTGAGGAAGAGGAGCAGCTAAGCAGGAAGATGATGAAGTACTGGGCCAACTTTGCGAGAAATGGGTGAGACAGCACACCCCTGCCTCAACCTCCCCGATTGGGGGACTTGTGCCCATCCAGTGCTCTCCTAGTCTGGGGTGACCTCATGAGCACACCCGCATCCTTCATCACATGATGGCCCCTTCCCCAGCTCCGGGACCCACTCAGACAGGGTGGGGGTGCGTGGGGCAGTGGACACGCTCTATCTCTCCAGTCTACCTGGAGGGTGGGCGCCAGTGCTGTGCCACCGTCAGGGCCTCCCTCTCAGAGAGAGGGACACAACAGAGCTGGCTGCCCTCCCCCAACCCCCACTGGTGCTGACACTAGCCAGAGGGAGCTTATTTCCTGTTTCTGGAAGCCTCCCCACTCATTCCCCAAGCCCACCTGGCCTGCTTGGCTGCCTTGCCTGACCAGACTCAGGGTGCTCAGGTCTGGGCTTCGGGGGCCCAGAGTGACCCTCATACTGCCCTGCTGGGATGGCATGTCTACAGGAACCCCAATGGCGAGGGTCTGCCACACTGGCCGCTGTTCGACCAGGAGGAGCAATACCTGCAGCTGAACCTACAGCCTGCGGTGGGCCGGGCTCTGAAGGCCCACAGGCTCCAGTTCTGGAAGAAGGCGCTGCCCCAAAAGATCCAGGAGCTCGAGGAGCCTGAAGAGAGACACACAGAGCTGTAGCTCCCTGTGCCGGGGAGGAGGGGGTGGGTTCGCTGACAGGCGAGGGTCAGCCTGCTGTGCCCACACACACCCACTAAGGAGAAAGAAGTTGATTCCTTCATTCACTTCGCCATTCATTCATACTTCCGTCCATCCATTCAGAAAGCATTTATTAAGAATTTACTCAGGCATGATGGCCCATACTTGTAATCCCAGCTATTGGGAAGGATGAGATGGGAGGATGGCTTGAGGCCAGAGGTTTGAGACCGACCAGCCAGGGCAACACAGTGAGACCCCTTCTCAAAAAAAAAAAAAAAAAAGAGAGAGTGTGTGATTAGAAGCTAAATAGGAAAGTTTTGAGCTTCAAGTCAGTGAGGAGTAAAAAAGATTTTTAAAAAGCAAAGAAAACAAAATATAAGGGAAAAATATGAGAAAAATAAAAATAAAAAGAGAATAATAGGCCAGGCACTGTGGCTCATGCCCCTAATCCCAGCACTTTTGGGAGGTCAAGGTGAGCAGAACACCTGAGGACAGGAGTTTGAGACCAGCCTGCCCAACGTGGTGAAACCCCATCTCTATGAAAAATACAAAAATCAGACGGGCACAGTGGTGGTGCCCACCTGTGATCCCAGCTACTCAGGAGGCTGAGGCAGGAGAATTACTTGAACCTGGGAGGCAGAGGTTGCAGTGAGCTGAGATTGTGCCACTGTACTCCAGCCTGGGCAACAAGAGCGAGACTCCGTTTCCAAAAAAATAAGAGAGAATAGAAGAAGCTACTGCATGATGTTAGTTACCAAGCCTGCCATGGGTCCTCTCTTGCTAGACACACTCCATAGATCCCCCCACTGAGCTGTGGATGGGCAAACCCCGGTGGAATCCCACCCTCCCCAACACCCCACTGAGCCCTGGGCCCCCTCCTCCCTTCCTCACCTCCACCTTCTCCCTGCCTTCTCTCTTCTCTCGTCTGAGCCCCCAGGCCTTTTCCACTTTGAGGGAGGTGCTTCGAAGAATGTTGCCCACACCTAAGTGTTAGAAGCCTATGTCCGTTCATCCCTGAGAGGTCTGAAAGAATAAAAATAAATTCTAAAAAAAGCCTCTGTCTGCCTCTCCCCAAGCCCCAAGTGCTCTTACATCTGTGAGTGGCCAGGCCGGGTGCGGTGGCTCACACCTGTAATCCCAGCATTTTGGGAGGCCAAGGTAGGCGGATCACCACATCAGGAGATCGAGACCATCCTGGCTAGCATGGTGAAACTCCGTCTCTACTAAAAGTACAAAAAATTAGCCTGGTGCAGTGGCACACGCCTGTAGTCCCAGCTACTAGGGAGGCTGAGGCAGGAGAATCCCTTGAACCCGGGAGGCAGAGGTTGCAGTGAGATGAGATTGCACCACGGCACTCCTGCCTGGGCCACAGGACGAGACTCAGTCTCAAACAAACAAACAAAGAAACAAAAACAAAAAACAAAAAAAATCTGTGAGTGGCCAATAGGAAACCTGGTTACTGGAATTCCTAGTGTTTTAGTCCATTCAGTTGCTATAGCAAAAATACTACCGATTAGACCCGGTGCAGTGGCCCACACCCATCATCACAACACTTTGGGAGGCCGAGGTGGGTGGATCACTTGACCCCAGGAGTTTGAGACCAGCCTGGCCAACATGGTGAAACGCTGTCTCTACTAAAAAGACAAAAATTAGCCAGGCTCTGTGGTGCACACCTAGAATATCAGCTACTCGGGAGGCTGAGACACGAGTATAACATGAACCCAGGAGGTAGAAGTTGCAGTGAGCTGAGATTGCACCACTGCACTCCAGTCTGGGCGACAGAGACCCTACCTCAAAAATAAGTAAATAAATAAATAAACAAATAAATAAATATTACCGGTTAGGCCGGGTGCAGTGGCTCATGCCTGTAATCCCAGCACTATTGGAGGCCGAGGTGGGACTCCTGAACTTGAGCCCAGGAGTTCCAGACCAGCCTAGGCAGCATGGAGAAATGTCATCTCTACAAAAAAATAGAAAAATTATTTGGATGTGGTGGCACACACCTATAGTCTCAGTTACTCAGGAGGCTGAGGCGGGCAGATCACTTGAGCCTGGGAGGTCAGAGCTGCAGTGAGTCGTGATTGCACCACTACACTCCAGCCTGGGCAACACAGCAAGACCCTGCCTCAAAAAAATAGGGCTTCCAATACTGATATAAAACTTAAAATACTACAGGTTAATATTATAAACTGGGTGCCTTATAATGACAGAAATGTATTGCTTACAGTTCTCGAGGCTTGGACATCGAGGATCAAGGTGCCAGCAGATTTGGTGTCTGGCAAGGACTTGTTCTCTGGTTAATAGATGGCAACCTCAGGCCAGGTGCGGTGGCTCACACCTGTAATCCCAGCACTTTGGGAGGCCAAGGTGGGGTATGACCTGAGGTCAGGAGTTCAAGACCAGCCTGGCCAACATAGTGAAACCCCATCTCTACTAAAATACAAAAATTAGACGGGTGTGGTGGCAGGTGTCTGTAATCCCAGCTACTCAGGAGGCTAAGGTAAGAGAATCACTTGAACCTGGGAGGCAGAGGTTGCAGTGAGCTGAGATCACAGCACTATACTCCAGCCTGGGCGACAGCACGAGACATTATCTCAAAAATAAAAAATAAAACAAGCCACCCACCCAACTATCGATGTCCTGCAGAGGTGCCTAACCCCACTTTTGTCAGAAGCCAGACCGGGCTTGTCCATAGGCCCCTGAGCCTGGGCCTCCTGCACAGTGGCCAGGAAAGCCAAGCTGCTTCCTCAGTCGCCCGTCTCCTGAAGGTTGCTCTTCTTCTCAGTGGTTCTACAGACACTGTAAGGCCCATACTCACAGGATATTAGCACACCTGCTAAGAGATTCCTGTCCGCTGGCTACCAGGGGCCTCTCCATCCAGGGAAATGTCCTCTCACGTTTCAGAATTTCCCTGCCAACCTTTCAACCCCCTGAGCATCCCCAAATTCACCATGTGTGTCCACACGATTACTTTTCCTACTTACCTCATTGTTGTCCCTAGACTTTTCTCCTTCCCCGCTCTGCAAAAAACCTCATATTTTATCTCAGTGTGCAAAGGTGGCCAATTGTGTTCAATCGGCCTCTTGGTTTCACCAAAGTATATTCTCTCTGTCATTAAGAGGCTATATTTCTGTCCCATAAACCCTAATAATCCCCTTATGCCCCTACTGCTGATCAACTTGCCTCTCAGGGCACCCGTTTTCCATGGGGAAAGTCTCCCTTCTTTCCAGCCAGGGCCCGTAAGTCCAATTACAGAGCCTTTTGAAGTTTGGGGTGAAAGACCAGGACACCCACATTGCCCATTTTGGCCACCAGGTGGCAGACAAGGATAATATTAAGCCTGGAATGACTTGAACTTGAGAGAGGGAGGAGACTTTCCTTTCAATGAACACTGATTGGTGCATAATGTTCCCACTACATTCTGAAAGCGTTTATTGTGCACCAGCTGCATGCATGCCTCTGTATGTTTTTCAGTTCTGCAGATGTACAATATACCTTCCCAAAGTCAGTTCCCAGGATTACTGTTTAGACTTAATAGTTCTTTTTTTAACAGCTTTATTGTGAAATAACTTACAATTTACCCCCTGCTCCCCCTTTTTTTTTTGAGACAAGGTCTAGTCCTGTCACCCAGGCTAGAATGCAGTAGTGCAATCACAGATCACTGCAGCCTCCACCTCCGGGCTTCAGACACTGTAAGGCCCATAGTTACAGGACCATAGTACACTCCCGTTCCCAGACCAGTTGGTCGCCTCTGGCCTGGCAGGGCTCCCAGTGTCTCGGGACCTCCAGGTGACGCGCCTGCCTCCCCTGCTGCAACAGAGGCCTGGGAGTGCCGGGTCCCCATCGCTCGGAGCGGCAGGCGCTCGTGAAATGTTCGTCAAGAGGATAAATGACCATGGCCCTGGTCTCCGCGGGAGGTGAGGAAACTGAAAGCCACCGAGGAAAAGGGGGGCGCTCCTTAAGAAGTGCCGCGGTCACGTGTACGTTTCAAAAGAATGGCGTGACTGAGTAGGGAGGGGACCGCGGAGACCCTCAGACCCTGGACTGTAAGGAGATGAGGGGCCGTGAAGGGGAACCCAGGAAACTGAGTCCTGAAAGCAAGGAGGAGCTTCCAGAATGAAGGGCGCCGTCACGCCTCCCTGCCTTTGCTCAAGCGGTTCCTTCACCCCGATCAAGTTCCTTCCCATTTCTCCAACTGTGGGGATCCTGAACGTGCACCTCCTCAGAGAAGCCCTCTTGGGATCTCCAATTCTAGTTTATTGCCCCCTCCTATCGATCCCCCAGCGCGCTCATCGGGCCTGTGGACAACGACAGGTTTGAGGAGAGGATTCTCTGGATCGCGGAGGACTACAGAAGCCGCGCAGCCCCTTCTGAGGATGCCAAAGGGGCCCGGGCAGAAGGGAAGTGGCCGTGCCCGGGCCTGCCTACCACTAGATCCCCACCCACCTATGACTGTTCAGTCCTGCTCTCCTACCAACCCACCTTTCCCGGCCCAAGTCAGCGCACCCCGCCGACTCCCTGCCCAGTCCAAACTCCGAGGCTGGGCAAGGCACTGGATCCACGGCTGGACCGACCCGGGGCAGCCTCTGGGTGAACAGCAGCGTGTCCGTCGGCAGAGAACCGAGACCAGCGAGCCGACCATGCGGCTGCACAGACTTCACGCGCGGCCGAGCGCGGTGGCCTGTGGGCTCCTGCTGCTTCTCCTCCAGGGTCACTATGAGGCTCCCGCGGAGGGGTGACAGGGACCGGGCTCAGATCTGCCAAATGCTGCGGAGGCAGAACCTGACAGTGCGGGAGGGCAGGCGCCTGGGAGGTAGGAGCTGGTGGAGATGACAGCGTGGAACTCGTGAGCCCCACGCAACGCCTCCCTGCCGCCCAGGGTGGGCTCCTAGAAGCACAGAAATGGTCGGGCTGCGGGACACCACAGCGAGGAACCAGCGGAGTACAGGGGCCCCAGGAGCGCCGGGACATGCCAGGCCGGGTAGACAGCCTCGGGTCGGAGTGAGTGAGGGATTGGGGTGTGGGGATTCAGTCCATTTCCCTCTTACGATTGTGGCTGTAGCCTGTGCTGCCGGCCGGTAATAACAGTAATAGCTTCTGGCAGCAGCTGGCTCTCAATGTGTGGCGTCCTTGGCCAAGGGGGCGCGCTGAGCCCTCCAAAGGGGCCTCAGACAAGGTTAGTGGTCCTTGGGGAACAGAAGCCCCCAGGCTCCAAATCCTAAAGCAGATCTAAGAGGCCGCAGTGGCTGGGTGCGATTGGCTCACTCCTTTAATCCCAGCATTTTGGAAGGCCAAGGGGGAGAATCGCTTGATCCCAGGAGTTGGAGGCCAGCCTGGGCAACATAGACTCAGAGTGTACAAAATAATTAAAAGAAATTAATGGGCTGTGGTGGCCTGTGACCTCTAGTCCCAGCTTCTTGGGAGGCTGAGGTGGGAGATCACTTTAGTAGGGGAGGTTGAGGCTGCAGTGAGCCTTCATCACACTATTGCACTCCAGCCTGGGTGAAAAAACAAAAATCTGTCTCCAGAAACAAGAGCCAAAGAGCTCGTGGTGTCCCTCACGCCATTTACCTCATCCTGGGCAAGGGCACAACTTGGCTTCCAGGGCAAAGGTGAAGGCTCTGTGTGCCTGCCAGGCTTCTCCAGGCCCTTTTCGAAGCTCCGGGAGTGTTTTGGCCTTTGGTCCTCTCACCTGAAACTCTCCTAAGTGTATGATCTGACTGCCTCTCCCGACCCTTTCCCAATTTAATCTGCCCAGGTGGAGTCCATATTCGCCCCATGGTGCACTCCTGCAGGGCTTCCTCCCATGCCTGCCCTTGATCACATTCTAGAATTCACCAGGAGCCCAGCAGGAAGATCTGCCTGGCCTCACAGATGGCTACCTTTTGAAATATTTTGGGCCAGACACAGTGGCTCACACCTGTTATCCCAGCACTGTGTGAGGCAGAGATGGGAGGATCACATGAGGCTAGGAGTTAGAGACCAGCTTGGGCAACAAGACTTGTCTCTACCAAAAAAAAAAAAAAAAAAAAAAAAAGGACTCTCAGGCATGGTGGCACACAACTGTGTTCCCAAGTACTTGGGAAGTTGAGATGGGGGGATCTCAAGCCCAGGAGGTGGGGGCTGCAGTGAGCTGCAATCACACCACTGCACTCCAGCCTGGGCAACAGACGGAGTCCAATATTTAGATGTATATTATATTATATTATAAACATATGTGTGTCTGACAAATATATTATATATTTTGGTAGAGACAGGCTTTCACCATGTTGGCTAGGCTGGTCTCGAACTCCTAACCTCAAGTGATCCACCCACCTCGGCCTCCCAAAGTGCTAGGATTACCAAAGTCACCCACTGCGACTGACCTGTTTTCTGACTTTTTATTATGAAACTGGGCTCAGATTTCCCAAATCCTACAGAAGCAGAACCTGAGGTTCCAAAAGGGAAAGTGCCAGGCAGGTGGGAGCTGGTGGGAATAAGAACAGCAGGTGAACCTCCCTGAGGCACAGAGAGGGTCAAGCCTGCTCAAGGGCTGCACAGCACCAAAGGATGAGCCAAGTCTGAGGTAGAAACAGTAGTATAAGAAATCCAACATACCCATTGTCCGTCTTCAGCAATAACAAAGATCTTGTTTTTGTTTCTGTTTTAAATCAGCTTTCTCAGGTTGAATATAACCTGGTGTTTTCCGGATGGCCACCTCTCTCTTGCATCATTATTTGAAACAAATCCCAGACATCATATCATCTGTAAAGTTTTCATCATGTCCTACTAAAGAAAAGGAACATATATATGTATGTGTGTATTTCCACAACATAATATGTTCTCAATTTAATCAAATATATGGTCGTGTTCTTTAGTATTTATAAATGATACTTGTATTAATACAAGTTTTTTTTTAAATCAGGATTCAAATAACGTTCATACTTTGCAAATAAGTAGATATTTCTTTTTTCTCTTTTTTTTTTTTTTTTGAGATGGAGTCTCACTCTGTTGCCCAGGCTCACTGCAACCTCTGCCTCTTGGGTTCAAGGGATCCTCATGCCTCAGCTCCCAAGTAGCTAGAATTACAGGCACATGCCACCACGCCTGGCTAAGTTTTGTATTTTTAGTAGAGATAGGGTTTCACCATGTCAGCCAGGCTGGTTTCAAACTCCTGACCTCAGGTGATCCACCCACCTTGACTTCTTAAAGTGCTTGGATTACAGGCGTGAGCCTCCATGCCCCACCAATTGTCTTGGCTTTATAGTTAGGAGTGGAATTGCTGAGTCATATGGCAACTCCATGTTTAATCCCCTGAAAAACTGCCAGACTGTTTTCCAAAGCAGCTGCACCATTTTCCTTTCCCCTGGCAATGTATGAAAGTTCCAAGTTTTCCATATCCTTACCAACACTTATTATTATCTGTCATTTTTATGTGTTTCTTGAATCTCTTTCAGTCTTCAGATTTACCATCTGCCTCTCTTTAATTTTCTTTCTAAATTTTGTTGCATGTGGAAGAAACCAGTTTATTTGTTCTGGAGAGGATCCCACCATTTAGGTTTTGCTGATTGCATCCGGGTGGTGTCTTTTAACAGTTCTTCTATCCCCTGTCTACTGTGTAAACTTGTATTTATATTCTAGAGGCATAATCAGATTTGGGTTTTAGGTTTTATTTTGTTTTGTTTTTTGGAGGACCACTTCACATGTGGTGCTGCATACTTCTGATAGAAAATATGTAACGTCTGATTATCTTGCTTGTTGGGATACCACAAAATGAGTGGTTGACATCACAGTGAGAATTCAATGTGCATTTCTCTTACTATGAATGACTTAAAGATCTCTTCGTTTATTTGAGAGACACTGATTTGTAGTGCTTATTCTGAACACATTCTTATGCTACTTTTTCTGTTGTATACATGACATATTCTTTGTTTGTAGAAATTCTTTATCGATTAAGAGGACTGATTTTCTCTGTTAGGCAATTTTCCATCACTTCCTCCCTCCCTGATCCCCACAGCAGTCACACTATGTTTTTTCTGGAGACTGGGTCTTGCTTTGTTGCCTAGACTAGAGTGCAAAGGCGGGATCATAGCTCATGCAGCGTCGAATTCCTTCTGCCTTAGCCTCCTGAGTAGCTGAGTAGCTGGCCCAGAGTTTGAGACCAGCCTAGCCAACACGGTGAACCCCTGTCTCTACTAAAAATACAAAAATTAGCTAGGCTTGGTGGTGCACACCTATAATCCTACATATTCAGGAGGCTGAGACACAAGAATCACTTGAACTCAGGAAGCGGAGGTTGCAGTGAGCCAAGATCGCACTACTGCACTCCAGTCTGGGTGACAGAGCGAGGGTCTGTCTCAAAAAAAAAAATAAATAAATACTACCGGTTTCGGCCAGGCACGGTGGCTCATGCCCATAATCCCCGCACTTTTGGATGCCGAGGTGGGCCTCCTGAACTTGAGCCCAGGACTTTGACGCTAGCCTAGGCAGCTTGGAGAAACGCCATCTCTACAAAAAAAAAATTCAAAAATTGGCTGGATGTGGTGGCACGCACCTGTAGTCTCAGTTACTCAGTAGGCTGAGGCGGGCAGATCACTTGAGCCTGGGAGGTCAGAGCTGCAGTGAGTCGTGATTGTGCCACTACACTCCAGCCTGGGCAATACAGCAAGACCCTGTCTCAAAAAAAAAAGTTTCCTATACTGATATAAAACTTAAAAAAAAATTTTACAGATTGATGTTATAAACTGGGTGCCTTCATGTGACAGAAATGTATTGCTTACAGTTATAGAGGCTTAGAAGTCCAGGATCAAGGTGTCAGCAGATTTGCTGTCTGGCAAGGACTTGTTCTCTGGTTAATAGATGGCAGCCTCTCATTGTGTGCTCCCCTGGAGGAAAGGGAAAACAAGCTCCATCTGGCCTCTTTTGTAAGGACACTAATCCCCTTCACCTCCTGAAGTCCCCACCTCTTGACACCATCACATTGGGGATTAGGTTTCACCATACAAATTTTTGAGGCAATACAAACATTTAAACCATAGCACTTAGAGCTCCCAGATTTCAGCCACCAAGGTCACCAACTACTGAAAATGTAAAAGTTCCTATACTCCCCTTTTGTCCCACTAAATGTCGTCTATCATTGACATTTAAAACAAGCCACCTTTACAGGCCAGGTGCGGTGGTTCATGCCTGTAATCCTAGCACTTTGGGAGGCCAAGCCAGGTGGATCACCTGAGGTCAGGATTTCGAGACCAGCCTGGCCAACAAGGTGAAACCCTGTCTTTACTAAACACAAAAATTAGCCAAGCGTGGTGGCACATCCCTGTAATCCCAGCTACTTGGGAGGCTGAGCCAGGAGAATTGCTTGAACCCTGGAGGCGGAGATCATAGTAAGCTGAGATTGTGCCACTATACTCCAGCCTGGGTGACAGAGCAAGACTCAATCTAAAAACAAAAACAAAAACAAACAAACAAAAACAAGCCACCTCCTCGCCTATCTGTGTCCTGCAGAGGTGACTCAACCCATTTTTGTAAGAAGCAAGACTGGGCTTGTCCACAGGCCCCTGAGCCTGGGCCTCCTGTACAGTTGCCAGGAAAGCCAAGCCGATTCCTCAGTGGCCGTCTCCTGAAGGTTGCTCTTCTTCTCAGTGGTTCTACAGACACTGTAAGGCCCCTACTCACAGGATCGTAGCACACTCGCGAAGATGTTTACCTGTGGGGTGTGCCCCGGAAGTGGGATTGAGGGTCCAAAGGTCCAGGCATATCTAAGAAAAGAGATTCCTGTTCCCTGGCTCCCAGGAGCCTCTCCACCCAGGGAGATGTTCTCTGGCCTTTCAGAATTCCCTTGCCAACCTTTCAGCCCCCTGAGCATCCCCGAACTCACCATGTGTGTCCATATGATTATTTTCCTACTTACCTCATTGTTGTCCCTAAACTTTTCTCCTTCCTGGCTTCGCAAAAATCCTCCTCATATTTTATCTCAGTGTGCAAAGGTGGCCAATTGTGTTCAATCGGCCTCTTGGTTTCACCAAAGTATATTCCCTCTGTCATTAAGAGGCTGTATTCTAGTCCCATAGACCCTAATAATCCCCTTATACCCCTACCTCTGACCAACTTGCCTCTCGGGGCACCGGATTTCCAGGGCGAAAGTCTCCCTTCTTTCCATCCACGGCCTTTAAGCCCAACTACAGCTTTTTGAAGTTTGGAGCGAAAGACCAGGACACCCACTTTGCCCATTTGGGCCACCAGGTGGCAGACAAGGATAATGTTAAACCTGGGCTGACTTGAACTTGAGAGAGCAGGGAGACTTTCCTTTCAATAAACACTGGTGCATAATGTTTCCACTACATTCTGAAAGCATTTATTGAACACCGGCTGCATGCCTGTCTCTGTATGTTTTTCAGTTCTGCAGAGGTACAATATAGTTTCCCAATATACATTCCCAGGATTACTGTTTAGACTTAATAGTTATTTTTTAACAGCTTTATAGTGAAATAACTTACAATTAAATTTACCTCCCCCCACCCTTTTTTTTTTTTTTTTTCTGAGGCAAGGTCTCGTTCTGTCACCTAGGCTGGAATGCAGTGGCACAATCACAGCTCACTGCAGCGTCCACCTCCTGGGCTCAAGCCATCCCCCACCTCAGCCTCCCAAGTAGCCAGGACCACAGGCACATGCCACCATGGCTGGAGAACTTAAATTTTTTTATTTTTTATTTTTGGTAGAGGCGAAGTCTCACTAGGTTACCCAGCTGGTCTCCAACTCCTAGGATCAAGTGATCTTTCCATCTAGGCCTCCCAAATTGGTAGGATTACAGGCAGATGTGAACCACTGTGCTTGGCCTAAACTCACCCATTTTCAGTGTGCAGTTTGATCACGTTGAGTAAATGTATAAGACATGCAAACACCACCACGTGGAGTTTTACAATATTTCTATCACTCCAAAATTCCCTCAAGCCCTTTTGCAGTCAATCGTCCTGATCCATGCTCCTAAGCAACCATCGAGTTGCTTTCTGTTGCTATAGTTTGCATTTTCTAGAATATGAATGAAATAATACAAATTATAAATTAATATGATAGTACTAATTATATAAATGAAATAACTTGCGATTGGCTTCTGTCAATTGTGTTTTTGAAATTCAACCAGTAGTTCTTTTCTTTTATCGTGGAGTGGTATTCCATGTATAAATATACTCCCTTTCTTTTTCTTTAGAGACAGGATCTTGCTATGTTGCTCAGGCTGGTCTTGAACTCCTGGGCTTAAACAATCCTCCCGCCTCGGCCTCCCAAAGTGCCGGGATTATAGAAGTGAGCCGGTGTGCCTCGCCAATATACGCAACTTTATTAATTCATCAGTGTAGGGGTGGCCTGCCCCTCCACACCTGTGGGTATATTTCATCAGGTGGGATGAGAGACTGAGAAAAGAAATAAGACACAGAGACAAAGTATAGAGAAAGAAAAGTGGGCCCAGGAGACTGGCGCTCAGCATATGGAGGACCTGCACCGGCACCGGTCTCTGAGTTCCCTCACTTTTTATTGATTATTATTTTCACCATCTCAGCAAGAGGAATGCGGCAGAAGAGCAGGGTGATAGTGGGGAGAAGGTCAGCAAGAAAACATGTGAGCAAAAGAATCTGTGTCATAATTAAGTTCGAGGGGAGGTAGTATGCCTGGATGTGCACGTAGGCCAGATTTATGTTTCTCTCTGCCCAAACATCTCAGTGGAGTAAAACATAACAAAGCAGCATTGCTGCCAACATGTCTTGCCTCCCGCCACAGGGCGTTTTTTTTCCTATCTCAGAATTGAGCAAATGTACAATCGGGTTTTATACCGAGACATTCCGTTCCCAGGGGCAGGCAGGAGACAGAGGCCTTCCTCTTATCTCAACTGCAAGAGGCCTTCCTCTTTTACTAATCCTCCTCAGCACAGACCCCTTATGGGTGTCGGGCTGGGGGACGGTCAGGACTTTCTCATCCCAAGAGGCCATATTTCAGACTATCACAGGCGGGGAGAAACCTTGGACAATACCCGGCTTTCCAAGGCAGAGGTCCCAGCAGCTTTTCGCAGTGCGTTGTGCCCCTGGTTTATTGAGACTAGAGAATGGTGATGACTTTTACCAAGCATACTGCTTGTAAACATTTTGTTAACAAGGCACGTCCTGCACAGCCCTAGATCCCTTAAACCTTGATTCCATACAACACATGTTTTTGTGAGCTCAAGGTTGGGGCAAAGAGGTTGGGGCAAATTGGCTGGGGCAAAGTTACAGATTAACAGCATCTCAGGGCAAAGCAATTGTTCAGGGTACAGGTCAAAATGAAATTTCTTATATCTTCCCTTTCTACACAGACACAGTAACAGTCTGATCTCTCTTTCTTTTCCCTACAATCAGTGGGTGCACATTTGAGTGACTTCCATTTTTGGGGTATTTTTATAAAGCTGCTGTGAACATTTTCAGACAAACCTTTCATTTCTTTGGGGTAGATAGCTGAGATTGGACACTCACCATATAATGCCATTCTGGGTCATATGGCAAGGGTGTGTTTCACTTTTAAAGAAAACGCCCCCTATTTAAAGATCTACACTAGGCTGGGCGCAGTGGCTCACGCCTGTAATCCTAGCACTTTGGGAGGCCGAGGCAGATGGATCACCTGAAGTCAGGAGTTTGAGACCAGCCTGGCCAACATGGTAAAACCCCGTCTCTACTAAAAATACAAAGATTAGCCGGGCATGGTGGCGCATGCCTGTAATCCCAGCTTCTTCAGAGGCTGAGGCACAGGAATTGCTTGAACCTAGGAGGCACAGGTTGCAATGAGCTGAGATTGCACCACTGCACTCCAACCTGGGCGACAGAGCAAGACTCTCAAAATACATAAATAAATAAATATCTACACTACACGACAAATACATAGATTTTGTGTGTGTGTGTGACGGAGTCTTGCTCTGTCACCTAGGCTGATTTTTTAAAAAAAATAAAATGCCAAACTGTTTTCCAAAATGACTATATGATTTTTGCAACCCTACCAGCCATCTGTGAGGGTTCCAGATGCTTTCTATCTTCACTAAAACTTGGTCTTATGGGCCTTAAATCTGATTTTTTCAGGTTTTTGTTTTCGTTTTTATAGAGTCAGGGTCTCTCTGTCAGCAAGGCTAGGGTGCAGTGGCATGATCATAGCTCGCTGTAAACTTGAACTCCCGGGCTCAAGGAATCCTCCCACTTCAGCCTCCTGAGTAGCTAGCAAAACAGGCATTTTTAAAAATTCTGTAGCCAGGCGTGGTGGTTCATGCCTGTAATCCCAGCACTTTGGGAGGCTGAGGCAGGCAGATCACGAGGTCAAGAGATCAAGACCATCCTGGCCAACATGGTGAAACCCTGTCTCTACTAAAAATACAAAAATTAGCTGGGCGTGGTGGTGTGCACCTGTAGTCCCAGCTACTCTGGAGGCTGAGGCAGGAGAATTGCTTGAACCCACGAGGTGGAGGTTGCAGTGAGCTGAGATTGCACAACTGCACTCCAGCCTGGCAACAGAGCGAGACTCTGACTCAAAAAAAAAAAAAAAAAAAAAGAAAAGAAAAAAAACTGTAGAGATGGGATCTCATTATGTTGCCCAGGCTAATCTCAAAATCCTGGGCTCAAGCTATCCTCTTGTCTGAGCCTCCCAAATTGCTAGGATTACAGGTGTGAGCCATCACACCTGACCCTGATTTTTTTAAATGCATGTTTAGTGGCACCTCATTGCAATTGGTTCCTTGGACTTTTAGCCTCTGCTTTTGACTATCTCTCTCTCTGTGTCTCTATCTCTCTATATTTACTATATATGTAACATTTCCTCACACACAGAGAAATGTGCTCCCGAGATGACTCTTCTTTTCCTTTCACTTCTTTTTCTTGAGACAGAGTCTCCCTTTATTACCCAGGCTGCAGTGCAGTGGCACGATCATAGCTCACTGCAGCCTTGACTTCCTGGGCTCAGGCAATCCTCCCACCTCAGCCTCCTAAGTAGCTGCAACTAAAGGCGTGCAACACCAGCCTAGCGAATTAAAAAAAAAAAAAAATCTGTAGAGATAGGGTCTCACTATGTTACCCAGGCTGGTCTCGAACTCCTGAGCTCAAGTGATCCTTCTGCCTCAGCCTCCCAAAGTGCTGGGATTACAGGTGTGAGCCACCATGCCTGCCCTTCATTTCACATTTTTATGATTCCCTCAGTCATCATCGATGCCAAGACCTCTGAACCATAGCACAGTAAATGGTGGAATCCATGGGCATGTTCCCCCCAGTAGTCATGGACAGCAGCCCAGGGATTTGGAAGAAGTTGACCTGTTAATGTAAAGGAGCTTTGTCACTGGACTCTGAGCTGGGAGGAGCTGGGGACCTCTTAGCACCCACAACCCAGGTATTAATTAGGACATGAGAATTAAGGGCAGAGTTAGCATCTACCAAGGCAGGAGGCTGGGAGGATGGCTGGGGCCACAGTGAGTTGGATGGGAGACATTGAATCAACAACAGGCCATGCTGTTGGGTGGAGGTCGAGAGCAACTTCTGGTGGAGACTGGAAGGAGAGAAACTGGAGACAGCAAAGGTGGATGACTAGCTTTCCTAGAAATAAGAACAGAAGGGCCAGGCATGGTGGCTCACGCCTGTAATCCTGGCACTTTGGGAGGTGGAGGGAGGAGGATTTCTTGAGCCCAGGAGTTCGAGACCAGCCTGGTCAACATAGGGAGATCCCATCTCTACAAAAAACATACAAAAAGTAAAAAAATAACCAGGCATGACGGCACACATGCACCTGTAGTCGCAGCTACTTGGGAGGCCAAGGTGGGAGGATCACTTAAACCCAGGAGATTGAGGCTGCAGTGAGCCAAGATCATGCCACTATACTCTACCCTGGGTGACAGAGTGAGACCCTGTCTCCAAAAAAACAAAAAAGAAGAGGAAGAAAGAAAGAGAGGAAGGAAGGAAGGAAGTGGGGGGGAGGGAAAGAAAGCAAGAAAGAAAGAAAGAAGAAAGAGAAAGAAAAGAAAGAGAGACAAAGAAAAGAGAGGAAATAAAAAGAAAGAAAGAAAGAAAAGAAAGAAAAAGAAAGAGAGAAAGAAAGAAAGAGAAAGAAAGAGGAAGGAAGGAAGGAAGGGGAAAAACAGAAGAATGGAGCAATAGCTAGAGGGCAAAGTGGGTCAAGGCAGGCTTTGATGGTGGCATTTACACAGAAGCTGTGTTTGCAGCTGATGGGAGGGATGCTGCTACCAAAGAGACAGCCCTGGGGACGTGGGAGGGGACCAGGGTCTAGTGTCCATGGGTAGGTCCCAGAGCTGGGACTAGAGCAAGACAAGCAAGTGTAAAATTTAGAAGGCATTCATTCTCAGGTGCCGACCCTCTACTGGTATGACCCCGGGGGTGAGTGACTCTTTAACTTTTATGCCCTGGGCGCCTTGCTGGCCTGTCTCACCCTAGTCCTGGCCCTGGTAGGCCCATCCACAATGCTAGGAGGGAAGGCAGACCTAGCTGCAGGGAGTTGGGAAACGTGGCCTTGGGAGCAGATGGAGAGCTCTCCTGGCAGCATCTATACCCGAAGATGGAAGGTAAGATTGTGGGCGGAGAAGAGATCCAGGTGCCTTGATGTGAGTGTTGAAGGTGGAAAGCATGCCAGAGCCAGGTGCTAAAATCTTCAGCAAATGATCAAGGGGGTGTGGCTGGGGGGTGGCAGGGCTGTGATGGCAACAAGAAGAGGAAGGTGGAATAGGGAAGGACAAAGTCTGGAGGCAGCTCTGAAAAGGAGACCCCACCCCAGGCTGCCGGGGAAGATTCAGGAAGCTGCAATGGTTTTTTATGAATTTTTTTTTAGAGAGAGAGTCTTGCTATGTTGCCCAAGCTGGCCTCAAGCTCCTGGGCTGAAGCAATCCTCCTGCCTCAGCCGCCTGAGTAGCTGGGACTACAGACTTGTGCCACAATGCCCAGCTGGCACTAGTTATTTTTGGCAGAAGGGAAGTTTCATCCTAAAGCCTGTCTCTTCAGCTCTGGGTGCCAGCTGGAGCCCCGGAAGAGGATCTGGCATCGTGTTTAGGCACAACCCTCACTCTGTCTTTCACTGGGCCAGCAAATATCTATCCATCCTCCCACCGCCTACTCCCAGCCAGCCATGTTCCTGACACTGAGGCCCAGAAGTGAGTCCTGCCCTCCCTGGGGGTGGGAGCCTCCTAAGCCAGCAGAGAGACAGATGCCCTGCAGATCCCCGCCCCGGTCAAGAGCAGGCTTCCATCAGTTCTGGTTCCCAGACTCTCCTCTCCTCAGGCTTCCATGAGTTCTGGTTCCAAGCCCCTCCCCTCCTCTCCCCTCCCCTCCCTCCCTCCCTCCCTCTCTCTCTTTCTTTCTCTCTCTATTTTTCTTTTTTCTCTTTTTGTTTCTTTCTCTTTTTCTGTCTCTTTTTCTTTCTCTCTCTCCTTTCTCTCTCTCCTTCTTTCTCTCTCTCCTTTCTTTCTTCTCTCTCTCTCTTTCTCTCTTTCTTTGTCTTGCTCTATAGCCTAGCCTAGAGTGCAGTGGCATTATCACAGCTCACTGCAGTCTCGACAACCTGGGCTCAAGTGATCCTCTCACCTCAGCCTCCCAAGTAGCTGGGACCACAGGCATGCACCATCACACCTGGCTAATTTTTTTTATTTTTTCTAGAGACGTGTCTCCCTGTGTTGCCCAGGCTGGTCTCAAACTCCTGGGCTCAAGCGATCTTCCTGCCCCATCCTCCTAAAGCACTGGGATTACAGGTATGAGCCACCACACCCAGTCCCAAGCCTCATGTTTTCACACACACACTCACACACACATGCAAACATGTACCCTCACTTCAATGCTATGAGGTGGGTCCTATTATCATCACTGTTTTATTTTCTTTCACATTTTAACATGAGATTTGGAGGGGACAAAACATCCAAACCATATCAAGCCCTCACCTCAGGCTGGGTTGCCCACTCGGAGTGGCACCCCAGGGTCACTGGCCACCACTTCCTAGGGTCAGTGATGTGGTCACCTTGGGATGAACGCACAGGATTTCATGGAGATCACCAAGTCAGGAGAGCTGGAATTTGAAAACAGTGGGACGGGGAGGGCTGTCATATCAACCAGGCCTCTGCAGGGCACTCATCTAGCCCTGCCTCTGGCTCAGCCTGAGCATGGGGCTGGCCACCAGCTAGGTGGCGCTGTCCTTGGAGGTTCTATATCACAGCCCTTTAGAGATCGGTGGTGCTGAAGGGCAGGGATCTTATTCCACCTTCTGAAGCTTCTGTCGAACCAGTTGTAAGGAGAATGGAGAGAGCAGTGAGAGTGGAGTCCGGGGTCCTGGTCGGGGTGGTCTGTCTGCTCCTGGCATGCCCTGCCACAGCCACTGGTAAGACACACCTGCTGGGCCTGCAGAGGTACTTGGTGTGGAGGAGTCAAGAGTGAGACAGGGACAGGGAGCAGTGGGCCGACCGCTCAGGAAACAGTCCTGTTTGGAGGCAGACCAGGGGTTGTGCATTCTCTCTGGGCAGGCGCTCTGCTCTTGCTGTATTTGTTTCGTTGTTTTTGTTGTTGTTGTTTGAGACAGAGTTTTGCTCTTGTTACCCAGGCTGGAGTGCAATGGCGCGATCTCGGCTCACTGCAACCTCCGCCTCCTGGATTCAAGCGATTCTCCTGCCTCAGCCTCCTGAGTAGCTGGGATTACAGGCACCTGCCACCATGGCCGGCTAATTTTTGTATTTTTAGGAGAGATGGGGTTTCACCATGTGGGCCAGGCTGGTCTCAAACTCCTGACCTCAGGTGACCCACCTGCCTCGGCCTCCCAAAGTGCTGGGATTACAGGCGTGAGCCACCGCACCTGGCCTGTCTTTATGTCTTAAGGGGGCCTGAGATTTGTTTTAATGAAGTATAGTAAGACAAGCAGATATGCAAATGACTATCATGAGGGAAGGAGTTTGCTCGTAGTTCCCTGTGAACAGGAAGCAGGCCATGCCACATAGGGCCACAGAGGGAAGCACCAGGTGGCATCAGCCAGGAGGCAGAGGGAGCAGGGGGAAAATGTGGGCAAGCCCCTTTGACACGGTTGCCACGGGAAGGAATAGGCAAGGCAGGCTAAAGAGGTTTACGATTGGCAGCAGGCTCTGGGGAAAGGGGCTGTCCCCAGCCAGCTTCCTGGTACCCGGCTCTGTGGTGATTATGGCTGGTGGATGGCAGCCAGGAGCTGAGAGCTGTATAAAGGAGGTGGTTGGGTATGGCTCTGGACTGGTTTGCCTTTGCTCCCTAGAGAGATGCCTGCCAATTCCACCTCCCCAGAGAGCTGCCTCCTATCTCTAGGAATTGTCTAGCCTGGGAGAGGCAGTCCTCCAGTCTTAGTCTGTTTGTGTTGTTGTAAAAGAATACAGGAAGCTGGGTAATTCACAAAGAAAAGAAGTTTAGTTAGGCCACAGTTCTGCAGGCCGTACAAGAAACATGGTGCCAGCTGGGCATGATGGCTCACACCTGTCGTCCCAGCACTTGGGGAGGCTGAGGTGAAAGGATTGCTTGAGCCCAGGGGTTTGAGACCAGCCTGGGCAACATAATGAGACCCCATCTCTACTTTTTAAAAAATAATTCAGGGCTGGGCATGATGGCTCATGCCTGTAATGCCAGCACTTTGGGAGCCCCAGGTGGATGGATTACTTGAGGTCAGGAGTTCGAGACCAGCCTGGCCAACATGATGAAACCCCGTCTCTACTAAAAATACAAAAATTAGCCAGGCGTTGTGGTGCACACCTGTAATCCCAGCTACTTGGGAGGCTGAGGCCCTGGAGTCGCTTGAACTCGGGAGTCAGAGGTTGCAGTGAGCCAAGATCGTGCCACTGCACTCCAGCTTGGTCAACAGAGCTAGACCCTGTCTCAAACACAAAAAATAAAAACAAAGAAATGGGCAAGTGGCTGGCCCCAAGGCACAAGGCCCTAGTGGCAGGCCCGGTCTGGCCTGGAGTGGAGTGGTAGTGACTCTCAGGCAGGCAGGGAGGAGGAAGTTGGGCGTCAACCTAAGACCAGGCTCACCGGCTTGCTGGGAAGGTTACCAAGATGCTGTGTGGTAAGTACTGAGAACAGCCTGAGGGTTTGTCTTTCACTCCTTCCCCTCATGGGGGCTGCAAACTCACCCCGTGGCCTTTCTGTCCTTCCCTCAGGGCCCGAAGTTGCTCAGCCTGAAGTAGACACCACCCTGGGTCGTGTGCGAGGCCGGCAGGTGGGCGTGAAGGGCACAGACCGCCTTGTGAATGTCTTTCTGGGCATTCCATTTGCCCAGCCGCCACTGGGCCCTGACCGGTTCTCAGCCCCACACCCAGCACAGCCCTGGGAGGGTGTGCGGGATGCCAGCACTGCGCCCCCAATGTGAGTAGTGCTGGTGGAGGCGGGCAAACAGGCAGGTTGCAGGAGAATCCTGCTGCTGGGGCTTGTGGGGCTGAACAGCTGGACCTCAGGCCCACCCTTGGCCACAGGTGCCTACAAGACGTGGAGAGCATGAACAGCAGCAGATTTGTCCTCAACGGAAAACAGCAGATCTTCTCCGTTTCAGAGGACTGCCTGGTCCTCAACGTCTATAGCCCAGCTGAGGTCCCCGCAGGGTCCGGTAGGCCGGTAGGCACCCCAGAGGGCCCTGTCCACCTGATCCAGCTCCACTATGCCTACCTGTCCCCTCCCCGTCCCTGTTTCCAAAGCACCCTAGCGGTCCTGAGACTGCCTGGGCTGGCAGGTGGGCAGCTAAGGTCTCAGGAGCTTGGGGGTCAGTGCCCCATGGCCACCTCTGCAGGTCATGGTATGGGTCCATGGAGGCGCTCTGATAACTGGCGCTGCCACCTCCTACGATGGATCAGCTCTGGCTGCCTATGGGGATGTGGTCGTGGTTACAGTCCAGTACCGCCTTGGGGTCCTTGGCTTCTTCAGGTGAGACGACAGGCATGGCCAGAGCACTGCCTGCACCGGGGAGAGGCCAGCTCACCAGAGCAACTGGGGATCTAGGTTGGGGTCCGGAACCTGAAGGGAGGGCCCCTTACCCATGATGTCTGAGGCAGAGAAGGGCACCCCCCAAGCCTCCACCCTGGGAGAGGGGTCCAGCCAAAGCCAGAATTATACAGTGAACTTGGTCCCTTGGGCAGAGGGCATTGATTCCTGGGCTGAAGCCCAGGTTCCAGCAGGATATGGGACAAAGAGCAACAGGCTGTGGAGATGCCAACCACGGCTCCCAGACAGGCCAGACCTGGGGAGCAGAGAAGGGTCTGGCATCCTGGTGGCTAATTCAAAGCAAACCTGCAGAGGCTGGCGAGGAGCCAGGCTGAACTAACCGTTGCCCCAACACTGCCCCCAGCACTGGAGATGAGCATGCACCTGGCAACCAGGGCTTCCTAGATGTGGTAGCTGCTTTGCGCTGGGTGCAAGAAAACATCGCCCCCTTCGGGGGTGACCTCAACTGTGTCACTGTCTTTGGTGGATCTGCCGGTGGGAGCATCATCTCTGGCCTGGTAAGTCACTATAGGGGGCTAGTGATGGTGGCCAGGAGGGCTCCGGTGGTCTCAGAACTCCCAGCTCCTCTGCCCTCCTCTGACAGCCACCTCCTCTCTCCAATGCACCCAGGTCCTGTCCCCAGTGGCTGCAGGGCTGTTCCACAGAGCCATCACACAGAGTGGGGTCATCACCACCCCAGGGATCATCGACTCTCACCCTTGGCCCCTAGCTCAGGTCTGTATTTCCTTCCCTCTCTTACTCTATGTGTGCCTCCCATACCCCACTCTGTGCTGGCCCTGGGGTCTCAGAGTAGCGGGGTTTGCTGGCAGGGAGCTCCCTGTTAGCAAAGAGAAGCCCAATAAGACGAAGGAGCATCAGAGGAAACAACTGCTGCATTCCAGCATATTGGCACTCAGGGAGGGCTTCCTGAAGGAAGCCACCCTGAAGCATATCATTGTTGGCCCTTTCTCCAGGGTGGGGTCTTCAGGAGCACCCCTCTCTGCCCCAGGCAGCATGGTGGAGGGGGTCTCCATTGCCAGCCACCTGCTGCCTGCGAGCTCTCCATTCAGGCTCCAGATCCCCACCCTAGATCCTCATTGTAAGGCCTTGTGAAGAAAATCCAGGGGAAGCCACAGTGGGAACTGCATCTGCAAAGGCTGCAGGTGTGGGAGAGAGTGACAGGTCCTGCAGGAGCAAGCTCGCAGGTTAGGGAACAGGGCAGGAAGTGAAGGTGCTGGAGAAGTGGGGGCCATGCCTGGGAATCTGGACTTTCTCCAGAGGGCAGGAAGAAGTTGGGCAATGACAAGGTTGAGCTACCTGGAGTAGAAGGTGGGTTGGAGGGAGCCGTCCTGAAGATCAAGACACCAGTGAAATGACCAGGGCAGAGTCCAGGAGAAAGAGACAGGATGGAATAGGGATAGAGCCATCGGGGAGAGAGGGGGCAAATGTGAGCAGGATTTGGAAGACTGGGTCAATTCCCTCACCTGGCCCCAGATGGTGGCCAAGGCAGTGTGGGCTGGGCATTTTAACCACTGTGTACAAGATGATTCTGGAACCTCTGCGTGGGCATGTTGACTCTTGTATGGACAACAGCATCCTCCTCTCAACCTCCCCATCCCATCCTCTCCCCATGGCCAGGAGAGATTTTCTCAACCACAGACTTGAGGTCATTCCCTGTCTCTCCTGTGTCCAAAGAAAAACACAGCTCAAGGCTGAGGTTGGCGGATCACAAAGTCAGGAGATCAAGGTGATCCTGGCTAACATGGTGAAACCCCATCTCTACTAAAAATACAAAAAATTAGCCGGGCATGGTGGCAGGTGCCTGTAGTCCCAGCTACTCAGGAGGCTGAGGCAGAAGAATGGTGTGAACCCGGGACGCAGAGCTTGCGGTGAGCCAAGATCATGCCACTGCACTCCAGCCTGGGCGACAGAGCGAGAGTCTGTCTCAAAAAAATAATAATAAAAGATAATGACACTATTCTTAGAGGGCAATGAGGACTCAGTGCCCCCATTCCCCCAGATAATAAAATTATGGTATAATAGGGGACGCAAGGGGGCCCTTGGGACCACCCAAGCTGACGGGCAGGGCAGGCTTCTCAGGAGTGGTGACAAGTCTGTGACCAGTCTCGAGGCCGATCTGTGACATCACATCCAGCTGTCCTACAGATGCACCCTCTCTGTGGGAGGCAGAAGGCTGCAAGGTGGGGCTGAGTGGCTGAGAGGGAGGCATGACTCTTTCATTTGTCCCCAGAAAATCGCAAACACCTTGGCCTGCAGCTCCAGCTCCCCGGCTGAGATGGTGCAGTGCCTTCAGCAGAAAGAAGGAGAAGAGCTGGTCCTTAGCAAGAAGCTGGTATGGCCACCCTTTTGGGGATGGTGCCGGGCAATGGCACAGAGGGGGTTCTATCCATCCCCTGCAGGAGCAGAGGGGCAGTCTACCCCCAGGTGGGGCTGGGGACAGCAGCTCATGAGGGGAAGGGGCTGAGGGCTTGGAGACAGAAATGGAGGGCCATCTCCATCCCCACAGCAGGCCTGTCTTCTAGGAAAGAAACTGGACGCATCTGTTGCCCTGATCTCCTGGTTCCCCCGACCCCCTTAACCCTGGTGATCTTCATCCCTTCACTTTCCCTCCAGGCTCAGACACTCAGGCCTGCAGCTCAGTGGCTGCTGGGGTCCTAGCCTTTGAGGCTTGGCCCTAACTTGGGAGCCTCCTGCATTGCTTTCTCCTGCAGAAAAATACTATCTATCCTCTCACCGTTGATGGCACTGTCTTCCCCAAAAGCCCCAAGGAACTCCTGAAGGAGAAGCCCTTCCACTCTGTGCCCTTCCTCATGGGTGTCAACAACCATGAGTTCAGCTGGCTCATCCCCAGGGTGAGTTGCTCCCACCCCTGTGCCCTTCAAGGCCCTGCCCCAGCCAGTACCTGCCACCCCAGCATCAACACTACAGCCTTGTGAACGGAGCACTCCCGTTACTCCCATTTGATAAGTGAGAAAGCAGAGGCCCAGAAAGGTTTGAGGGACTTGCCCAAGGTCACCCAGCTTTGTTTTGTTGTGTTGTTGTTTTGCTTTTTTTTTTCTGTTTTTGTTTGTTTGTTTGTTTGTTTTTGAGACAGAGTCTCGCTCTGTCACCCAGGCTGGAGTGCAGTGGTGCGATCTCAGCTCACTTCAACCTCCACCTCCTGGGTTCAAGAGTTTCTCCTGCCTCAGCCTCCCAAGCAGCTGGGATTACAGGCACATGCCACCACACCCAGCTTTCACCACGTTGGCCAGGCTGGTCTCAAGCTCCTGACCTCAAGTAATCCATCTGCTTTGGCCTTCCGAAGTGTTGGGATTACAGGCGTGGGCCACTTCAATAAAGCAAATGTTTTCTTTTGGGGAACAAGGTTTTTGCACAAACTGGCCTTCTGGGCACTGCTGATCTGGGCAGCATATTCCTGCCTTGGCGTCTGGTTTATACATCAGGCTCTATGAGACTGGTTAGTGTGACTCTGTGCCAGAGCAATTGACTAAAACTCTCAGGTTTTAGATATCAAGCCACCGGGGACTTCATGAGCCAAGTCCCTTCCATTCCTTTCCAGGTGCATAGAACTTCCCACAAGAGTGTCAGCACTGTGCTTTCATCCCGAGCATCTTGTTTCTGTCATTCTTATTCTTCTACCCATCTTCACAGCAATCATTTTCTTCACTTTTCTTTTTTTTTTTTTTTCGTCTTGGCCCATTGCACACCCTAAGACAAAGCAATCCATTTTTGTTGTTGTTGTTGTTTGTGTGTTTGTTTGTTTTTTGAGACAGAGCCTCGATCCATCATCCAGGCTGCAGTGCAGCAGCGCCATCATGACTCTCTACTGCCTCAACCTCTCAGGCCCGAGCAATCCTCCCAGCTTCCTGAGTAGCTCGGGCCTCAGGTCTGTGCCACCATACTCTGCTAACTTTTTTTTTCTTCCGTGTATAGTCAGGTCTCCCTCTGTTGCCCAAGCTGGTCTAGAGCACCTGGCCTCAAGCAATCCTCTTGCCTCGACCTCCCACAGTGCTGGGATTACAGACATGAGCCACAGCACCCAGCCAACAACCACTTTTAATGGCTGCAAATCTTCCACAAATGGAGCGTCTCGTTACATTGTTCTTTCATCTTGGCATTTGGGCATCTTCTAGTTTTTTTGTTTGTTTGTTTGTTTTGTTTTTGAGATGGAGTTTTGCTCTTGTTGCCCAGGGTGGAGTGCAATGGCGCGATCTTAGCTCACCGCACTGCAACCTCTGCCTCCCAGGTTCAAGCGATTCTCCTGCCTCAGCCTCCTGAGTAGCTGGGATTACAGGCATCTGCCACCATGCCTGGCTAATTTTTGTATTTTTTTTAGTAGAGATGGGGTTTCTCCATGTTGGACAGGCTGATCTGGAACTCCTGAACTCAGGTGATCCACCAGCCTTGGCCTCCCAAAATGCTGGGATTACAGGCATGAGGCTGCACCCGGTCCTGGCAACTTCTAGTTTTTACCACTGAGGCTAATAGCGCAGTGAATGTCTTCATGTCCATGGCTTTTGTCCTCTGACTTAGCCCTTTGGAATCAATCCCCTCATATTGGTCCCTTGGTATGTGAGAGAGAGGCTCATGCAATCTTGACATTCAAAGACAAAGCTTAAGCCGGGTGCGGTGGCTCATGCCTATAATCCCAGCACTTTGGGAGGCTGAGGTGAGTGGGTCACTTGAAGTCAGGAGTTCGAGACCAGCCTAGCCAACATGGTGAAACCCCATCTGTACTAAAAATACAAAAATTAGCTGGGCGTGGTGGTGCATGCCTGTAATTCCAGCTACTCAGGAGGCTGAGGCACGAGAATCACTTGAACCCAGGAGGCAGAGGCTGCAGTGAGCCGAGACTGTCCCACTATACTCCAGCCTGGGTGACAGAGTGAGACACTGTCTCACAAAATACAAAGCTTGTAAAAGTTTTCAGGTCAATGCCCTCAACTCTGGCAGGCAGCCTTTACCCCACACCATCAACTTACAGTTGTATGAGTGAAACCAAGGGAACCCCAACCTGGCTGTGCCCCAGGACCTGGGTAGATCTGCCTGGCGTGGAAGGCTGTGCCCAGGACTTGTTGCTGAGAATGTTTCTTAGAAGTTGGGTGACTCAGGCTGGGCCCGGCGGCTCATGCCTTTAATCCCAGCACTTTGGGAGGCCAAGGCAGGCGGATCACTCAAGGCCAGGAGTGTGAGACCAGCCTGGCCAACATGGCATAACCCCACCTCTACTAAAAATACAAAAATTAGCCAGGCACGGTGGTGCACGTCTGCGGTCCCAGCTACTCGGGAGGCTGAGGCAGGAGAATAGCTTGAACCCAGGAGGCGGAGGTTGCGGTGAGCCGAGATTGCGCCACTGCACTCCAGCCTGGGCAACGGAGTGAGTCTCTGTCTCAAAAAAAAAATGTTGAAGAAATTTTTCATTCTCTACAGTTGCCTTTAACCACTTGCCTGTTGTATTTGGGGCTGCTCTCCCCATCCACACCAACCACCTCCCACCAATTTGCGGTTTATCTTTTTGGATCTGTGGACTTTTCGGCCCCATTTTGGCCAAGTGCTCCATGATGAGTTTCTGGCCTCAGGACCGTGAACACTCTCTTGCCCAGGGCTGGGAGTCGGGGTGAGCCGGTGGTCAGGCTCCACTGAGAGGGCCTTGGTGTCCACACAGGGCTGGGGTCTCCTGGATACAATGGAGCAGATGAGCCGGGAGGACATGCTGGCCATCTCAACACCCGTCTTGACCAGTCTGGTGAGACAAGAGGCAGGAGGGAGGAAGCTAGGGCAGGAGGGAGGAAGCTAGTGGGTATCCCATCCAACAGCACAGTCTCTGCCCCTACCTTCCGACACCCACAGCTACCCACCTACCACCAAGCCCCTTTGTCTAACTGATCAATTTTACTTCCACTCCGGAATCTCCTTAGATATGAGCCAGTGTGGTTCTCAAAGGAAAACCATCATCACCATCATCGTCAACATGAAACTGCCCGTTAATGAGCACATATTACGTGCCAGGGACTATGGTGCACTGAGCGCCGGGAGAGGGTTTCATCTCCTTCAATCCTCACTGCAACTCTGTTTTCTTTTCTTTTCTTTTCTTTGTTTTTTTTTTTTTTTTTGAGACAGAGTCTTGCTCTGTCGCCAAGGCTGGAGTGCAGTGGCCCGATCTCGGCTCACCGCAACATCCACCTCCCTCATTCAAGCGATTCTCCTGCCTCAGCCTCCCGAGTAGCTGGGATTACAGGCCCCTGCCACCATGCCCGGCTAATTTTTGTGTTTTAGTAGAGACAGGGTTTCACCATGTTGGCCAGGCTGGTCTCAAACTCCTGACCTCAGGTGATTCACCCGCCTCGGCCTCCCAAAGTGCTGGGATTGCGAGCGTGGAGCCACCGCGCCCGGCGCTGCAACTCTTTACAGAGGAATTCTCGCTAGCCCCATTTTACACATGAGGAAACTGAGGCTTGAGGTGTCATGCTGGGGAAGGGGCAGAGGCAGAGTTTAAGCCAGTTTTGTCTGACCCTAGAGCCTCAGCTGTCAGATGTGGAGCTAGATAGACCTGGGGCCAAATCCCAGCCCTGGGCACTTGCCCAGTTATCCTATCCCCTCTAAGCCCATCTCTTCATCTACACATGGGGATGACACTGCCCACTCGCCTGGGCTGTTGTAAGGAGACTAGACGTTGCATTTGAAGAGTCTACCTGGGATCTCAATACCAGGGGCTGTTCAATCTTTGTCCATTTCCCTTCTTTGGAAGCCCCAGAACCCTTCCCATTCACGCAATCTCATCACTGCCCTCTGGAGCTGAGGGGAGCCCCTATCATTTCTGCTCTCACTTACTTCCCAGTTAACTTCAACCGAGCACCTGCTTCCAGGCCAGACCCTTTGCTGGGGACTTCACATAGGCTGCCAGGCAGAGACTGACTTTCAGAGAGGTTTAGCCACCTGTCTGCGATCACACAGCCAAGCAGTGGTTGCAGAGCTAAGATCTGACTCCAAACCTGAGCTTATGCCAAACTCCCAGGGAGGCAGAGAGGCAGCTGGCTGTCCCCTGGACCATCAGCCCTGGGATTTGAGGGAAGCTATGCTGGAGAGTTTGGGGCTTCCTGGGATGGTCTGCCACATCTGTGCACCCTGAGCAGGGCTGAGCCTGGCCTCTTGCCCCAGGATGTGCCCCCTGAGATGATGCCCACCGTCATAGATGAATACCTAGGAAGCAACTCGGACGCACAAGCCAAATGCCAGGCGTTCCAGGAATTCATGGGTGACGTATTCATCAATGTTCCCACCGTCAGTTTTTCAAGATACCTTCGAGGTAAGCCTGTCCCTGGCCACCTGCCCAACCCCTCCCACTTGGGCCCAGGAGCTGGGTCATCACAGGTGACATGGCATGATAGGGTGCTGGTTCCCTCAATGCCTTGCACCCCACACCCCACTGCCCCCCACCAAACCTATCTTTCTCTGGGATGCAGTGTCATAGTAATGAGAGGTATCTCCAGCAGGAAACTATGCAGAGGAGAAAACCTCAGACTCAGAGAGGTACAATGACTCACCAAAGGTCACCCAGCAGGGCCTATCACTAATTCTCAGGGATTCACTCAAATGGGTGATTTCATCCTCTTTCAGCACTTCTGGGGGGAAAGTCTTGCTTCCTTCAAGCCTAGTAGCTAATCCCTGATGCAGACCCAGAACAGTTCCAGACCCAGAACTTTGTGACCTTGGGCAAGATACCTACCCCCTCTGAGCCTCAGTTTCCTCCTTTGTAAAATGGAAATAATAATAGAATCTAATCTATTAATTCTATTAATACAGAATCTATTGTGATGGGGATTCAATAAATGATGACACTGGCCAGGCGCGGTGGGTGGCTCAATCTTGTGATCCCAGTACTTTGGGAGAAGCGGGAGGATCGCTTGAGCCCAGGAGTTCAAGACCAGCCTGGGCAACATATTGACCCCAATCTCTACACAAATTTTTTGAAAATTAGCCGGGCATGGTGGTACACACCTGTAGTCCCAGATACTTGGGAAGCTGAAGTGGGAAGATCACTTGAGCGCGGGAGTCTCAGGCTGCAGTGAGCTGTGATCATGCCACTGCACTCCAGCCTGGTCGACAGCAAGACCATTTCAGAGATTAAAATAAAAATATTAAATTAAATTAAAATGATGACACAAAGCACACAGAATGGTGCCTGTCACCTAGCAAGCGCTCAGTAAATGTTTGCAGCTAGTCATTTTATCATCATCATCATCATCATCATGGAAATTGGTGTTATTATGAGCATGTGCTGCCAAAGGCAGCATCGAATCAGGCCATGAGTGCCTAACTCCCATCCCATCCTTTCTCTGTAGATTCTGGAAGCCCTGTCTTTTTCTATGAGTTCCAGCATCGACCCAGTTCTTTTGCGAAGATCAAACCTGCCTGGGTGAAGGCTGATCATGGGGCCGAGGGTGCTTTTGTGTTCGGAGGTCCCTTCCTCATGGACGAGAGCTCCCGCCTGGGTGAGGACAGACAGACAGACATGTGATCCCTAGGCTGCCAGACTCCAAGGGGCCTGGGCAGGGCTTGCAGGAACACGGGTCTCCAGTCAGCACTGAGGATCCTTGGGTCCCTTCCAGGTCCCACCTGACTCTCGTTCAGTTCTGTCCCTCTCACCTTTCCAGCCTTTCCAGAGGCCACAGAGGAGGAGAAGCAGCTAAGCCTCACCATGATGGCCCAGTGGACCCACTTTGCCCGGACAGGGTGAGTGAGTGACAGGGCATAGCTCGCTTTGGGCCTGGGATGCTCAGGTCGGCCCCTCTGGGGGACAGCACAGGAAGCCTTGGTCCTCATTCATTCCTCCCACCCAGGGACCCCAATAGCAAGGCTCTGCCTCCTTGGCCCCAATTCAACCAGGCGGAACAATATCTGGAGATCAACCCAGTGCCACGGGCCGGACAGAAGTTCAGGGAGGCCTGGATGCAGTTCTGGTCAGAGACGCTCCCCAGCAAGATACAACAGTGGCACCAGAAGCAGAAGAACAGGAAGGCCCAGGAGGACCTCTGAGGCCAGGCCTGAACCTTCTTGGCTGGGGCAAACCACTCTTCAAGTGGTGGCAGAGTCCCAGCACGGCAGCCCGCCTCTCCCCCTGCTGAGACTTTAATCTCCACCAGCCCTTAAAGTGTCGGCCGCTCTGTGACTGGAGTTATGCTCTTTTGAAATGTCACAAGGCCGCCTCCCACCTCTGGGGCATTGTACAAGTTCTTCCCTCTCCCTGAAGTGCCTTTCCTGCTTTCTTCGTGGTAGGTTCTAGCACATTCCTCTAGCTTCCTGGAGGACTCACTCCCCCAGGAAGCCTTCCCTGCCTTCTCTGGGCTGTGCGGCCCCGAGTCTGCGTCCATTAGAGCACAGTCCACCCGAGGCTAGCACCGTGTCTGTGTCTGTCTCCCCCTCAGAGGAGCTCTCTCAAAATGGGGATTAGCCTAACCCCACTCTGTCACCCACACCAGGATCGGGTGGGACCTGGAGCTAGGGGGTGTTTGCTGAGTGAGTGAGTGAAACACAGAATATGGGAATGGCAGCTGCTGAACTTGAACCCAGAGCCTTCAGGTGCCAAAGCCATACTCAGGCCCCCACCGACATTGTCCACCCTGGCCAGAAGGGTGCATGCCAATGGCAGAGACCTGGGATGGGAGAAGTCCTGGGGCGCCAGGGGATCCAGCCTAGAGCAGACCTTAGCCCCTGACTAAGGCCTCAGACTAGGGCGGGAGGGGTCTCCTCCTCTCTGCTGCCCAGTCCTGGCCCCTGCACAAGACAACAGAATCCATCAGGGCCATGAGTGTCACCCAGACCTGACCCTCACCAATTCCAGCCCTGACCCTCAGGACGCTGGATGCCAGCTCCCAGCCCCAGTGCCGGGTCCTCCCTCCCTTCCTGGCTTGGGGAGACCAGTTTCTGGGGAGCTTCCAAGAGCACCCACCAAGACACAGCAGGACAGGCCAGGGGAGGGCATCTGGACCAGGGCATCCGTCGGGCTATTGTCACAGAGAAAAGAAGAGACCCACCCACTCGGGCTGCAAAAGGTGAAAAGCACCAAGAGGTTTTCAGATGGAAGTGAGAGGTGACAGTGTGCTGGCAGCCCTCACAGCCCTCGCTTGCTCTCCCTGCCGCCTCTGCCTGGGCTCCCACTTTGGCAGCACTTGAGGAGCCCTTCAACCCGCCGCTGCACTGTAGGAGCCCCTTTCTGGGCTGGCCAAGGCCGGAGCCAGCTCCCTCAGCTTGCGGGGAGGTGCGGAGGGAGAGGGGCGGGCAGGAACCGGGGCTGCGCGCAGCGCTTGCGGGCCAGAGTGAGTTCCGGGTGGGCGTGGGCTCGGCGGGGCCCCACTCAGAGCAGCTGGCCGGCCCCAGGCAGTGAGGGCCTTAGCACCTGGGCCAGCAGCTGCTGTGCTCGATTTCTCGCTGGGCCTTAGCTGCCTCCCCGCGGGGCAGGGCTCGGGACCTGCAGCCCTCCATGCCTGACCCTCCCCCCACCCCCCGTGGGCTCCTGTGCGGCCGGAGCCTCCCCAAGGAGCGCCGCCCCCTGCTCCACAGCGCCCAGTCCCATCGACCACCCAAGGGCTGAGGAGTGCGGGTGCACAGCGCGGGACTGGCAGGCAGCTCCACCTGCTGCCCCAGTGCTGGATCCACTGGGTGAAGCCAGCTGGGCTCCTGAGTCTGGTGGGGACTTGGAGAACCTTTATGTCTAGCTAAGGGATTGTAAATACACCGATGGGCACTCTGTATCTAGCTCAAGGTTTGTAAACACACCAATCAGCACCCTGTGTCTAGCTCAGTGTTTGTGAATGCACCAATCCACACTCTGTATCTGGCTACTCTGGTGGGGACTTGGAGAACCTTTGTGTCCACACTCTGTATCTAGCTAATCTAGTGGGGATGTGGAGAACCTTTGTGTCTAGCTCAGGGATCGTAAACGCACCAATCAGCACCCTGTCAAAACAGACCACTTGACTCTCTGTAAAATGGACCAATCAGCAGGATGTGGGTGGGGCGAGACAAGAGAATAAAAGCAGGCTGCCTGAGCCAGCAGTGACAACCCCCCTCGGGTCCCCTCCCACGCCGTGGAAGCTTTGTTCTTTCGCTCTTTGCAATAAATCTTGCTACTGCCCACTCTTTGGGTCCACACTGCCTTTATGAGCTGTAACACTCACCGCGAAGGTCTGCAGCTTCACTCCTGAGCCAGCGAGACCACGAACCCACCAGAAGGAAGAAACTCCGAACGCATCTGAACCTCAGAAGGAACCAGTTCCCGACACGCCACCTTTCAGAACTGTAACACTCACCGGGAGGGTCCGTGGCTTCATTCTTGAAGTCAGTGAGACAAAGAACCCACCAATTCCGGACACAGAAGTAAACATTTCTTGCTTTGAGGATCAATGTACCACTACCTTAAAACACCTGGGTTTATTTTTGTTTTTGTTTTAGAGACAGGGTCCACTCTGCTGTGCATGCTGGACTGAAGTGGCACGATTGTAGCTCTCTGCAGCCTTGAACTCCTCGAACTCACTGCAGCCTCGAACTCAATCAAGCGATTCTCCCCCCTCAGCCTCCCAAGTAGCGGGGACTGCAAGTGAGTGTCGCCATGCCTGGATAATTTTTTTAGTTTTTGTAGGGACAGGGTATCACCATGTTGCCGAGACTGGCCTCAAACTCCTGGCCTCAAATGATCTTCCCGGCTCGGCCTTCCAAAACACTGGGATTGCAGGTGTGTCCCACTGTGCCCAGCCAACACCTGGATTTCAATACATATCCCAGAGTCTTCCCTGCCCCCGTTATGCCATCCTACCAGCTCCAGTCGCACAAATGCCCTTCCTCAGTCAGACTGAGCTGCTGGCTGCTGATGGGTGGGTGAAAAGCATTTTCATTTTCTTTTTTCTTTCTTCCTTTCTTTCTGTCTTGTTTTTTTGAGATGGAGTTTCACTCTTGTTGCCCAGGCTGGAGTGCAATGACACGATCTCAGCCCACTGAAACCTCTACCTCCCAGGTCCAGGCAATTCTCCTGAATCAGCCTCCCGAGTAGCTGGGATTACAGGCGCCCACCATCATGCCCAGCTAATTTTTTTGTATTTTTAGTAGAGACAGGGTTTCACCATGTTGGCCAGGCTGGTCTTGAACTCCTGACTTCAGATGATCCACCCACCTCGGCCTCCCAAAGTGCTGGGATTACAGGCGTGAGCCACCGCGCCTGGCCAGCATTTTCATTTCCAACTGGAACCAGCTCTGTTCTGGGAAGTCCATTTTGGGGAGGAAGGAGAGACAGAAAGCCAGAAGGGCTCTGAGTCATATCATTCTCCTGCTCGAAAGCTCCTGGTGACTCCCTGTCTCCCTGAAGACAAGTCCAAGTTCTCCACGTGCCACTGAAGTCCTGCTATTCTCATCCACTTCCTTCCACCAGGGAAGTTCATCCCCACAAGCTGGTAGAGCTTGACAAGTAGGCCCTGGCCGGGCACGGTGGCTCACGCCTGTAATCCCAGCACTTTGGGAAGCCGAAGCGGGTGGATCACCTGAGGTCAGGAGTTCGAGTCCAGCCTGGCCAACATAGCGAAACCTTCTCTGTATTAAAAAATACAGAAATCAGCCAGGCGTGCTAGTGTGCACCTGTAGTCCCAGTTACTAGAGAGGCTGAGCCAGGAGAATCACATGAACCCGGGAGGCAGAGGTTGCAGTGAGCCGAGATCACGCCACTGCACTCCAGCCTGGGTGACAGAGTGAGACCTTGTCTCAAAAACAAAACAAAACAAAACAGGCCCCAATAATACAGTGTGTAACTGGGACACGAAGGGCTGTGAGGACACAGAGACGTAGACCAGCCCAGACTTGGGAGACAGGGAAGGAGGGACATCTCAGCTGAGACCCGAGGAATAAACAGAGGTTACTCAACCGTGCAGACCAGCGTAGAAGACTGGAAGGGTGGGGAGCGGGGGAAGGGCGTGCCTGGCAGAGGGAACAACAGCAGCAAAGGCCTGAAGGATGCAATGTGTGGAGGAATCGCGGCTCTGCAGGGCTGGAGAGGTCAGCAAAGAGCAGACGTGAGAGGACTTGTGGGCTGCGACAGGGGTCGGCATGGACTTGACGCTCATGGAAGCCCTGTTGTATGGAGGAGGGTGGCTGGGAGGGGGGAGAGGAGGGGGAGAGCAGGGAGAACAGGGAGGGGACCAGGGTGGGCTGCCAGGTGGATGGAGAGGCACTGGTGGGCTCTAGATTTAGAGTCCGCAGACAAGACCGGGCGACTGACCAGACACAGAGGTTGGGGAAAAGAAGCCCCGATAGGGCAGCCTTAAGGCAAGCAGGAGTGGACCCGGAAATCAGGGGTCTGGTGTGGGCCACACTGGATGTACAAAGAGGCCTCTTCCTCTGGGCCTGATGGTGGCCCCCACAGGGCAGCCATGGGAGTGTAGCGGGGGGGTGTTACCAGGTTGGGTATCGCCAACACCAGCAGGCCCTGGAGAGGGTGGGCAAGCCGGCTGCTGAGGCCTCAGACCCTGTCCTAGCTCCAGCCCTCTCCGCCAAGGGCATCCTTCACCCAGGGAGGGAGGAGAATGTCTGGTACTGCCCCAGGGGTCGGGGGATATGACCTACCAGGCAGAGGGGATTCCAGGCCTCATGCCTCTGTATTCTCTCTTCCCTGAGGCTCCCTGAAGGCCCCTCCATGCCCTAGGACCCAGCAGCCATGCAGAGCTGAAGGGAGCAAGCCAAAGACTCAGACAGGCGTGGCCCTGCAGGACAGGGACTGGTGGACCCGGGAGCCTCCCAGTGGAAGGGCCACAGGAAGGGCCAAGTGAACAGTGCAGGAGTGTGAGCACCAGGGGGCGCTGCAGGATCAGACGTGCACACCTGGACCCCGCCACAGGATGAGGTCCTAGCAGATGCTTCCAGTATCTACCCAAGGCCAACCTTAGTTACTCACACAACCCGACAGTCTCACACACACACGCTCACGGATAGGGTTCCTACGAGTTCCACCATTTACTGGGTGTGTATCTTCTCTTTATTTTATTTCTATTTTTTATTTTTGTTGAGATAGAGTCTCACTCTGTCACCAAGGCCGGAGTGCATTGGTGTGATCTTGCTTCACTGCAACCTCTGTCTCCAGGCTTCAAATGATTCTTGTGCCTCAGCCTCCCAAGTAGCTGGGATTACAGGCGCCCACCACCACACCTGGATAATTTTTGTTTTTAGTAGAGACGGGGTTTCACCATGTTGGCCAGGCTAGTCTCTAACTCTTGGCCCCAAGTGATCCACCCACCTCGGCCTCCCAAAGTGCTGGGATTACAGGCATGAGCCACTGCACTCGACCACAGATGTGTATCTTTGAGTAAGCTGTGTATCCTCTTTGTTCCTCAGTTTTCTCATCTGTAAAATGAGAGTAAGGTTAGTGACTCCCTTCCCAGGTCTGGCTGTGAGTACTGAAACATCATTAGCCATGAAGCACCTAGAGTCGTGCTTGACACACAGCCAGTGCTAAATAAGTGCTCCCTGGCACAGGTATAAACACTCTGCTCGCAATGTCCAAAAAAATCATATGGCTCCTCGACTACAACTCAAACATGGAAGAATTGGGGTATGTCAGGGAGCATCATAATATTGGCATGAGTCTCTTCCACCTTAAAATAACTTCTGGGACTAGGGGCAGTTGCTCACACCTGTAACCCCAGCACTTTGGGAAGCCGAGGTGGGAGGATCGCTTGAGGCCAGGAATTTAAGACCAGCCTGGGCAACATCGCAAGGCCCCATCTGTACAAAAAGTTTTAAAAATTAGCCAGATGTTGTGTCTCACACCTGTAGTAGTGTGAGGCAGGAGGATGGCTTGAGCCCAGGAGTTCGAGGTTACAGTGAGCTGATTGAGCCACAACACTCCAGGCTGGGCAACAGAGTGAGACTCTGTCTCTAAGTAAATAAATAACTTCTGAGCCTGTAGCTGCCCAAAAGAATTGGTCGGTGGACCCCTGGGAGGCTCTGAATGGCAGGTTGAGTGTCATATAGAGTCTGTGTCCCTCCCTGGGGACTTCAGGGAAGCCATGTTCAAGTTCCTCCCCAGTCTGTCTATAGCCCCACCTCCTGGGTTTTAGCCACCCCCCATCTCCACTTCTGCACGCCCCCGCAGCCTCCACCCCAGTTCCCAGTCCAGCCTGCCCAGGCTCCGGGAAGGCTATTCCAAGAACAGGAAGGAACTTGGCAGGGGAACGCCAGCTCTGGTTCTTGCAGTGGCACCCACATGGCCTTCTTTCCCTGCCCTAGCCTGCCTGCCTTCCTTCCCATCACCCCCAGACCTCCCACACTTTGGGGCATCGTTGCCACTGGAGCCTCTCTTCGGGTGACGTTGCCCCTCCCTGCTGCCCCCAAGCTGGCCCCTTCCCACTCTTCAGACCTTGACCAGGACCCCAGGAAACAAGGCAATCGCTGGCGGTGCGGGTAGGGGTGAGGTCCAGGCTTCTCCCGGCCACCCACTGAGCTCTCCTCTGAGCTCAAGCTTACTCACACCCGGCCTCTCCCGCAGGCCTCTGGGCCGTCCTCTGGGGTTCCGAGAGGACCCCACCTTACAGATGAGGAAATTAGAATCAGAGAGGGGCAGTACCGTGCCTGAGGCCACACAGTGAGAACAAAGGCAGGACTCACACCCAAGTTTACTGGCCTTCAAACTGCAAGTCCTTCCCCTCCAGAATGTGCCCTTGTGTCTAGGGTGGCCTTCCAGGTGCTGGAGTTGGGGTCTAGTGGGCTGACTTGGGTGGGGGGACTGGGATTCTAGTTAGGCCAGCAAGGGAGGCCCAGAGGAGGGGTTTTGCAAGGCAGTGGCTTCAGACTGGGGCTGGACAGCCCGCAGGGAGATGACAGGGGCCAGCCCTGCTCTCCCTCAGATGCCTTCATGAGTCCCCTCTGTCTTTTGGGCCTGGACTGTGGCTCCTGGAGTTTGTCAGAGGCCAAGGTGGGCAGGTCAGCTGAGGCCAGGAGTTCAAGACCAGCCTGGGCAACATGGCAAAATAAAGCTGGGAAACAAAAATACAAAAATTAGCCTGGCATGGTGGCGGGCACCTGCAATCCCAGCTACTTGGGAGGCTGAGGCAGAAGAATTGCTTGAACCTGGGAGGTGGAGATTACAGTGAAGCCGAGATCGTGCCACTGCATTCTAGCCTGGGTGTCAAAAATAAAAAACAAACAAAAAAAGTGTTAATCGATGACTATGTTATCAGTAAGGCTTCCAGCCAACAGTATGCTATTAGTAAAGTTTATTGGGTGTCAAAAGTTACATGCAGATTTTCAACTGCATGGTGGTCAACGCCCCTAACACCCACATTGTTCAAGGGTCAACTGTACACTTATGAGTGGAATTGCTGGGTTATATGGTAACTCTATGTTTCATCATTTGAGGAACTGCCAAACTGTTTTCTAAAACCACTGTTTTCTACACCAGTTTATATTCCCACCAGCGATCTGTAAGGGTTTTGATTTCTTCACTTTTTTGTCAAAATTTATTGTCTGAGTTTTTTTTTTTTTTAAGATAGAGTCTTGCTCTATCACCCAGGCTGGAGTGCAATGGCACGGTCTTGGCTGACTGCAACCTCCGCCTCCGAGGCTCAAGCAATTCTTCTGCATCAGCCTGGCAAGTATCTGGGATTACAGGCGCCCACCACCACACGCAGCTGATTTTTATAATTTTAGAAGAGACGGGGTTTCCCCATGTTGGCCAGGCTGGTCTCGAACTCCTGACCTCAAGTGATCCACCTGCCTTGGCCTCCCAAAGTGCTGTGATTACTGGCATGAGCCACCATGCCTGGCCTTATTATCTGACTCTTTAATTCTAGCCATCCTAGTAGGTGTGAAGTAGTAGTGTCTAATATTGGTTTGATTTGCATTTCCCTGATGGCTAATGATGTCGAGCATCTTTTCGTGTTCTTTTTGGCTCTTTTTATATTCCTGGGAGAAAGATTTACTCAAATCCTCTGCCCATTTAAAAAAATTAAGTTGTCTTTTTGTTGTTGAATTGTAAGAGACCTTTATATATTCCAGATATAAGTCCCTTATCAGACACATAATTTGCAAATCTTTTCTCCCATTCTGTGGGTTGTCTTTTCCATTTTTCCATAGTGGCCTTTGCAACACAAAAGTTTTTCATTTTGATGAAGTCTGAATTACCTATTTTTGTTGTTGTTACTCATGCTTTTGGTATCATATCTAAGAATATGTCAGTAAACCATGAAGATTTACCTCTATGTCCTCTAAGAGTTTTATAGTTTTAGCTCTTACATCATTTAGGACTTTGATTCATATTGAGTTAATTTTTGTACATGGTGTGATATAAGGGTCTCTCTTTTTTTTTTTTTTTTTTTTTTGAGACAAGATCTTGCCCTGTTGCTCAGGCTAGAGTGCAGTGGCACAATCATAGCTCACTGCAGCCTCAACCTCCTGGGCTCGAGCAATCCTCCCACCTCAGCCTCCCCAGTAGCTGGGACTACACGCACATGCCGCCATGCCTGGCTCATCTTTTTTACTTTTTGTTGCCCAGGCTGGTCTTAAACTTCTGGGCTCAAGCGATCCTCCCAATGTGCTGGGATTACAGGTGTGAGCCACTGCACCTGAGCCAACTTTATTCTTTTGCATGTGGCATGATCCAGTTTTCCCAGCATCATTTGTTGGAAAGACTATTCTTTCCCTTATTGAATGGTCTTGGCACCCTTGTTGAAAATCAGTTCACCTTGGCCAGGAACGGTGGCTCACACCTGTAATCCTAGCACTTCGGGAGGCCGAGGCAAGAGGGTCATTTGAGCCCAGGAGTTCAAGACCAGCCTGGGCAACATAGTGAGACTCCATCTCTGAAAATAAATAAACTAATTAAATCAGTTAACCATAGAGACATGGGTTTATTTATGGACTCTCAATTCTGTATATCTGTCTTATGCCAGTACCATACTCTCTCTTTTTTTTTTTTGACAGAGTCTCACTCTGTTGCCCAGGCTGGAGTGCAGTGGCACCATCTCAGCTCACTGCAAGCTCCGCCTCCCAGGTTCACGCCATTCTCCTGCCTCAGTCTCCGGAGTAGCTGGGACTACAGGCACCCACCACCATACCCAGCTACTTTTTTTCTTTCTTTTTTCTTTTTCTTTTTTTTTTGTATTTTTAGTAGAGACGGGGTTTCACCGTGTTAGCCAGGATGGTCTCGATCTCCTGACCTCGTGATCCGCCTGCCTCTGCCTCCCAAAGTGCTGGGATTACAGGCATGAGACACCATGCCCGGCCCAGTACCACACTCTCTTCATAGCATTTCTTCCTCATAAGTTTTGAAGTAGGGACGTGTGAGTTCTTCTACTTTGTTCCTTTTCAAGATTGTTTTGCTTGAAGTGGGACCACAGACATGTGCCACCACACCCGGCTAATTTCCTTTTATTTTTTGTAGAGAAAGGATCTCACTATGTGGCCCAGGCTGGCCTGAAACTCCTGGGCTCAAGTGATCCTCCTGCTTTCGTGTCTCAAAGTGCTGGGATAACAGACATGAGCCACCATGCCTGGCCACTTCTGTCACTTTTTGCTTCATATATTTTAGTGCTCTGTTATCTGGTACATATATGTTTATAATTGCATGTCTTCCTGATAGATTGACATGTTTATCATTATAAAATACCCTTCTTTATCTCTAGTAATATTTTAAAAGTCTACATTGCCTGATACTAGCGTAGCCACTCCAACTTTCTTGTGGTTACTGTTTCCGTGATATACTTTTCCCCAGTCTCTTCTTTTCCATTTATTTGTATCTTTGACTCTAAAGTCTGTCTCCTATAGACAGCATATAGGGGACTTTTTTATAAATCCAATCTGGGCTGAGTGTGGTGGCTCACACCTGTAATCCCAGCACTTTGGGAGGCCAAGGCTGGTGGATCACTTAAGGTCAGGAGTTCAAGACCAGCCTAGCCAATATGGTGAAACCCCATCCCTACTAAAAATACAAAAAAAAAAAAAAATTAGCTGGGCGTGGTAGTACATGCCTGTAATCCCAGCTACTCGGGAGGCTGAGGCAGGAGAATCACTTGAACCCAGGATGCGAAGGTTGTGGTGAACCAAGATCGTGCCGCTGCACTTCCAGCCTGCGTGACAGACCAAGACTTTGTCTCCAAAAAATGAATAAATAAAATTTTTTAAAAAATCGAATCCAACAGTCTCTACCTTTTGACTGGATTGTTTAATCCACTCACATTTAATGTTATTCCTGACATAGTTGGATTTACTGCTGGCATTTTACTTCTTGTTTTCCATGTGTCTCGTGTCTTTTTTGTCTTCTATTTATCCTTTACCGCTTTCTTTGTTTTAAGTAAATATTTTCTAGTGACGTATTTAAATTTCTTTAATAATTAATATCACTGTATATTTTTAGTTTTGTTGTTGTCGTTGTTTTTAGTGGTTGTTTTAGGGCTTACCATATACATTTTACCTAAAGAGAATCAGCTTCAGAGGTGTTTTGTTTTGTTTTGTTTTGTTTTGTTTTGTTTTGAGACAGGGTCTCACTCTGTTGCCCAGGCTGGAGTGCAGTGGCATGATCTCGGCTCACTGCCACCTCCATCTCTTGGGCTCAGGTGATCCTCCCACCTCAGCCTTCCAAGTAGCTGGGACTACAGTGTGCACCACCAACCCCAGCTAATTGTTTTTTCTATTTTTAGTACAGACAAGGTTTCACCATGCTGCCAAGGCTGGTCTTGAACTCCTGGGCTCAAGCAATCCACCCACCTTGGCCTCCCAAAGTGTTGGGGTTATAGGTGTGAGCCACAGTGCCTGGCCCTATCTCTACTAGCTTCATTCCAGTGAGATATAGAAACATTATTCCTATATATCCCTATTCACTTTTCACCCTTTTGTGGTATTATTGTTATATGTTTTACATCTATTAATGTTACAAACCCGAAAATACATTGTATGATTGTTATTTTACTGTTTTCATTTTGTTAGCCCAATGCAGCTTACTTCCACCCACCTCCTTTGTGTTGTCACTGGCAAATATATTAAATTTCTACAGGTTACAGGCCCAATAATACACTTTATGCACACTCTTTTATAAATTGCCTTGGTCAATTTTTGCTTTAAATCTTTTATAAATTGCTGCTTTAAGTTAATGTTTTTAAAAAAGGAAAAAATTATTCTATGTTTTATAATTACAACTTTCCTCCTTAAGCAATAAAAGAGCCACAGATATGGGGAATTACACAGACATCACAATCTCCACCACGCTGTGGTGTGCCCCGTGCAGTCCCGCCCACTCAACAGCAATTTGTTTAATCCTCACAACAACCCTCACAATTAGTCGTTGTTAGCTCTGTTTTACAGATGGGACAAATGAAGCTCAGAAAGGGCTTCTGGGACACATGGATGGTAAGAGACTAAGTGAGCTTGGGGCCTACATCTTGTTTTTTTTTGTTTTTTGTTTTTTTAGATGGAGTCTGGTTCTGTCATCCAGGCTGAAGTGTAGTGGTGTGATCCCAACCTGCATCCTCCACCCCCCCGGTTCAAATGATTCTCCTGCCTCAGCCTCCCAAGTTGCTGGGATTACAGGCATGTGCTACCACACCGAGTTAATTTCTGTATTTTTAGTAGAGATGAGGTTTCACCATGTTAGGCAGGCTGATCTTGAACTGCTGACCTCAGGTGATCCACCACCTTGGCCTCCCAAAGTGCTGGGATTACAGGCGTGAGCCACCAAGCCCAGGCTGTTGGGGCCTACATCAGTCAGACTCAGAGATCAATGCTCTTTCCACAGCACGACATCCTTCCCTTTACTCAACCAAGATACATAGGAATGTTCTTAAGAAAATTCTACTAAGAGACTCAGGCAAATAACACCCAGGCTTTCTGAGAAAAGACTGATTCTTGGAAAAGATGATGCTGTACCAGGACTACCTGAATGAAAACTCTGCTAAGAGACTCAGGCAATTAACAACCAGGCTTTCTGAGAAAAGGCTGATTCTCAGAAAAGATGATACTGTACCAGGACTACGTGGTTGACGTGGCTGCCCACTCAACATCCCCTGTGCCCCATGTGAGCATCAGATGGGGCACACATGTATCCTGGGCACCTCATCATGGTATCTGGCCTGGCACGAGTGCTTCCCATATGGGCTGAGTGAAAGGTTGTTGCCCCCCCAGGGACAGGTGGCAGGAGTAGAGCCAGTGGTTGGCAGAACTCGTCCTTGAGGCCCACACAGATGTGGCCAAGGAGCTGCATAGCTGAGTGGGGGAATCTATGTGTGGCTGGCCCCTAGGCCTAGCAGGTGGATTCACAATCTTGTCTGTTTTCCCCACTGCCCCCTTCCCCTGTCCTCTGCCTGACAGCTTGTCCTGTGCATTCTGAACTTTGTCAGATGCTGGGCAGCAAAACAAGCAGCTTCCTCACCTCCCAAAGCCTAATATCCATACTCCTATTGTTGTGGCCACAGCCTATAAGAGAATCTGGCAGAATGAGGCTGTGAGGATAGGCAGGCAGTCAACAGAGAGAGATGTGGTCCAGGCCAGGTGGAGCTGCTGGTAGTCCCTGCTTTCCTGGTCCTGCCCACCCTGTCCTCCCATCCCTATACCTTTAAACCTCACACTGACTGAACCCTCAACTAATGTTCATTTTTTTAAATATGGAAAATACCACTTTGAGAGGCTGAGTCAGGTGGATCACCTGAAGTCAGGAGTTTGAGACTATCCTGGCCAACGTGGTAAACATGCTACTAAAAATTGAAAAATTAGCTGGCTGTGGAGGTGAGCACCTGAATTCCCAGCTACTCAGGAGGCTGAGGCAGGAGAATTTCTTGAACCCAAGAGGTGGAGACTGCAGTGAGCCAAGATCATGTTATTGCACTCCGGCCTAGGCAACATGAGTGAAACTCCATCTCAAAAAATAAATACATAAATAAATATGGAAAATATGTGGCCGGGCGTGGTGGCTCACGCCTGTAATCCCAGCACTTTGTGAGGCTGAGGCAGGTGGATCACTTGAGATCAGGCGTTCAAGACCAGACTGGCCAACACAGTGAAACCCCGTCTTTACTAAAAATACAAAAATTAGCTGGGGGTGGTGGCACAGGCATGTAGTCCCAGCTACTTGGGAGGCTGAAGCAGGAGAATCGCTTGAACCCAGGAGGCAGAGGTTGCAGTGAGCCGAGATCGGGCCACTGCACTCCAGCCTGGGCAACAGAGTGAGACCCTGTCTCAAAAATAAATAAATAGGCCAGGCACAGTGGCTGTTGCCTGTAATCCCAACACTTTGGGAGGCCGAGGCAGGCGGATCACGAGGTCAGAAGATTGAGACCATCCTGGCTAACATGATGAAACCCTGTCTCTACTAAAAATACAAAAAATTATCTGGGCGTGGTGGCATGCGCCCGTAGTCCCAGCTACTCAGGAGGCTGAGGCAAGAGAATTGCTTGAAACTGGGAGGCAGAGCTTGCAGTGAGCTGAGGTGGCGCCACTGTACTCCAGCCTGGGCGACAGAGTGAGACTCTGTCTCAAAAAAATAAATAAATAATAAAAGTGGGTCTTGTTTTTTGTTTTTTGTTTCGGGGTATTTTGGTTAGAGACAGAGTCTTACTCTGTCTTGACCGCCTGGGCTCAATTGATCCTGCTGCCTCAGCCTCCCAAGTAGCTGGGTCTGCAGGCATGTACCAGCACATCTGGCTGACTTTTTAATTTTTTGTAAAGACAGGGTCTCACTATGTTGTCCAGGCTGGCCTTGAACTCCTGG